>NC_000011.10:76510241-76813271 GCF_000001405.40 Homo sapiens | reverse complement strand
ACAATCAAAGCTTCAGGTACATTTGGTCACCTGATGGGCCATTTAAACATTTTATAAAGGAATTTCTTTCAATTGTTATTTTCTTTTTTCTTTTTTTTTTTGGGGAGTCTCTCTCTGCCACCCAGACTGGAGTGCAGTGGCATGATCTCAGCTCACTGCAACCTCTGCCTCCCAGGCTCAAGGGATTCTCCTGCCTCAGCCTCCTGAGTAGCTGGGATTACAGGCACGTGCCACCACACCCAGCTAATTTTTGTATTTTTAGTAGAGATGGGGTTTCACCATGTTGGCCAGGCTGGTCTCGAACTCCTGGCCTCAAGTGACTGGCCCACCTCAGCCTCCCAAAGTGTAGGGATTACAGGCATGAGCCACTGCACCCTGCCTCAATTGTTATTTTCAATGCATGTTTTCTGGTTGTATAAAAGCTTTCCGATGCAAGAGGGCTGATGTTATAACAGTAGATTATTATGCTATGGTATATTTTCACCAGGTAAAGAAAGCTTTTTATGGTTTGGATCTTCTGAGAACATCAGAGAAAGACTGTCCTTGCCATCCACACTACAGCAAAATTTTGGGACCTTGAACTTTGGGTTTATAATCTCACAACTGAGAAGGGTCCCTCCACATTCTTGGAACTGTATATCCATTGGAATCCTTAAGGTAAAGCTAACTAGGGAAGTTTCTCCCCAGAATAAGATGGCATACTTGATGTGAACAGCTTTTCCCAGGATCATGAATCAAGACTTCTCAACTATCATGAGATCCTTATCTTTGAATATTTTTTTCCTTGCCTATGCCACTACGAATAATAGAAGTGGAAAAGGGGTCTGTTATGTGCACTTATGGGGTATACTTTTATTTGTGAAGGAGTTTGCAGCTAGTCTTATACATGGATAACCTTGTACTTTGATAGATAAAAGATGGAGGCCCAATGTAGGTGAGAAACCTTAATGGTACATACATTGCCTCACAATCAGTCAGAAACAGAACATTGGTTCACTCCTCTTAATGCACATCATAGGTTAAAGAGAACATTGTCAGGAGGCCTTCACTCTTCTAGAAGGGCATCATTAGTTAGGTCCTTTTCCATGGTTTGGAGTAAAATAAGCAATGATTAGAAATGTATCCCTCAAGATAGGCTCTATAGCAAATTCTACTGTAAAGGCTACAGTTACACAACAGACTTTAAGTTCTCTTGTGAAGGTTATGATCGAATTGGCTGAACAGAGAAGTATCTGTGAAGCTGCTGGCCCTCATGGCCTATGGAAAAAACATTGGGTATTATAGAGATTCAGTTGTAGCAGATTAACGAAGACCCTGCTTAGTTAAGTGAGTAGACTCTTTACGTAGCTCATTCTTTAATCTATTTAATTTTAGGAGGTTTGGTTTATGGGGACCCTGGGTAAGGAGCATACTCCAAACTCTTGGTATTATCCTCCCAATAGTCATGATAATAGTCTCCCTGGTGCACTGTATTCTCTCAGACATTTTAAATATTTGCATGCAGCCATCTCTAGAATGTCAGATGGTCTCTCTTCAACTGGAATGACAAGAGCTGAAAGAAATGTGTGACCATGAGGACACCATAACCTATGAATGATGTTCTGAGACTAGAAACCCAAAATGATGGTAACTGAGAGTGGTGCTAAGGCCGTAAGTTTTGGTCACGTTCTCACCTAGGTGAGAACGTGACCAAAAAGGGGTAATTTTTTTTAAACAAAATTATGGGAGGCCATTGTTTTGAACTGAGCTCATGCACTAGGCCCCAACAGACCAAACCAAACCAAAATGGAGTCGCTCATGTTAAGACTTTAAGGAAACACATAGATCCTAGAACAGATCACAGACCAGGTTTTGTTATTCTCCTGCAAATCTCTATAACAAACATTCCTGACAGCAAAGGTACCCAGCCCCTGAAGTTCCCATTAAATCTTTTAACCAAATTCATTTCCTCTTACTCAGAGACCATCAAGCTTCAGATGATCATGCAACATGGGTTCCAGCCAGTTCCAAGTGAAGAGACCACCCCCGGCCATCAAGGAACTATCCTCCCTCCACTAAACAGAGCAGGGCTAGCGTTCCATGATCCCCAATAGGTAGGGACTATGCCCTAAGCCAGCATAAAGTAGTTAAAGAAGAAAGACCATCCGTTCCTCTGCCTTCTATAAAGATTTATGGGGTCACATCTCTCAGGGGAGAAATAAGGCAGGAGAATATGGTCTGGAGGCAGGGAACCTAAGGCCAATTCATGCTGGACTTCCTAGAAGTGAATCAAATGGAAACACTTCAGCTATGACAGGGAATATCCTCTCCATTTACATAGGGCATACACCGAGTATCCAATGGAAACCTCTAGAGGGTATTTAGACCCCAGGAAATTCTGTAATGGGGCTCTTCAACCCCTATGCTTGGGCCACTCCCACCCTGTGTGGTGTGTACTTTTGTTTTCAATAAATCTCTGCTTTTGTTGCTTCATTCTTTTTCTTTGCTTTGTGCGTTTTGTCCAATTCTCTGTTCAAGATGCCAAGAACCTGCACACCCTCTACCAGTAACACTCCTGCCTCCTGGCCTCCTTCCTGGTGTCTTCCCAGTGACCCACTCTCACCAGGCCAAGGAGCAGGGACAGGGTTCTCCTTTCCTCTCTGTCCTCATTTTTACAGGGAGCGGAGAGCGGACAGTGTTAACAATGCAACTTCCTCACTAGGTTTTTGTGAAGATCAAACATATCTGGGACATCCAGTTGCTTTGAAACATTACATGCCATTCAGGTAGACAGGAATTACTCATTTTATGATTGTTACTTTTAGTTTCTTTTCCTCCATAATTTCTGGCTACACTTTGAATTAAATTGTTTTATCAGCGCCCCCTGCTGAGTGCCAATGAAATAATGACCCAATCCTAACTTGGGATGGATTAGACCTAACATGTAGCGGGCAGAGAAAGCCAAAGGACTGACACTAGCATCGCACCAGTACTGACCAGTCAAAACCGACACGGCGTCATGTCCTGGGATGTGCTCCCTGAACCCCAGCCTCAGGGAGCGGAGGAAGGAACCCCTCAGTGTGCCAGGCCCTGTGACGGGGGCTCCAGCTGATTACCTTGGTAACTCTTTCAGCAGGCTCTGAGCTTGTTAGAAATGGGTTGTAAACAGTGTTCATGTCCCACGCTTCTGTGACGCAGCTTGAACATGGTAGGAATGATTGAATTCAAGGTACCCCAGCTCTCTGCCACCCCAATTTGAGGAGCAAAATACCTTCCCTGCTGACCTACCTTTATGCCTGGGTGCCTCCACATAATCAATTTTTTTGTTTGTTTTTGAGACAGAGTCTCGTTCTGTTGCCCAGGCTGGAGTGCAGTGGCGCGATCTCGGCTTACTGCAAGCTCCGCCTCCCGGGTTCATGCCATTCTCCTGCCTCAGCCTCCCGAGTAGCTGGGACTACAGGCATCCACCACCACACCCGGCTAATTTTTTGTATTTTTAGTAGAGATGGGGTTTCACCGTGTTAGCCAGGATGGTCTTGATCTCCTGACCTTGTGATCTGCCCGCCTCAGCCTCCCAAAGTGCTGGGATTACAGGCGTGAGCCACCGCGCCCGGCCAATTTTTTTTATTTTTATTTTTTATTTTTTGAGATGGAGTCTCCCTCTGTCGCCCAGGCTGGAGTGCAGTGGTGTGATCTCAGCTCACTGCAGCCTCTCTCTGCCTCCTGGGTTCAAGCAATTCTCCTGCCTCAGTCTCCCAAATAGCTGGGATTACAGGCTTGCTATTTTTTTTTGTATTTTTTGTTCTTTTAGTAGAGATGGGGTTTCACCATGTTGGCCAGGCTGCTCTTGAATTCCCGATCTCAAGTGATCCACTGGCCTCGGTCTCCTAAAGTGCTGGGATTACAGGCATGAGCCACAGCACCTGGATGCATAGTCAAATACTTTTAGTTAAAGCTCTGAGGTCCGTGTTAAAAAGCCAAGAACTCAGGAGGGGAATATGCCATGCTCTCATCTGACGTGAGCAGTGGCCACGTGATGTTCTTGGTCTTACCCTGTGCTGAGCGGGCTCTGTGGGGATAGGGAGGAGGCCTGGACAGGAAGGTCAGAGGACCCAGGATTTAAACTGGCTGGGTGACCATGAGTGGGTTACCCAAGGAGGGGAAGAATGCAGACTTGAGCTCTTGGGAGCTTTCTCTGATGAGCTTTTGGATCCCAGGGCAGCTGTCCTTGGCCAAGAGAACAACCAAACAGTTGAGACAAGTCTCTGGTCTGGGCTGAAGCCTGCGTCAAAGTTGTTGGACTAGCACTCTGGGATTCCATTTCTGATTCTGTATGTCTAATCTTTTGCTTCCCATTCTCTGCATTGAGCAGTCTGTTTGTGGGCTCTGGAATCGACAGACTCGTTTTTAAAATGTAGAATCTGTCACTTATCGGCTATGGGACCTTGGGCAAATTACTTAACCTCCCTGAGCTTCCATTTTCTCCTCTGTAAAACAGCTTTATATATAGCGAGAATGAATAAGTCAATACACACAAAGTGTACATCTCAGCGCCTGGCACCGAATAACCTGTCATTTCATCGGCAAGTTTTATTTTTATTTTAAAACAGACCCAAATTCCTACATTTCTTCCTATCTCCACTGCTACCATCAAGTCACTCTCATCTCCTTCCTGGTTTATGGCAAGGACTTCCTAATGGATCTCTCTGCTTCTGCTCTGGCACTCACAGCCAGGGCAATCTTTGTAAAGTGTCCCCAGAGCCTGTGTCACCTCTGTCTAAAGGCCTCTAATTGGCTTCCTGCTGTGACTGGAGTAAAATCCGCAGCACTGACAGTGGTCTATCCAGCCAGCCTCGCTGCCCTCAATTCTCCCATCAAGCCCCGGCCAGCCTCGCGTCCTTCCTGAGTGTGCCAAGCTCACTCACTCCTTGAGGTCTTTGCACCGAGATTTCCTCCCTTGGAAAAGGTTCCTCAGGTCCCCGCAGGGTTGGCTTCCTCCCTTCTTTTAAGTCTCAGCTCAAACGTGAGAGTAGCACCCAACCGCGTTACCTCTGCCGGCACCCCCGTCACCTCTACTGTGCTCCAATTTGCCCTCTTTGTAGCATTCACCATCTCCTCACTTACTTAGATGCCCAGGCACCCATTTACTGTTGGCCCTCCCCGTAGATGACCACCTCCATGACAGCAGGGACCAAGGTGGTCTGTGGTCATGGCTCTTTCCCCAGTACTTGTCTTTGGGTCTGGACACAGGAGACCCTCTAAACTATTTATTGAATTTTATTTTACTTTTTAAAAAATATTTATTTATTTATTTTAGAGACAGGGTCTCACTATGTTGTCCGGGCTGGTCTCGAACTCCTGGACTAAAGCAATTCTCCCATCTCAGCCTCCAGAAGTTCTGGGATTACAGGCATGAGCCACCAGGCCCGGCCTGCTGAATAAACATTATTTTTTAAATTCTATAAAACACCAGGTTGAAAGTTCTTTTATCGGAGGGGAAGATGTGAAAGTGGAGTCCTTGGTGGCTGCTGAAAACCGCTGCTCATCAGACTTCTGCGTCTGAGCTTGCCCTTCGCTTTCCTCTTGTGGGGACCCCTCTAACCCCCGGCCTGTGTATAGAGCGACAAGCCCGGCACAGGGCAGGGAGAAAGGGAGCAATGGGCGGGCGGAGAAAGGAACGGGAGTGTCTAAGGCAGCGCCCTCTGGTGGGCACAAACTCCGTGACAAGTTGGAGACCTGCAACACACTCCGCCCGCAACTCCATTCTTGCAAGTTTTCACCTAGTTTGCCCCTCTTGTCAGATGGGAACTCAAGCTCGTGCCCTGCCTATGCAGTCACTTTTCACCTTGTATTGCAGTCATTCGACTCTCCCATGGGATGGAAAGCCACTGGGGCCAGGGCTGGCTCTAGTCCATCTCTGGATGCCCCATGGCTAGGACTGTGGTGTCTCTGCCAAACACATGGCTTTCACGTGTATGTGGGGACAAATCCTGCACGCTGAGACCCAGGGGCCTACTCCCTGGGCTGCCCTAATCCTTTGAGTCACTCAGCATGCTGTTGGCTTTGTCTCAGAGTTTTATTATTCTTGTCATCTCTCACCCCATCCCCTAGAGAAAGGGCTTCCCACCAAATGACTTAGCCTCCTGCCAGGGCTAAGCAGGCTCCTCCGGCAGGTCTACCAATCAAGTTATTATACGCAACCTTTTTTTCTTCTTTCTTTTCTTCCTTCTCTCTCTCTCTGTCCTTCCTTCCTTCCTTCCTTCCTTCCTTCCTTCCTTCATTCCTTCCCTCCTTCCCTCCCTTCCTTCCCTCCTTCCCTCCCTTCCCTCTCCTTTCCTTCCTTCCTTCCCACTCCTTCCTTAATTTCTTTCTTTCTTTCTTTTTCTTTCTTTTTTTTCTCCTTTCAACTCAAATCACTCTGTGGAGAGCAGGAAGCAGACATAATTTGGGACAGGGCCTCTGAGTGTAAGTCCCAGGCCCTGCCACCTACTGTCTGGACATCGTTTTCCTTGACTGTGAAATGGGCTGATTCTAAGCCCTGCCCTGCTGTCCTCACAGGAAGGCTGCACAGAGCAAATGAGGTGTGGTATGAAATGGAAGATCCATGTCAACTTTAAAGTGTGGCCCAAACCTGATTATGCAGTAAGATCATCTGGATTTGCTTGTTTTGAAAAACTGAAAACTAAGACTCCCTACCCTCTCCCCACACACGGGGAAGTTTTAAAAGTATGTGACATTGAAGTCAAATTCTGGAACATTTGGGAAAAAATGAGATTTCTGGGCCTTTCTGATGTTTGGTGAAGGCTTGTGCTTTGAGCCACGCTGCAGGCAGCATGGAGCTGGCCCCAGCCTCTTCCGTCTTCACAGGGCATCACAGGCCCTCCTGGCTGAAGGAGCCTCAGAATCTCCTAGGCTGATTCGTCTTATGGCTGGGGAAGGGAGCAGGCTCAGAGAGGTGGGACTCACCTCTCCACAGGCAGTGGGGCTGCGGCGGGCTGAGTGAGGCGGGGCACAGACTTAATGGCCAGCAAGAGTTGGAGCAGAAGTGGGTCCCGGCCAAGGAGCTGGAGAGGCAGAGGTGGAGCCTCACAGGGGACTCCTACCCTAGCCCAGCTCCAGGCCTGTCTGTGCACATACCTGCTGCCTGTGAGGAGGGGAAAAAGAGAGAGCAGGGAATGGGGGTTTCCCTTGCAGAGGAACTGGAACAAATGCTGGAAGTCTCAAGAGCTGGTTTCTTGGTGGTTTCTTCCACAAGCTTGCTGTGAAGCCTTGGAAAGGCCACTTACTCTCTCTGGTCCTTCATTTCACCATCAGTAAAACGGATATAACAGACCCATTTATTAATCCTACAGATATGAATCGACAACCAACTATGTGCTGGGCACCAGCCTAGGTGATATGGACCCTGTGGGGAGCAAGGCAGGAACAGTTCCTGCCTCTGGGGATGAGTGGAAGCTGGAAAAATAAACACAAAGTAAATATGATGAGCATCACTCTGAAGGCAAGACCAGGTACTGGGCTGGCACAGAGGAGGAACGTCTAACTTTGCCTGTCGTAGGATGAGGGGAGGTGGTTAGGGAGGGCTTCCCAGAAGAGGTGGCATGGCAGCTGAGGTAGGAGGGATGAGTGGGAGCTAATCAGGCTGGTGGGTGCGAGGACAGGGAAGCATTCATTCCTCCCCCTCTCCTCCTCTATCCTTGAGGTCACCCTTCTTTAGAACATGTTAGCAAAGGATGTCTGTGTAGTCACTTCTGAGGTCTGTTTAGAATCCAGACTCACTCCCACATGCCCAGCATGCACCCATTCTGTCCCCTCCCCACCAGCCTCACGTGTCTGAGCAGGATGTCGAATGTTACCGGTGGGTGGGGCAAGTCCAGGAATGACAGTGTTTGTGTCTGTGTGTGGGGAGAGTATTTAAAGCTTGCACTAAGTATGACTTTGCCCACAGTCTGCGGGAAGCGCCCAAAAGCTACACCTTTCCCAGGGTCCTCTGGGAGTGCTGGTCTGTCCCCTCCACCTCCTCCCCTCTGAGCAGCTTCCACCTGCCCCCACACAGTGACTGGCCTCATTTAGCCTCAGTTCCCCTCTTGGGAGTCCCTTGGTCCGATGGAAACAGGACAGTGAGCCTGGCGTGGTGGCTCATGCCTGTAATCCCAGCACTTTGGGAGGCTGAAGCGGGTGGATCACCTGAGGTCAGGAGTTCGAGACCAGCCTGGCCAACATGGTGAAACCCCCATCTCTACTAAAAATACAGAAATAGCCGGGTGTGGTGGCGGGTGCCTGTAATCTCAGCTACTTGGGAGGCTGAAACAGGAGAATCGCTTGAACCCCGGAGGCAGAGGTAGCATTGAGCTGAAATCATGCCATTGCACTCCAGCCTGGGAAAGAAGAGCAAACTCTGTCTTTAAAAAAAAAAAAAAAATCCGGGCACAGTGGCTCACGCCTATAATCCCAGCACTTTGGGAGGCTGAGGCGGGTAGATCACAAGGTCAAGAGATCCAGACCATCCTGGCCAACATGGTGAAACCCCGTCTCTACTAAAAATACAAAAATTAGTTGGGCTTGGTGTCACGTTCCTGTAGTCCCAGCTACTCAGGAGGCTGAGGCAGAAGAATCACTTGAACCCAGGAGGCGGAGGTTGCAGTGAGCCCAGATCGTGCCACTGCTCTCCAGCCTGGTGCCAGAGCAAGACTCCATCTCAAAAAACAAGCAAACAACAACAACAAAAAACAAGACAGTGAGTTCAGGTCTTTATTCTTCCTGATCCCAGTGGCAGGTGGGGAGAAGGGACCCATGGAGAGTCCAGGAGGGAGAGGTGGGTTTGTCTGGGGACTGGGGAGGGGTCCGGGAGGAGAGTGCAAGGTTACCTGGAGGGGCCATGCCTGCTGGGTGGTCTTGAGACAAGAATGTAAGGAGATGCGCTCAGGGCAGCCCCTCATATGCTTTCAAACACCAGGCAGCGTGCTTCCTTCAACCGCCCCTCTCTGCCTGCTCCCCTCAGCTGGGTTGTTGTCAAGGAGGGTGGCTTTTTCATTTGGCATCTTTTCTGCACCTTCAGCTGCCCAAGTCCCAGGGCTTCATGGAGGTTAGCAAGTGGGGAGGAGTGGGGGAATGGGGCTGGGGGAGGCGGAGGCTGTGGCTTTGGTTGTTTCAGTCATCTACTGACATATAAGAAACCACTCCAAAGCACGATGGCTTAGAACAGCAACCATTTTATTTACTCATGATTCTGCAACCAGGGCTGGGATGCGCTGGTTGGTTCTGCTGGGTTTGTTGTGGTCACTCGTGGGCGTGAAGCTGGTGACACAGCTGGGGCCTGATGTCTGCTGGGATATTGGAAGGTTGAACTTTTCTTTCTCTTTGTAGTCTTAGAACTGGCACTGAACCACTTCTGCATTGCACTGATTAAAGTCACAGGCCAGCCCAGACTCAAGAGGAGTACAAATACAAGGGTGTAAATCCTCAGAGGCGTGGGTTCACTGGAGTCACGAATATAAAAGGATATCACATCAGTTGGTGGAGAAGGCAGCATATATGTGAATAAAAGGCCCTACCCTTCAACTACCTTCTCTATGGATCTCACGATCTTGCCTCTAGCATCATGGTCTTAACAACTGTTATATCAACACACTACCTTAAAAACATTTTTTAGGGTATAACACATTTTGAGAGCATGCTCAGGTACCCCTTGCACCCCATTAGTTAGAAAATACCCCACTCCCGCATCCAACCCAGACATCTCATCTCTATCCCCTGATCACACTCTTGGTATCATGAGTCCTTGCCTATCTAGGAGGGGCCTTGGACGACAATCATAGCTTACGCCAAAGGGAAATGTGGAACTGAAGGCAGAGACTGAGGCTATTAGGGAGAATAAGAAGAGTGGAAGGTTTTCTCTCCATCTCTCAAATCACAGCAGGTCAGTGACTGCCATCTGTGACTGCCAGGCCTGGGGAAACAGTGGCAAACCTGCCTCAGGAAAGGGGCATGAGGACATTTCCCAAGCACTGTGTCTTTAAGAGTGTTGGGCCAGAAGGCGGCTGTGTGGCTGGGTGGTGTTGAAATGTACTGGGGCACAGGGCAGGACGTCTTTTTAAACAAATTCCTAAGCATAACAGCTTCCATGATATCACCCCCTGGGAGCTGATGGCCACTAAAGAAACCCTGGTTGAGAATATTTTGAGCCACAGAAAACTTATAAGTTTGACTAAAAGAAGAATTTTCAAAATAAATAAATAATGTGACGTCTATGAACACTTATCATACACAGAGCACTGTTCTCAGGGTTTTAGGAGCATTAGCTTATTTTCAACAACTGCCCTGTGAGGTAGCTACTAGACCTCCATTTACACATGTGGAACTGAGGCTGAACGAGGGGCTGAGAGGCTCACCCCGGGACACCCAGCTGTGAGTGGCAGAGCCGGGCTTGAGCCCAGGCAACCTCCCTTTGGAGCCTGTGCCTTGGCTACTAGTTACACTGCCCTAAGGAGTCCCTGCCTCAGGCCTTCACCTGATTAGGGAACCTGGCTTTTTACAGCCAAAAGCAGGGCTCTTTGCCTTTCTTAACCTGAGGAGGAGGGCTGGCGCCTCCATTCATCACTTCACTTTGGAAAAGTTGCTGCTTCTGAGGCTCAGCTAGTAGAAAATTGTTCCTGAGTTGATACTTCTGGTATCAGACCAGTTTCTCTTTTTCTGTGTCTTCCTGTATCATGTATGTAATTATTTCTGTGTCTTCCTGTATTATGTATGTAATTATTTATGTGTTACATATACATATGTGCATATATTAAGAAACATGGCAGGGCACAGTGGCTTGCACATGTAATCTCAACGCTTTGGGAGGCTGAGGTGGGAGGATTTCTTGAGCTCAGGAGTTCAAGACCAGACCTTTTCTACTAAAAATTAAAAAATTAGCTGAGCATGGTGACGTATGCCTGTAGTCCCAGCTACTCAGGAGGCTGAGGCAAGAGGCTTGCTTGTGCATGGGAGATTGGCTACAGTGAGCTATGATCACGCCACTGCACTCCAGCCTGGGTGACAGAATAAGACCCTGAAAAAAGAAAGAGAGAGAGAGAGAGAGAAAGAGAGAGAGAGAGAGATAGAAAGAAAGAAAGAAAGGGAGGGAGGGAGGGAGGGAGGGAAGGGAGACAAAAAGAAACATGAATGTGTTTGTACCTCCAGTTCAGAACACTTTGACTATCTAATGGATATGCAAAAGAAAATAATAAATAGGTTTGGGAACTAAAGAATAAACACAGGGGGAATTTCCCTCCAAGCTCAACAAACACAATAATCCCTGTAGACAGAACCACTAGTACTTAAATAAATAAAGAGAAGAATAAACACAGGGCATGTGACTTAACTGGATAGACATTTGCTGTCGTTAGAAGCCGAGCTATGGACTGACATTGGGTATTGATGCACAGAGCAAGTATAATTGCAATTAGCTACCAGTGAACACTGGGCACTGATATACAGCAGACACTGCCTCCAACAGACATTTTCCCTTTGTGGATATTGGTCATTGGTGGAAGCTGTCATTCATATGATAAACATTATATATCAACCAACATTTGCACCCTGGTGAACGTTAGCCAACAAGGAACACTGAACATTGATGGGCAAGGTCCTATTAGCCTATGATGACCTCTGTTGTCATAGACAGTGCCCTTGGTGGAGATTAGGTATGAGTGGGCTTTAGCGCTGGTGGACTTTAAATTCTGTAAGCACATAAAGTGAGCAAGGGGCAGGCCTCTGCCCCCCCATATTCCTGGCAGTCCAGAGAAACAGCCCATGAGCTGGTTTGGTGGCAGCTGGGTGGTAGAATCCACCTCTTTAGCTGCCTTTTCCCTCTGAAAGCCTTTTGGCCATGGCAAGGTGGGGAAACCAGGGGGTTGTGTGATAACGACAGAGGGACATTCCTGCATTTGGAAGAGTCTAACTGGCTCCCTGAACTACAGAGGGATTGGATTACACACAAATCCACACCTACTCTCTTCTGCCATCCTGACCAACACTGTCTGGGTGTTTGCCCCTCCTCTAGAAATGAGATGATCAAATGGCAGCAGGGCTGGCTTCATGGGCAGTGAAACCATAGAAAGACCCTGTGCTTGGTTTAATGCTCTGTTCTTGTCATCTTGAAATCCTAATAACTTTGAACAAGGGGCCCCACATTTTCATTTTATACTGGGTCCCACAAATTACATAGGCCGTTCTGAAGCACAGAATCCTGGCCATGGACCATGGGAACTTACTCGTCTCTGGGCCTCAGATTCCCCATCCGTGAAAAGGGGCCAGGAGAGAAAGGACTTTGACTTTGACCTTTGGCTTTTTATACTCTAAGATCTAGAATCCACAGTCTGATCGGAGCTATGTAGAACTGCATAACTTCTGCAACTTATTTGAAAATAAAAAATAAATGGAATCCCAGTGCTTTTTGGTTTATCAGTGCACCTCTACCCTCTCTGATTCATGGGATTTACACAGCTGGCCCGGCCCCTGGGGTAGGACAAGGAAGAATGTGAGAATTGCCACCTGACAGATAAAGCCTGGCCTATGCTGGTTTCCTCATCTGTATGGTGACAAAAACACCTGGTGCAGTTGTGAGGAGATGATGGCATGTACACAAAGCATGAGGAACACATAGCCATAGCTGGCCGCTGCATTACTGTGAAAGGCATAAAGAGGCTGGTGACCCTGCTGACCCATGGTGGTGAGCTGGGCCACAGCTGACGGTGAGTACCTACTCCATGACCCTGTGGATTACCGGGTGTCGTTCTGTGATTCTACAGTCCCAGAACTTTACAAAATTCTTCAGTTCTGAGTGCGAGTTATAAAAAACAGACTCAGACTACATGGCTCTGTAATCTACTTCATAACTCCATGGTTGGATGAGGGCGGGAAAGAGCACTTAGAGGCTGCCATTTTGTGCCAGGCACCGTACTTGGTTCTCTACAAATGTTACTTCATTTCTTCTACACACAGTCCTGTGGAGGGAGATATTTTCCCTCCCTCCCTCCCTCCCTCCCTCCCTTCCTTCTTTCCTTCTTTCCTTCTTCCTTTTTTGCTCTTTCTTTCTTTTCTTCCTTTCTCTCTCCCTCCCTCCCTTCCTTCGTTCTTTTTTTTTTCCAGGGTCTAGCTCTGTCACTCAGGCTGGAGTGCAGTGGTAGAATCTCGGCTCACGGCAGCCTCAACCTCCCAGGCTCAGGGAGGTATTTTCTCTTTCTTTGTTTGTTTCTCTTTCTTTTTTGTCTTTCTTTTATTTTTATTTTTCTCTCTTTGCTTTTTTTTTTTTTTTTTTTAAACAGGGTCTAACTCTGTCATCCAACCTCCCAGGCTCAAGCTATCCTCCCACTTCAGCCTCCCAAGTAGCTGGGACTACAGGCGTCACCATGCCCGGTTAATTTTTAGATTTTTAAATTATGTTGCCCAGGCTGGTCTTAGTCTTGAATTCCTGAGCTCAAGCGATCCTCCTGCCTCAGCCTCCCAAAGTGCTGGGATTACAGGCAGGAGCCATCGTGCCCGGCCTTGAGGGAGATATTTTCATCCCTATTTTCCAGGCTCAGAGAAGTAAAGTGACCTGGCCAAAAATCACACAATTGGTTAGTGATGACCCCAAGATTTCAACCCTTTTCTGTGAATTCCAAAACGGATTCTTTGCACGAATTTTCCTGATTGTGTAAGATTCGAAGCCCTCGCCCTGGGCGCCAGGGTTCCTGGAGGGCGGAGTCCGGCAGGGCGAGGGTAGTCTGGTGGGCGGGAAGGGACTGGCCGCATAAAGCAAACAGCGCAGCCCACTTTGGCCTCCAGCCGCCCCGGTCCTGGCTCTTGGCCCCGCTGGGATCTGGGGTGTCTGGCCATGCGTGAGCACGAGGTGGCGCTGCGGGCCGGGAGCCTCCGCACGGGCAGGGAGGGGCCGCGCGGACTCCCGGGTCGGCGAGGCCCGCCGGGGCTTCCGCTCTCCTTATGGCTGGCAGGAGGCCAGGGCTGCGGGGTGCAGGGCAGGTTCCCCACGGGAAGGACGAGCCCGCCCAGCGTGATGGCATCCGCGCCCATGCTCTCACTGGGCCTTCACCCTGCCCCGTTTTGCAGAGGAGGAAGCTGCAGCTCGGGCGGAGGTGACCTGCTCCAGAACTGATTGCCGCAGAAGCCCCCTCCTTCCCTTCGCTGCCCTCCGCACGCTTTGGCCCTGTCTTTAAGGCCTTTTTGTTCCATGGCCCTCCCGCAAGGACTCCTTCCACAAGCGGGGACTTGGGAAGACCCGGACCCATTGGGTGAAAGTACCGTGATCCCTACCTCCATCTGAATCCTCTCCTGTCCCAGGAAATGTAGGGGAAGTGGAGAACAAACAGGAGGACTGTGGGGGCCCGGGGTCTCACCCTGACCTCCCTCTCCTCCACACCGCCCGGCGCCAAGCCTCAGCTCTTTCCTACCTTGACCGCTGGGTGCCAGCCTCGGACCCAGGGCCTCAAGCTGATACTTCTCCCTGGGGAGGCCTGATTACAAGATGGGCAAGCTCCCACCAGTGCATATGGCCTGAATGTTCTGGGCACAGAGTAGGGATCAGGAAAAACCTGTCATTGGTGATGATGGTAGACATTCCCTGTAGACTGGCCAGTTAGAAGGAAGAACTTGGTGACAGCAGAGCCACCCAGATGAGCTCCAAGTGTGATCTCTGTCAGTGGAAGTGTGCAAACAGGAGCTGGGGTACCATAGCAGCTGAAGCACCAAGGAAGAACAAAATACTGTTGCAGTTCAGAGGAGGGAGGTGGAAGGGGCCAAGGAAGCTTCTGCGGGCGGGCAAGAACTAGGTCTACTGGATAGGAAGGAGGTTGAGAGACAGGGGTGAGGGCAAGGGCAAGGTCCCACAGTAACGCCTGAGCAAGAGAACAGGTGTGCAAGGGCCTGCATGCTCATGGCTATGGCTGGAGCTGGGGTGGCAGGAACAGTGGGGTAGGGCCACGGGAGATGAGAGGTGAACAGGGTGCAGGAACTCCCTCCTTCACGTCACCTTACTCCCCAAATCCTGAGATTATCAGGCTTTTCAGGGAGAACAAGCTGCCCAGGGCAGGGCCTAACCTGATTCATCTTTGTGGCCCCAGAGCCCAGCCCAGGGATTGCCAGTGGACACTGGCTGAGTAAAGCAAAGAACTTTTTATAGTGTTTATTAAATCAAGGACCGGTTAGATAGATGATGGGCTAGGCAGGTGGGGGAAGACAGAGCTCACTGCCCTGTGGGGTCTCTGTGGGGCCAGCCCCTGATGCCCATGTGGCCACTGATGCCCAGCTTCCCCCAACACCCCAACACAGGCCCAGGACAATATTACAAAAGTGAACAAATGCAACCTTTTTCTGCTTTTACAAATGACATGTCTCCATCCCCGGCCAGCAGGGGTAGGGGAGGCCGGTTGAAAGTGACACTCCGTTAAAAAGGCAACAACTTTTATAAAATGAAGACTAAGGAAACAGCCCAGGGTTCGGAAGCTGAGATGCTACCCTGGGGGTAGAGCATAGACATGGGTCGGGCAGACCTTGTCTCCTTTCACGGCATTCCTGGGAGGGTAAGAAGGGCTGTCGTGCTCAGGGCCAGTGGGGACTGAATCCAGGAGGCCCCTTGGAGATCCCAGCCAGATGAGGCTCCAGAACTGCAGCAACTCCTTGGGGCAGCATCTAGAGGATGCTCAGGGGAAAATGGGTAGGTTTCCAGTCTGGATGCTGGGGGACCCCAACCCAGGGTGAGAAACTGGCTAGGCTGGAACCAATGTGCCCTAAGCTTCCAGAGGCTCCGAAGGGCAGAGTGACTTAGCCCATGCCGCACAGCTGGTCAGAGGCCCAGAGTCCCACTTGTGAGGCTCTTGCCTGTCCTGCTGCTGCTACTCCTGTGCTAATGGGGAACAGGCAAGGGCAGCAAGGGGAGCCCAGGCGGGGAGGGTGGGGCTTATTAGAGGAGACAAGAAAGTGCATTGGGTCCGGGCTGGGAGGCAGGAGGCTGTGCTCCAGTCATGCCACTGCCCGCAGGAACTTAGATTAGCCTTTTTCCTTCTCAAGGCCTCAGTTTCCCCATCTGTCACATGAGAAGGGTGGACTTGATTCTTTGCAATTCCTTCTACCATTAAGGTTCTAGGGAAATAGAAAAGGATGAAGCGGGCCTCATGGCCTCATGGCAAAGAAAGGGCTATGTTAGAAAAGAAACTCGCCCCTGAGTGACTGGGCCATGGGCCCAAGGGGACACTCAGCCCAGTGGACCTGAACTCTGCCCTGCAGCAGGGGGTCCCACCCACCCTCTGCCCATTGCGGGTCAGGCCGGCCCAGGCATGAGGGAAGGCACTTGGGGGATAAGTGGGGAAGGGAAGCAGGAGGGGACCCGAGTCTGGTTTGGCATCGAAGTCCCTCTGCTCATGGTTTGGGGAAGCAACGTAGACAAAGGGGTGAGACTTTGCTCCTAGGTGTGGCTCCCAGGTCCAAAGCCTCTCCTAGGCCCACAACTCCTGTGGTGACGCTGCCACATAGGCCTGCGGGCTCCCCACTGGTGTTGGCACATTGAACATAAGTTACTCGGGACCTGAGGCAGCCCAGGACAGCAGTCTGTTATGTGGCCCTGGGCCACACCATTTGTCACAAGATGGTGGGGCCCCTGGCAGCAGAATCCCGGGTGTCTACGCAGTGCAGGGCCACCTTGGGGCTGGAGCCAGGCCTCCGGGGGTAGGTGCCCTCCCGCACCAGGCGCCGGCACCGCACATCCTGGCCCACGCTGACGCTCTGCAGTGCCGGGAGGTGGAGGAGCAGCGCCTCAGGCAGGGGCACCAGGTTGGTGCCCGAAAGGTCCAGCTCCTGCAGGGAGCTCAGGCCTGAAAACACCTCAGCTCCTGCCCAGTTAAGCTTGGGGTTGCCCGACAGGTCCAGGACCTGCAGGCCCGGTAGCTCACGGAAGCCACTGGGCGCCAGCTCAGGGAGCCTCTGCAGGCTGGCCAGAGACAGGTGTGTAAGGCCTCCCAGCCCCGCGAAGGCACCCGGACCAATGACAGCTAGAGGGTTCCCATCCAGGCTCAGGTAGCGCAGGGGCAAGTCTCGGAGGTTGGGCACGGCATGGAGCCGGTTCCAGGCCAGGTTCAGGCTCTGAATGGTGGGCGCAGGCAGGCCGGCCCTCGTGGGGTGGGGCACGAGGCGGTGAATGAGGTTGTGGGAGAGGTCCACGTGTAGTGCCCGGCCCTGACTGTGCGTCGTGAAGGCAGACACTGAGACCTCCCGGAGCTGGTTGTGGCTAAGGTTCACGTCGCTCAGGGGTGAGCTGGTGAAGCTCTCGGCTGGCAGGGCTGTCAGGCCATTGTGGCTGAGGTCAAGCGACTCCAGGTAGCGAAGGCGGGAGAAGGCAGTGGGTGAGATGCTGGTGAGCAGGTTGTGGCTGAGATCCAGGCCAGCCAACGTCGTGTAGCCCGGCCCCGCCAACACCGACTCATTCACCATCTCCAGCCGGTTGGAGGACAGGTCCAAGTGGGCTGTGTCCAGAGGGATGGGCACCGGCATGATGTGGGGGCCCAGGCCGCTACAATCCACCCGAGTCAGGCTGAAGCTGTCGAAAAGGCCGAAGGTCTCCACCTCGCATTGGCACCCGGGGAAGCATGGCCGGGTTGTCTGGGCCCCACTCACGGCCAGCAGCAGCAGCAGGGGCCACGGCATGGTGGGGGCTAGAAAGAGAGCCACAGGTGAGGAATGAATGCACCAGATGGTCTAAAGCCACCACACAGGACATGAGCCCAGTCTAGACACTGTTGGAAGGTGTCACAGACCCCGACCTCCTGGAATGCTTCCTGGAACACTCCCCAGAGTTCCTAGTCCCAGTTCTTCTCTGGCCTCTGCCTCTCCATTTGTATGGTAAGGGGCGTGAGGCCAGGTGGTGAATTTTCAACTAGAAGCAGCAGATCCCTTTCTTAAACAAGAGCAGCAGATGAAGGCGGGCCTGGTCTGGCTGAAGTGAGGGGGACCTGAAGCCCTCGACTTCTGCCCACCATCCCTGCCTAGGGTGTTAGGAAACCCAGTTTGAAACCCACCAGACTAGACGGTTTCTCGGGCTGGCCTCTCCAGCTCTGATGGTCCAGAGTCCCTGGTTTGGTCTAGACCTCGGGCCCCGGGTGAGGGGCTCATCCACAGGGCTGAGGGTAGGGTGTGCCCAGGGTGCCCCACTCTCTGCTGAGCAAGTGTTACACGTCAGGCACTGTTCTGGCTGCCCCACAGCATGGTCGCATCTGACCCTCACAACCACCTTCCAAGGCAGAAAATTCTCTGTTTTACCAAAAGGGAACTGGGCCTTAGGTTAAGACGCTTTTGGACAGCCACACAGCAGAGTGGAGTGGCACTAGAGGGGACACTGACAGAGAAAGCACCTGTGGTCTGGCCGGGGCTGGCCTTCAAGACCAGGACTCCCTCCCTGCAATGGGGCCTGCAGTGACTGCCCCACCGCACCCATACTCCACCTGCCCTGTCCCCCTAGCCTGTCATCCAGGGGCAGGAACTTCCCTTCTCATTGGGCATCCTGGTGTCCAACGTGGGTGTCCAGATTCCCAGATGGGTTTTGGGGACACCTGTCCCAAGCCTCTTTCCCCCTTACTCTGTCCCTTGCCACCAGCAGATTAAGCTACTACACCTCTTTGGTTCTTCCTTTAACCTCGGGCAGGCAGTTAGGCTGCTTCCCCCATTATACAGATGAAGAAACAGAGGCTCAGAGAGGAATAGGGCCTTACCCCAAACTAGTAAAATGCAGGGCAGGAATGGGACCCAGGCCTGGTGTACTCCAATTACTATATTCATATGCGTTGCCTCCAGCAGGACTGGCAGAGTAGCTGGTGGAGAGGCAGGGTGCAGGAGGGGCTTTTCCCACTGACACATGCTGTGGCATGAGCCAGTGTCCCTCCTCAGATCTCAGTTCCCTCTGTACAATTACAGTGGTGGCTGCTACAGATGCCAGGTGCTACATACGTGTTGTCACATCTAATGGTCACACCACCCACTGCTGTTGGATTCAAAGCCTGTGTTCACGTCCACTGTAGCTCCTGGGATGGTGGTGCTCAGTGGTGCCAGCATGAGAAGGAGAGGGTTGGGCAGTGGGAGCTTCTAACTAGACCAATTGGATAGTCTGTCGTCACCCCGGCCCTGCACAGTGGCCCCTCAGCAGCCTGGGAGACAGAAGGCACTAAGCTTCCTTCTAGCCAGGCTCTTCATCTGGGTGGCCCTGCTCTGGGCCCCTGCCCTCCTGCCCATCCCTCCCTCTGGACTTCAGGAAGGAGGTGAGAGAGGGGGAGGAGATGGGCCAGGGACCTGCCCACCTTCCAGACTGGAAGGTGGGTGGGAGGGAGCAGCAGGATTGCATTACCAGCCCTGCATGAAACTTTAAAGGGCTAGCCACTTGATCTGCACTCTGGCTTTGCCCAGGGGCAGGGAAAAGTGGGACTCTTCTCCCCTGCCCCCCTCCCCATGTGGGACCCTCCTCTCCCACCCCTTTCTTTTGTAGAGGCCAATTTCAGGATTAAATCCAGCCCAGGTGCATCCTGGGCATGGTCCCAGCTGAGGCAGGACAGAGTGTTCCAATGTCTGGAACCAAAAGGAAAATATTAAGTTGCTTCAGGCCCCTTTTGTTCCCCTGGGCGAGCTCCTCACCGCAGGGCTCATTACCACCAAAGGCCCCACCTCCCCTGCTAAGCTGATCTGCTCATTCATACCCACCCTTCCTGGGGTTTAAACAAACAGCACAAAGGCCCTGAGATTACCCTTTGATTCCCAGAGGTGATTATACAAGGGGTCCGTGAAATGCCAAATGGCCTCATATGAGCTCCCACTTATGTAACCAGCAGCTCAAAATACGACCCAAATGCTATCCCGCCAGAGGGGACCTCTCGCTGCCCCTCTTTAAGCCTCAGCCTTGTCCTCTGCACTACAGGGTGGCAATTTCTGCCCTGCCCTCTTCACCTAAGTTGATTAACCCTTACTGCCAACTGTGAAGGGCTGTGCACAGGCACAGGGCAGTCATCACCCAGCAGCCAGAAGATACAGAACTGAGGCAATGGTAGTAACAGCCGATGTAAAGAGGCATCTGATGTAAAGGGGCAGGAGTTACCTAGGTAACTGTCTGCAGATGCTCCCAGGGCACTGAACTAGGTTCCTTGCTCAGCCCTGCACAGTAGACACCTCTCCCGGGGTTCCTGCTCTGTGCCGGGCCTATGCCCGGGGCTGGGCATTTGCAGTGGGAAGTGACGACAGTGACAGTCAGGGCCAGTCCTCACTCTCTGCTAGTGCTGGACACACATGCTTTCATTTAGTCCGCACAGTCACTCTGTGAGCCAGCAGTCTCATCCCCATTTTAGAGCAGAGAAACTGAGGATCGGAAAAGGAAGGTGGCTGACCATCTTTAGCAGGAGTGACTTGCTACACTGTGCAACTCTGGGAAGTTGTATTAGTCTGTTTTCATGCTGCTGATAAAGACATACCTAAGACTGGGCAATTTACAAAAGAAAGAGGTTTAATTGGACTTACAATTCCACGTGGCTGTGGAAGGTCTAACAATCATGGTGGAAGGCAAAAGGCACTTCTTACATGGCGGCGGCAAGAGAGAATGAGGAGGAAGCAAAAGCTGAAGCCCCTGATAAACCCATCAGATCTTGTGAGACTTATTCACTATCACGAGAATAGCTCGGGAAAGACTGGCCCCATGATTCAATTACCTCCCACTGGGTCCCTCCCACAACACATGGGAATACTGGGAGATACAATTCAAGTTGAGATTTGGGTGCGGGCACAGCTAAACCATATCATTCCACCCCTGGTCCCTCCCAAATCTCATGTTCTCACATTTCAAAACCAATCATGCCTTCCCAACAGTCCCCCAAAGTCTTAACTCATTTCAGTATTAACCCAAAAGTCCACAGTCCAATGTCTCATCTGAGACAAGTCCCTTCCACCTACGAGCCTGTAAAATCAAAAGCAAGTTAGTTACTTCCTAGATACAGTGGGGGTACAGGCATTGGGTAAATACAGCTGTTCCACATGGAAGAAATTAGCCAAAACAAAGGGGCTACAGGCCCCAGGCAAGTTCAAAATCCAGCAGGGCAGTCAAATCTTATTAAAGTTCCAAAATGATCTCCTTTGACTCCATGTCCCGCATATCTGAGTCATGCTGATGCAAGAGGTGGGTTCCCACAGTCTTGGGCAGCTCCACCCCCGTGGCTTTGCAGGGTGCAGCCTCCTTTCTGGCTGCTTTCACGGACTGGCGTTGAGTGTCTGCAGCTTTTCCAGGTGCACAGTGCAAGCTGTTAGTGGATCTGCCATTCTGCGGTCTAGAGGATGGTGCCCCTCTTCTCACAGCTCCACTAGGCGGTGCCCCAGTAGGGACTCTACTCCAACCCCACATTTCCTTTCTGCACTGCCCTAGCAGAGGTTCTCCATGAGGGTCCCACCCCTGCAGCAAACTTTTGCCTGGGCATCCAGGTGTTTCCATACATCTTCTGAAATCTAGGCAGAGGTTCCCAAACCTCAATTCTTGACTTCTGTGTACCCACAGGCTCAACACCACATGGAAGCTGCCAAGTGGTGTTGAGCTTTGGTTTGGGTTTTGTAAAATGAACAATTATCCCCTTCTGTGGATGCTCAGAGAGATTGGGTCACCTGCCCAAGGTCAGTGAATGATGGTGGTTCTGGAACCTGCGAAGTCTTGGGGCTTGCACCCTCTGAAGCCATGGCTGAGTTGTACCTTGGCCCCTTTTAGTCATGGCTGGAGTGTCTGGGACACAGGACACCAAGTCCCTAGGCTGCACACAGCATGGAGATCCTGGGCCTGGCCTGAGAAACCATTTTTTTCCTCCTACGCCTCCAGGCCTGTGATGAGAAGGGCTGCCTTGAAGAACTCTGACATGCCCTGGAGACATTTTCCCCATTGTCTTGGGAGTTAACATTCAGCTGCAAGTTATGCAAATTTCTGCAGCCGGCTTAAATGTCTCCTCAGAAAATGGCATTTTCTTTTCTTTTCTAATGCATTGTCAAGCTACAAATTTTCCAAACTTCTATGCTCTGCTTCCCTTATAAAACGGAATGCCTTTAACAGCACCCAGGTCACCTCTTGAATGCTTTCCTGCTTAGAAATTTCTTCTGCCAGATACCCTAAATCATTGCTCTCAAGTTCAAAGTTCCACAAATCTCTAGGGCAGGAGCAAATTGCTGCCATCTCTTTGCTAAAACATAACAACAGTCACCTTTGCTCCAGTTCCCAACAAGTTCCTCATTTCCATCTGAGACCACCTCAGCCTGTACTTTATTGTCCATATTGCCATCAGGATTTTGGGCAAAGCCATTCAATAAGTCTCTAGGAAGTTCCAAACTTTCCCACATTTTCCTGTCTTCTTCTGAACCCTCCAAACTGTTCCAACCTCTGCTTGTTACCCAGGTCCAAAGTTGCTTCCATGTTTTTGGGTATCTTTTCAGCAATGCCCCCACTCTACTGGTACCAATTTACTGTATTAGTCCTTTTTCATGCTGCTGATAAAGACAAACCTGAGACTGGGCAACATATAAAAGAAAGTGGCTTAATTGAACTTAACAATTCCACGTGGCCGGGGAAGGTCTCACAATCATGGCGGAGGGCAAAACGCACTTCTTACATGGCAGTGGCAAGATACAATGAGGAGGAAGCAAAAGCTTCCTGCATTCAATTACCTCCCACTGGGTCCCTCCCACAACACATGGGAATTCTGGGAGATACAATTCAAGTTCAGATTTGGGTGGGGCACAGCCAAACCATATCAGAAGTCATGGGGAGTTAAAATGGAGTTAACACTCCCTTCCTCAAGGAGTTGCCGCAAGGGCTAGAGATCGTTCGTGTGAAACACCCAGCACAGCACCAGGACGCTGACAAATGTGCAGCCAATGGTAGATGAAGCCCCCTGAGACACAGTCACCGACTACTTCCCTCCCCACACTCTGGGGCACTGACAGGGAGGTGACAGGGCAACTGTGCCTGGTGACAAGAGAAGTCCTGCAGGATGGTCAGGAGCCCTAGGTCTCAGTGCCTGCTCTGCCATGGACTGTCCTCATCTCATCTCTGAACAAGTCTCTTCCCCCTTCTGTGCCTCAGTTTCTCCAGCTTCACAGTAAGAGGTTCAGTTTAGATAATCCAACTCCAGAGTTTCAGGATTTTAAAGTTTAACAAAAGCATATCCTAAATTTCTACTAAGTATATACAAAGCACTGGGCTAGGCCAGGAGGGAGTGGGGGGCGGGGGGTGGGTGGTGATGGGATAGATACTAGGGTCCCTGTCCTCATGGGGCTTACAGACCAGCAATGAGAACAGAAGACCAACTTATAACAAGATCACTAACACCAGCTTTGGACCCAGGAGACTGGGGCTCTAGTCCCAGGTGTGCCACTATCTGTGTGACCTTCCCTGTTTTCTTTGGGCCTTGGTTTTCTTATCTGTGTAACAGTATTCACACTGCCTCCCTCTGGGACCCGTACTCTACCCCCAGGAAAAAGAGAAATGAAGACTGGTAGCCACCAAAGAAGGCTGAGGGAGAAAGGGATCTTTCAGTCAAGATTCAACATTTTTTTCCAAATCTTGACCTGCAGATACAAGATATCCACTGATTGACCAGATTATAAAACACAAGAACAGGAGGACAAGGGCTTAGAAACCACATCCATCTGTGATTTGGGGGATATACCGTAAGGCCTTCCAGTGCAGGGGCCATGAATCATGCATTGTTGGGCCCACAGGGCCAGGTCCACAGTGACTCTAAGTTTGCTGATGGCCTGCAAGGACAAAGAGTAAATGGTACGGCCCCAACAGGCTCCAGGCAGGTCTCCCCAGGTGACACCGCACACACTGCTATGAGACACCTCTAAAACAGCTTTGGCCACATCACTCTCCTTATCAGAAACCTCTTGGGTTCTGCTTTTTACCTACAGAAATCAAGTTCTCCCATGCACGAGGCACCTGTAAGTTGTCACCACCTTCTTCTCCCCTCCCACCTGTCCCCAGCCCCTCATCTGGATTTGAACCCTCCTTGACAGCCAAAGTGGGAACAGCCTTCCCTTGATGGACTTTGAACAACTCTCAGCCTCTGCTAATACATCTCCAAACTTGGAGAATTCCAGGGCTTGGGAGCTGGAAGGCCCCTTGGGGATCATGGGCAACTGGGGCCCAGAGAGGGGCAGTGACAGCAAGGAATGGCAGAGCAGGGCCCAGGACCTGGGACCTGATGCCTCATGTGACTGCCAGAACTGCATGCATCCATCCCGCCTGCCCCTGGCCTGCTCCCAGCAAAACAAAGCCTGTTCTGTCCACTCAGGCCCTCGGGCCACCCCTCCCTCCTGGCCTCTCACCCCACAGGCTACCCACAGGCCTCCTTCAGTAAATTCTCTGCCGTGAGTTACCTGCTGTTTTCCTACTTGATGTGTAAGCAGCTTGGGGCGGTGCCCTGCCTACTTTACCTGTGTGTTCTTTCCCCCACCTGGGATCAGAGCCAGGCCTAGAGGGTGTGTGGAGGAAGAGCAGGATGAACGGGTCAACCGCAAGACCCAGACCAGGTGTGAACCTAGCTCTGTACCTACCAGCCTTGGGTAAGTCTTGGGACCCGCTCCGAGGGTCCTCAACAGGGCTAAGAACACAGGTTTGTTGAAAGGATTAAATGACAGAATGGCAGGCATTCCACTCACTATCTGCTACACAAATACTCAATGTGTGGTAGACAATGACGGTGATTTGCTAAGCCTTCTGAAGGCAGTCACCATGTGATCCTTCATGTTCCTCCCCACCCAAGTTCCCAGTGTGGCGCCAGGAGCACAGCAGGTCCGAGACTGGCTGTGATGACATTCTTCAGTCACTTCCCTGGTGTCTGCTGATAAGGACAGCTCTCTGGGTGTTGGGTTCCAGCTTGAACCTACCTGGCCCCAGCTGCCTGACCCTGGTGCTGCACTACAGCATCTCTGGTCTGTAAAGTTTTCCAGCTCCCCCCACCGCCCTCGACAACTTCCACAGGGCACTGTTGGCACAGGGCCCCACTGGTACAGGGCCCCAGCACCCCCGAGACCGGCCTTTGTCTCGATCAGCTGTTCCTCAACACAGAGCTGCCTCCCACCCTGCTCCCCTCAGTCATGAGTTCACTCAAGCTGATGCCGAGGAAATCCCCAGGTGGATGGTTCAGAAACGTCCTGCCCTCCAACCACTTTGTCAGCTCTGGAAACGCAAGGCAGAAAGAATTTCAAGGCCAGACTCCCGGAGCCCTGAGGGCCAGCTCTTGCAACAGACCCACCAATGCAGCACATCTGGACAAACACAGCAGCCCACCATGTGCTCTCCACCAGCATCTCACTTCTGCCTCACCAGAGCCTTGACCCTGGGGATACTGTCCCTATTTTGCAGACACAGAAATGGATGTTACTCAGCTGGGAAGGAGAGGACCCCGGACTTAACCCCAGATGTCTTAGCTCCAAATCCACTCTGCCTCAGCTTACAAATGAGCACATGTGCTTAGACCTGGTCATGCTGAACTGTACTTACATGTTTAACTGTCTATCCTACTGTGGGCAGGGATGCGATTAGGTTCCTTTTTATGCCCTTGAAGCTGAGCACTGAGCCTGGTACAGAGCAGACACCACGTGAAGATGCACCAAGCATCTAGAATACCGCTACCTCACCAAAGGACACCTCTCAACCTCTCCCATGCTTCCTCAACTACCATCTGTTCAGTCACCCTGCAGGATCAGCAGGTTAGATGGCGTCATATCTACTTTACAGCTGTGTTAAGAAGTCCAGAGAGGTTCTGTGATCTGTCCAGAGTCACACAGCCAGAGAGGACAGGGGCTGGACCCAGGACCCAGGTATTCTGACATCCAGTACCTGGCCTCCTCCATGACATGATCGCAGGGACCTGTAAGCCTAGCAACTTACCCAAGGAGGATAATCTACAGGGAGATGGGCAAGGCTCCCAGTAAGATTTTCTCCTTTCAATATGTCTTCTTCTTGAAGATTTTCAAGTTCCCATCAACCTGAGGCAGCGTACATGGACACATGAGGAGGCGCTATGGGGCAGAGGGCAAGGGTTTTGTAGCCAGGCAGTCTGGGTTCCAACCCAACAGGGCCTTCACTGCTCTGAGGCTTGCTCGTGCCCTCACCCCTCTGAGTCCTCGTCTGTAATATGGTGATAATCCCAGTGCTGGTCCTAACGGGTCACTGTGATGATTACATGAGGCAAAGTGAAGACCCAGACCTGGCCTGGCACATGTTGGTATTCACTGAATGTTGGTTCCTGTCCCCAGTGAGTGATTTCAGGGACCAGGGAAGAAAAAGGTGCTGTGACACCAGCAAATCCTGAGGGAAGGCAGGGGCTGAAGATGGAGAAGAATCCACAATTCATCCCAGAGGCCTTGGATCCTCTCTCCACATACCATCCAGGATCCCAGTGTGGCTACAAGATGCTGACAAGGCACTCCCAGGAGACTGGGAAGGGTGAGCTGGAAAGGTCTCAGAGACCAAAGCAGGCAAAAGCTGCTGTGTTGCCTGTGACAGAATGAGGGCTCAGCATCAAATTCGCAGATCCCCCTGGGCAGTTGGGGTCACTGTCTTCCCTTTCCCTCATCCCTAAGCTGGGCAGTCACCTCCCCCTGTCCAGGTCAGGCTCAAGAGACCTGCTGCAACAGCCTCGCTCCTGGCCTGACTCCAACTGCCAGCCATGCTGGCACCAGAACGCACTTCCCAACAGAAGTCTGGGACCCTACTACAGCTCCCTCTTTAAAACCCATCCCACAGAGACAGCTTTCTAGTCTAGAGGCCTGTGACTCTTCTAGAGCCACCTGCCTTTTTGCACACGTTGTTCCCTCTGATGCAAAGATACCCTTCTTTGTCTACCAGCAAACTCTCACACATTTCATTCAAAAAGCCACCTCCTCTGTGAGGCTTTCCCAGTCTAACCTGCCGCTCATCCAGGAAAGGCCACCCATCCTGTGAGCGCCCATGGCCCTTGGGCTGCCCCCGACAAGGTACTGGCCCACTTCTGTGGCCATCTACGAATCTGTGTCTACCTCCTTGCCTGCACGAGCCTGGCCACATGAAGGTGATAAATCAGATGAATGAAATGTCATGGACAGAAAGCTCCCTTCTGCTTTGTGGGGAACATAACAATTGGTGCAACCCTGCAGGATGCTTAGGGCTCTGCCCGCTGGTGAGATCAGGTTTAGGACCAGAGTCAATGCTGTCTCTGCCTTCTATTGTCAGTGCAATCCAATGAATGTCTGCACAATGTAATACACACTACAAACCACTTTTTATTTATTTGCACATGTAATTCATTATCTTATTTAATACACCAAATCAGTGGAGCAAGAATTAGTATCCTCACATTTTAAATAAGTTACTTGTCCCAGGCCACAGAGGTAGGAAGCAATGGGGTGGGAGTAAAATCTGGGTCCCTTTGACTCTAAGAGGCTGGATCACTCGCCCTCCAGATTGGTCTCTCGGCCTCCAGCACCACCCACAAGCCAGAGACGGGTTTCATAGAATTACCAACCGCACCCTGCTGTGCCTGTTTAAATCCTCCAGGAGCTCTCCATTGCCTACAGGCTCAAATCCCCCTTCTCGGCCTGACATTCAAGGCCTTGGTGATTTGGTCCCTGCCTTCCCAGCCTCAAGTTCACTTCCAATTCACCACCCTCAAGACCTTGCGTCTGCTGGTCCACCATGCTGACCACCTGTGCTGTTTTCATGCACAGGTCCTGCACATGCTGATCCTTTTGTGGGAGATTCTTCCTGCCTCCCCTGTGTACCCACTGACTTCAAAACCATGAGCAGGAGGAATCTCCTGTCAGGCCCCTTCTCCGGGTTATTCCCACAGAACCCCTCTTAGGACTTGTTTTGGCCAGGTGGCTTTCAGGGAGGACCCAACCCTCTTTAGGAAGTGTCCTCAGTGCCCAGGCCAGCCTTGCTCTGAAAACTGAAGCATGAACTCTTAACTGCATCCCCTGTGTTGACCCAGGAGTTATGATTAAGAAGAAGACTGATCTGGACTTTACCACCACAAACTGTCATTTAAAAAGTAAGAGGAGAAAAGGTCAATCCCCCTCCCTTCCCTCTCCATTTTTGACTCATTTATCAGCTTTTGCCTTTCCTGGTGTTGGAGGAAGGGTAGGTGGAAGCCCGGTGGCGGTTGCATTGCAGCCTTCCTGGGGAGCAAAGTAGTGCCTCGGAATAGGTCAGGTCAGAATGGAGGTGTAGGTTAAACATCAAAGTGTTTCTGGGTTCTGGGATCTGAAGCAGTCAGCCAGAACAGAAGAGGCTATCAATACCTCCCCTTCCAGAAGGGAAACTGAGGCCGGAGAGGGAAAGGAAAATGCCCACAGTTGTTTCTTTCCCAGGTTAGCGGCCTGTGCCCTTCCATCATGTCTGCAGCATCCGACAAAGTTCTAGGTTAAAGACTGGAGTGAGCAGTGGGGAGGAGGGTGTTTACGGTTATCTTTGCGACTTAGGCTCAAAAGCCCAGCAGGCTCCTGCAGCTCTGAGCACCCCCCCCCCCCCACCTCCGGTCAGCCCCAGGCACTGCAAGTCTAGACTTATCCGAAGGGCAGGGCGCACAAAGATGAAAGAAGAATCGAAGGTCTTGAGTCACCTCCTCGCCAGGCCAAGTGTGGGCTGGCGCTGCTCTCCGCCCGGCTCCAGAGGCGCGGGTTATTCCCACCGCACGCCCCGAGCCGCGAGGGAGTTCTCGCCCTGTCCGTGCCAGAGTGACCGCGACTCCGCGAAGCTGAGCAACTTGCCAGCGCCGCACAGGGGCCAGTGGCCGTCCCAGTTGAAACCTGTGTATGTGAGGCTCCCACGGCCCCCAGCCCAGCTCCGGGTCCTGTGAGCCGGCGCCTCGGGCATGCCCAGATCTGGACTGGCAGTCCCCCTCTCCCCTACCGGGTCCGAGGGTTGGCCCCCTACCCCGGGGGCGGGCTGCAAACGGAGAGTGGGTCTCAAAGCGGAGCCTGTCTCCCTACCAAACAGACGCAACTCTGGATCACACTCTTTCCAAGAAGCGCGGGGAGGGCAACGCCAGCCGCCCTGTCCCTTCCTCTCCCCAGCCCAGGGCCGGAGCCTGGGACCCACCGCTCGCCTCTTCCTCCCAGCCGGGGTCTGAGGGGGAGTCCGCACGCTCCGCCCAGCCCCTGCCCAGCCAGTCCCCAGGCGCTGCCGATCCCCCGACCACCAATCCCGTCGCAGCCCCTTGCTGTCCTGGGACCTCAGGAGGGGGAGGGGGAGGGCTGTCTGCGCCCCCGGCCGGGTAGCGGTGGGGAGGACTGGGGCTGTTGCCCGAGGAACCGGGAGAAAAGTTTGGAGCCAAGTCGTGGGCCCGAGGGGACGGCGGGGGAGCGGGGGGGTGGGGCGGCGTTGGGCTCTCGGTGCGCACACCCTCTGCGGACACCCAGCCCAGACACGTCGGCAGGCACCGACCACGTACGCGGAGACACGCGATGCGCCCACCGACGCCCACAGCCAAGCGCAGGCCCGCAAACGTGGACACGGGCGCAAAGCAGCCGCGCAAAGCCACGGACACACAAAGGCACCGACAGCGGCGCGTCCCCGACCGCAAATCCACAAAGACCCACAAACGTGAGATGCACGTGTCCGCACAAAGACCCACACGGCCCCTGGGCGTAGCCTTTGTCTCCCGCAAGACCTCTCCCCTGGGTCGGCGTTCCCCACTCCCGCCCAGCCCTAGGCGTCCGACGAAAGTTGAGGGGCCTCGGCGGGACCCAGCCCCGCCCCTGCGCCCGGCGTCCCCAGCCCGCCCTCCGAAGGGGCCGCGAGGCTAGGATCGGGGACTTGGGATCTTCAACCGCAGCGCGGACTCTCGCCCCGCCCGGGGAACTGCACTCACCTGGAAGCCTGCGCCACAGCCGCCTCGGCACGCTCACCCCGGCGGCCCGGCCGCGGGCCCTCCGGCCAGCGCTTTTCTCCGCGCGGCGCGGCCCGCCCCCCGGTCCCCGCCCGCAGCCAGGCTCCCCCCTGCCGGGCGCCGGGTGGCGGCTCGGGCCGGCCGCGGGGCGGCTCAGGGAGTGTCGCCAAAGTGCCAGCCTCTCTCGGCGCGCGCCCCGCCCGCGGAGCCTGAGCCGAGCCCGGGTTCCACTCTAGGGAGCGTCTCAAAAGTGCGCTGCTCCCGCCCCCTCTAGTTGGCCTCGCTCACAGCTTCCTGCATCCCGGATCCCTGCCCCCTCCCCCTGCGCGCCCCAGCAATCTAAGCAGATGGCCGCACTGTCGGGAACATCTGGAGGTCGCCGGAGTACGTGCCTGTGTATGTGTATGTGTGTGTATGACTGTGTGTGTGGAAAGAGAGAGGGAATTAGTTGCTAGTAAGAAAGAGATTTGGTGGGTGGGTGAGGGCTTCCTCTTTGCTTGTTCACCGCCCCTCCCCATTTTTTTTTAAAGAGTGAAAGAGGTTCAGGGACTACCGGGAGCAAGAAACCAAGAATCTGAAGCAGAGAAAGACTGGCTGAAAGACGAACCCACAGAGAAGAGAGAGCCCGGCTCGGGCAGAAAAGCTGGCAGGAGAGGAGAGAGAAAGTCAACAGATTGAGTTTTTCTTTTAGGAGGAAACCATTGGCTTCTGGTTAGAGTTCTAAGAAGGGAAACTGGCGTGTGAGTAGGCAGCAGTTTCAGTCTATTCCCCCTGCTGTAGCTCTTGGGCTCTCACCCCTCTTTATGTTAAAAAAAAAAAAAAAGGGCAGGAAAGCATCCAAGACACTTTAAAATGAGGGTTTGCAGGAGAAATGACCTGGTGGACGCATTTCCTAGGAGGGGAGAGTCAGGTGTGTGGGTGGCTCCCAGTCTACACACCCCGACAATGCCTACCTTGGGAGAGGGGCAGTTCACAGGTGGGAGAGTTGATAGAGGCTTTGGTCTTGGGCCCTGGACCTCCCAGGAGCTTCTCCTAGACTTTGGAGGGCCTCGGGGTGCAGAAATTGGGCAATGTACCTCCTGCAGTGGCCCAGACTTGTTAACACACCCAGTCTGCTTGCTGCTTCTTTCCTTATTACTTTTTCTTATTCATTAAAAAAAAAAAAAAAAAAAGGAGTTGCTTGGGCCTGTGTGTGCATGCATGCCGGTCTACTTGGGGAAGAAGGAAGACACTAGAGAGGTGGTGAGGTAGGAGTGGAGACCACTGCCCCAGGCCTCAGGCCAGCAAAATCATCTGCTGCCCAGAAAACAAACTGGTCTTGCAGGTCCTTTCTGCACTCAGAGCCATTGTGTGGTCTTGGGGATGCACTTGGGTTGACACCTGTGGACCCTGCCAGTTAGGAATGTGCAGAGAAAAGGCTAGGAGCCTGGTCTCATATGTGTGGAAGCAGGGAGAACTCCCGTCTCTCCTCTCCATTCATTGTCCTCTCCTGATTAGAATCCCAGCTTTCAGAACTAGGAGTCCTTCTGTGATCATCCAGCTCACACTCCTTATCAGTCTTTGGGATGGCACCATGGGCCCTTTGGTATCCAGTGTCTTCCTCACTGTTGGGCTTAAAAGGGCTGCAGGGATTCAACTCCACAACCCCTGGGACCCATAGAGAGGAGTCGGGCCCCTCCCATTTCCCACCCTCCCATTCCCTCCCCTCTCTAAAGGCTCCTGGCCTAGATGGGAGAGAGACCTGCAATCAGCATCGGGTGAGGGCCAAGCTTGGTCAGGATTCAGGTTCCAGCCCTGCCACTTACCAGCTCTGGGTAACTTTAGGCAAGTTACCTAACCTCTCTGAGACTCAGTGTCTGCAACTGTAGAAGAGGCTATTGTGAGGAATAAACAAGGTAATTTAGGTAAAGCATTAGTCTGGCTCACAGGAAGCTCCTTTGTGTGGTTGCTAAATGTCTTCCGTCAGGGACTGGGGTAGAGACTGGAAAGCCCAGCAGGCTTGGGAGGGGAGGGTGCCCGGGAATGACCTCTGGACTCCCTGGCTTGTCTAGCTTATATTCCTCCTGCTTCCTCCCCTCCCATAGGGACATTCTTTTGAAGGAATGGCGCCCCCCTCCCCTTGCCCTAGACTAACGATTTCCATCCTCTCCTCCATGTGGAATTGTTTAGCGAGTCTCAAGTTCAGCATCTGAGAACTGGAGATGAAAATACCCAACTGCCCGGGAACTCAGGGAAGCTAACTCCCACTGCACTGTGTGTGCAGGTTCTAGCCAGCTGGGCTGGAGGCTCCAGGCCTCACATTTAACATAAAAGTAATCAACAACCCTTCACACTGGCTGGTAGCTGGCAGCAGTTTCTGAGCACTTTCACATTCATCATTTCCCTTGACCTCCCCTTAGGGAGAGGTGGCCTTGAGGGGCTTCAGCTGGTGGATCTCCATGAACTTTACCCACCTCCCCTCATCACTGTGCCTCCAGTTGAGAGTCTCTGTGCCTCTAGACTCTCCTCTTCTGTCTGCTGTCCACATTCCAGCAAGAGTGCCCTTTCTAAACTGCAGATCTGCAGAATGGATCATGACACTTGCCTGCTTAAAACCTTTCAATGGCAAAAGCCAAACTGCTTGGTGTGGCATTCAAGGCCTATGTGATATGCCCCCACCTCACCTTAACTCTCCAGCATCAGTTCTGGCCACCCCCTCTTACACATCCCAAGTTTTAGTCCCCTAGTCACCTAGAAGTAAGGGAAGGGAGGTGGACCTTCTCCATTCTTCATGTCTGTTCAGTGTCTTCGCCCCCAGGGAGTCCTCTCTCTGGCGAAGTTGGCCTCTCCATCTGTGATATTGCCATGTCCTTTGTATATAAGCACCATCATTTTCACCGTTCTCTTCCCCTTCTTGTGATCATCTTGGCCACTGTGACATGTCAGGGACTGTGCTGGATACTTTTAAGATCATGATTTAATCCAAACAACCACACTAGATGGATAGTGGTGCGGCCCAGAAAGGGCAAGAGATCTGTCTGGGGTTACATAGCATGTTCTCTGCGGAGCTGGCACAACATTTAGGGCTCCAGTGCTCTTTCTGTTGCCTTTTAATCTCCACAAAGAGCAGAGGTGGTGTAGCAGAAAGGCCTGGGAATCTAAGGATCCCAGGTGCAAACCATCACTCCTCTATCCCTGGCTAACTGTGGACTTTGGGTAAGTCATTTTCTCCCCTAAGCCTCAGTTTCCTTACCTGTAAAATAGGGATAAATAAGAAGCCCTATCTCCCAGGGATATCGGGGTGATCAAATGAATCAATACAGATGCAAATGTGTTATAAGCCATAGGGTGCTGTGTGCTTTTATTTATTTGCTTAGAGATGAGGTCTTACTCTGTCACCCAGGCTGGAGCGCAGTGGTGCAATCATAGCTCACTGCCACCTTGAGTTCCTGGGCTCAAGGGATCCTCCTGCCTCAGCCTCCTGAGTAGCTGGGACTACAGGCACACCACCATGTGCCTCGCTAATTTTTAAATTATTTGTAGAGACGAGGGTCTTATCATCTTGCCCAGGCTGATCTCGAACTCTTGGGCTCAAGCAGTCCTCCTGCCTTGGCCTCCCAAAGTGCTGGGATTACAGGTGTGAGCCACCATGTCTGGTCGTGGTGTGATTTTAATTGACTTACCTGAACAGCCATACTGAAGCTGCGGGTGATCTGTTGGAAGATCTCTTTTCTCGAAGAGCCCTTGAGTGGAGGTCAGAAGACACTATTCGTCCCTTCAGCCGCTTTGCTCATTTTCCATGTTTTGAGACAGGTCTTTCATTTTCTGTCCTTCATTATAGCGATCAAGCCCTGACCAGAAAACCCTTCAGATCCAATGTATCTCCATGAGCCTCCAGGATCTCTATTTTTCTTGCTGCATTTTCTTCTTTTCAGCTATCAGAAGCTGGCAGGTCTTAAGTTAATAAAGCATCAGGACCATGTGTGGAAATAGCAGAAAAGAAGAGCTGGAAGAAAAAGGATGTGTCTCCACCCCTGCCCCCCACCCTGACTCTGTAGATGTGGCATGTGGCAGGTTATGTTTTCTAAAAGTTCCTCTGGTTATTCTGATGTCAGTACGAGGACCGCGGGACATGACAGAATACCTTGGAATTGGAAGACCTTTCATGCATGTTCTCATTAAACCTCTGAGCAGGCTTCTTAGGTAGTTGATTATCCCCTCCATTTTACAGATGTGGAAACTGAGACTCAGAAGTGACTTACCCAGGATTGCACAGCTGGAACTGAAAACTGGCTCACGGACAGAACTCCAGCCATTCCTCTGGAGGGCGGAATTCTGTGCCTGGGCTTTGCTGGTGTCTCAGCAGTCAATGCATGACAAATGCTTCTCCCATCCTGCCAAATCAAATGCTTCCCTAAATATTTCTCTCCCACTCTTCCACCTCCATGCTTTTTCCCCTGCCTGGAATGCTTTTCTCAGTTCAATCTACCAGCTGCAGTTTTCACTGTCCTCCGAGCCCTGCCACCTCCTGCACAAAGACATTTCCATTTCCCGCAGTTTCTCTTCCTTTGAGCCTAGAAACACTTGGTCTGTGCCTCAGTACAGCTGTCTCTTCAGCCTTCCCTCCTGCCTCAACTTGATGCTCCAACATCCCCAGCTGTTGGGGTTTCCTGTGCTTCTGGCAGTTCCTTACCACCTCTGGGTCTTTGCTTCTCTTTGTGCCTACAGAAGTGCCCCTTGCCCTGCCCCGTCTCTTGCTTATTATTCAAAATTCAGCTTAGGTATCACTTCTTCCAGGAGGCCTCCCCTGACCTCCGCAACCCCTAATTGTACTATTAGGAACCCTTCCTCTGTGCTGCCATGGCATACCAAGGATACCTCTGTAATAAGCAAGATTGTTCATTCGTTCACCCATTCACTCATTATAGCAAGGTGCAGACTCTGGGGCCAAACCTCAGGTTTGAATCCTGGCTTCAAAGTGGGCAAGTTCTTAACCACCGCCCCCCACCCTGCCTTACTATCTGTAAAATGAGGAAAACAATAGTCCCTACCTCAAACGTTGTTGTGAGGATTAAATGAATTATCTGTATAGCACGTGTATAACACTGCCTGGAATGTAGTAACACACTAATAGTTTAGTAAGTATTTGATGAATGTTGGCTACTACTCTTACAACTTGTTAATTCACTTTACAACATAGGAAAAACGTTTGTAAAAATGGACAGAGAAGAGGATTCTGGGTAGATGGCAGAGTAGGAAGCATCAGGAATCCATCTTCCCACCTAGACAACAATTGCACTGGCAGAATCTGTCTGATGTAACTGTTTTGTAACACTGGAGTCTATTGAAGGCATGAAACTTCCAGGGGAAGTCTTGGACAGTAAATTGTGCTTAATTTCAGTCAATTTTAGCTGTTAACATGAAAGCAGCTACTCTGACCACAGCCCCCTGTCAGGCGGCTGTATGGGTGTTCCTGCAGCAACCTGCACACAGCTTGTGAGAGCCAGGGTGGACAAAAAGGACCCTATAGTGAATACAGAGTATCTGAGCTCTGATCACTGATTATTGCTTCTAATCAAAGAAATACAGACACAAAAGCAGGTGGCCATTGTTGTTGCACCTCTCCTGTTGTTGCAAGACTCTCCCCCTCCAGCTGAAGTGACTTCCAAAGGATTTAAAGGGCTAGTGCCCTTCCTTCTCCTTTATTTTTCTCTTTTTCCCATTTAAGAGCCAGACATTAAAAACTAGAACATTTAAAAGCAACTGTATATACAGGAAAAGTTAGAAAGTGACCATGTGTGTTCAGGGAAAGGTTCACACTCAGAAAAGACTCCAGAAGACCTTAAGTTTACATTGCAAGCTAATGTTTGGCACAGAGACAGTCCACAAGATCAACAGAAAAACAGCAACAGTTTATACCTCAGGCTGATCCTGGGCACAGAGACAGCCTACAACATCTACAGAAAAACAATAACAGAAACCAGCAAACCCTAGGGAAAGAAGAGAATTGGATTTCCAGAGCTACCACATCATTAGTTAAATGTTCAGTTTTCAACACAAAGCATACAAAGAAACAGGAAATTATGGCCCATTAAAAGGAAAACAAACAGAAACTGTCCCTGAAAAAGACCTGATGGCAGAGCTACCAGACAAAGACTTTAAAACAACTCTTTTAAAGATACTGAAAGAACTAAAGGAAGATGTAGATAAAGTCAAGAAAATGATGTGTGAACAAAATAGAGGATCAAAAAAGAGAAAACCTAAAAATAAGCCAAAAAGAAATTCTGGAGCCATAAAGTACAATAACTGAAATGAAGAATTTACCAGAGGGATTCAGACAGATTTGAGGGGGCAAAAGAAGGAATCCACAAATTTGAAGATAGGACAATAAAAATGGTCGAGTTTAAGGAACATAAAGAAAAAAGATTGAAGAAACATGAACAGCACCTAAGCGACCTATGGGATACCATCAAATGGACCAACATATGCTTTGTGAGAGTCTTAGAAGAAGAGAAAGAAAGGAGCGGAGAGAATATTTGAAGAAATAATGGCTGAAAACATCTGAAATTAGATGAAATACGTAAACATCCAAGAAGCTCAGCCAACTCCAAGTCAGATAAACTCAGACCCACACTGAGACTCATTATAATCAAACTGTCAAAAGCCAAAGACACAGAATCTCGAAAGCAGCAAGAGAGAAGTGACTTATCGTATACAAGGGATCCTCAATAAGACTGTCAGCAGATTTCTCATCAGAAACTTTGGAGGCCAGAAGGCAGTGGGATGATAAAGTGTTAAAAGAAAAAGAAAAAAACTGTCAATCAAGAATCCTATATTTGGCAAAACCATCCTTTAAAAGTGAGGAAGAAATTAAGACATTCCCAGATAAACAAAAGCTGAAAGAGTTTACCATTAGACCTGCTCTACAATAAATACTCAAGGGAGTCCTGCAGGTGAAATAAAAGGACACTAGACAGGGACACAAAGACATTTGAAGAAATGAAGGTCTCAAAAAAGATAAATATGTAGGCAATTACAAAAATGGTTTGTAACTCCACTTTTTGTTTTCTACATAACTTAAGAGGCTAATTATTTAAAAGAATTATTAGTTTGTGGTTTGGGGCACACAATGAATAAAGATATAATTCTGTGACAACAACAACAAAAAGGCCTGGGGATGGAATATGTTAAAGAAACAGAATTTGTGGGCTGGGCATGGTGGCTCATGCCTCTAATCCCAGCATTTTGGGAGGCCGAGATGGGAGGATCACTTGAGGCCAGGATTTAAACACCAGCCTGGTCAACATAGTGAGATCCTGTCTCTAAAAAATAAAATAAAATAAACAGAGTTTGTGTATGTTATTGAAGTTCAATTGGTACAGATTTAAATTATAGTGTTATAACTTTCGGATGTTAAATATAATCCCCATGTTAACAACAAGAAAAAAGCTATAGAATATATACAGAAGGAAATGAGAAAAGAATTGAAATGTCTTATTACAAAAAAAAAAAGCTAAACATAAGAGGACGGTGTTGTAGGAAATGTACAAAACCTCTGTTGACCGGGCACAGTGGCTCATGCCTGTAATCCCAGCACTTTGGGAGGCCGAGCAGGTGGTGCTCGGTGACCTAAGGTGACCTTAGGTGAACCTAAGGTCAGGAGTTCAAGACCAGCCTGGCCAACATGGTGAAACTCTCTCTCTACTAAAAATACAGAAATTAGCCAGGCATGGTGGCAGGCACCTGTAATCCCAGCTACTAGGGAGGCTGAGGCGGGAGAATCACTTAAACCCAAGAGGTGGAGGATACAGTGAGCTATGATCGCGCCATTGCACTCTAGCCTGGACAATAGGAGCAAAACTCCATCTCAAAAAAACAAACAAAAAAAAAACCAGAAACAAAAAACAAACAAAAATCCTTTATAAGGAATATAGAAGACAAATTGCAAATAATAGAAGCAAATCCCTCTTATCAGTAATTACTTTAATTGTAAATGAACTAAACTTTCCAGTCAAGACAGAGATTGGCAGAATGGATAAAAATGCATGATTCAACTATCTGTTCTCTACAACAGACTCACTTTAGATACTTGTAAAAACATAAATAGATTGAAAGTGAAAGGATGGAAAACTATATTTCAACTAAATAGTAACCAAAAGAGAGCAGAGGTGGCTATATTAATCAGACAAAATAGTCTTTACACAAAGTTTATAAGAGACAAAGAAGGACTTTATATAAGAGGTTCAGCTGAGTGCAGTGGCTGATGCCTGTAATCCCAACACTTTGGGAGGCCAAGGCAGATGGATTGCTTTGAGCTCAGGAATTTGAGACCAGCCTGGGCAACATGGCAAAATCCTGTCTCTACAAAAAATGCAAAAATTAGCTGGGCATGGTGGCTCACGCCTGTAGTCCCAGCTACTCCAGAGGCTGAGGCCGGAAGATCGCTCAAGCCCAGGAAATGGAGGTTGCAGTGAACCGAGATCACACCACCGCACTCCAGCCTGGGTGACAGAGTGAGACCCTCTCTCAGGAAAAAAACAAAAGTTTCAATATCGCAAGAAGACATTATCAGCATTTATGCACCTAGTAACAGACCATCAAAATGTAAGCAAAAAACTGACAGAATTGAAGGGGAAAATGAACAGTTCTATAATAATAGTTGGAGATTTCAATACCCCACTCTCAATAATGGATAGAACAACCAGACAGAAGATAAGTAAGGAATAAACCAACCAGATCTAATAGACGTACACTTAATGAGTAAAGTGTTTCAGTTTTACAATATGAAAAGAATTTTGGAGCTGGACAGTGTTGGTGGTAGCATAACATTATGAATGTATTTAATACCACTGAACTATACACTTAAAATAGTTAAGACAGCAAATTTTACGTTACATGTTACCACAGAAAAAAAAACTAAACAACAACAAAAGAAACTGGACAGGGAAACTGAGGCAGGAGCCAGTTTGTAGGGCCCAGGAGAGCACAGTGTGAGATGTGGGAGGCTTGGAAGGCACAAAGAGGAAAAAAATGGAAGGTGGCTTTGGCCCTTGGTTGGGGGAGGGGACACAATAGAGAAGGAGGCTCCCTCATTTGGAGCCATGTGTGGATCTCTGGTCCGCTCTGTGGGCAGGAGACTGTGGCCTGTAAAGAGGCAGTAGGCTGTTAGGTTAAATCTGCCAAGCCCTCCTTCCAAATTTCCCAGTTTGGTGGTGGTGGGAGGAGGCCAGGAACAAATTGTCTCCTGAGCAGCTGCCAGAGCTGGTCTCCTTCCAGAAGGCCAGGTTTGCACTAGAGGCACTGCCCTTACCCAGCTTTGCTTCCAGGTTTCCTCTGACCCTGAAACCTCTTCCCCTATCCCTACATCCGGGAGCTAAGCTGACTTGCAAGTTCTGACAGGATGTGATGCTCCAGGCACCATGAAATCAGCATGGGAGCTGGAAGGCCTTGGGGATCAGATATCAGGCATTTAACCTCAACACCTTTCTCATTTTACAGGTGGGAGACTGAGGTGCAGAGAGAGAGAGTGACTTGTCCAAGGTCACAGAGCTAATGAGCAGGAAAGCTTCTAGACTCCCAGTCAAGAGCTCTGTTTACTTCTCTACATGGCACACATCACTGTGTATTCCCTCTCGCCTGTCCTATCCTTCCATCCATGTGTCCTCCTGTCTTTACTCTCTATCTGTCCATCCATCCATCCAACAAATGTTTACCTGCTGAACCTCTGACACATATTGAATCTTGCACTGGGCTCCAGGAGCCTACAGTTGGGGTGGGCACACTGACACAGACATACCTTAGTCCTGAAGAGTTTTGGATGCCCACTAGAAATCTGTGCAGAGCATTTGGAGCAGAGAAAGACCCAGTGCCGGCCACAGCCATCAGGCAAAGTGTCCTGAGGGAGGGCCTGGCTGAGAAAGTCCTTCTGGGCACAGAGGGCTGGGAGTGTGGGCTTAGTGAAGAAGTTAAGGGCCTTCTAGGCAGAAGGAGAAGCATGATCAAAGACCAGACTAGAGGGTGTGGAGCTATAAGTGGTTCAGCGTGGCTGGGTACAGGGGATAAGGAGCCCAGGGAGGGATAGGTCTGAAAGAAGGGGAGCAATTCTCGGGACGTGGAGTCTTGTGGGTAGGCTGAGGTGACAGGCCTTGGTGCCACATGCATTGGAGCCACAGATGGTCTCTCCATTGTCAGGTGCTCATCTGAGGGAGTCCCGGTGGAGGGGACCCAGGGAGGGAGGGCAAGCATTGGGGGCCCTTGTGTCCTTCTGTTAGCCTGTTGGTCTCCTCCAAGAGGCCTGGCAATTCTCTCTTGCCTTCCCCTCTGTCCCCACACAGGCCTGTGGACACATCCCCTCCCTGCTCTGTCTGTCCTCTGTTGGTCTCTCTCCCTCCCTTTGGCCTGTTGGCCCTTGCCAATCATGCAGACCCTGCCGTTTCTCCCTTGCTCATCATCTCCCTGTGTCTTAGCACCACGGCAGGCACAGAGCCCCCGACTGGAGGTCAGGGCAGGACACATGATTCCAGTCCTATTTTTGCCACCAACTGACCCGAGCAAGAATATCTTATTAATAACAACGTATTTGCAGGATGATTTCAGCTGACAAAGTCCTCTGACCCCCTGTAGGGGAAGATGTCACCGTGACCCAGAAGCCTCTTGACTAGGTCGAGCGTTCTGAGGGCAAGTAAACTCCGGGGAACTTTGTTATCATGCTTGGGTTGTTGCGTGATTACGTTATTGTGTGCAAAGGGCTCTGTGCTCAATTTATTACCTTCTGTCCCAAGACAAACAGAACTTCAGAATGTTACCCCACAGAAGGTTACTTCAGAGCACATTAGAATCAGTCCTGGCCCTAAGCAAACAAGTTCCATTAAGAGATTTTCAGATTTTTTTAAAAAGTTAGTCCATAGTAAGATACACATGTTATCACACAACTGGGGATATATATACAAGCTTGGCAGATAGTACTTACCCTTGCTGTGTGTAATATGGACTGGTATTTTCCTTTCTACTCCATTCTATTCCATTAGGAATAGCAATGGTGGTCATGTCTCTGTAAATAGATTTCACATCCCACTAACAGTTTACAATGGGAAGTTTTCTGGGACCACTCCCTCCTCCCCCACATTCAGTTGTTTCCTGATGCAGAAAAACTGCAAATCTGTATCTCCAGCTGTGACCTCTCACAGGGTTTAAATCTTGGCTTTGCCACTTCCTGGCGAGTCCCTTAAAGACTATTTCCTTTTCTGTAAAATGAAGAAAATTGTTACCTTGCAAGGTAGTGGAAAGGATTTAATGAAATCATTTATGTGAAGTGGTTCATGTGATTCTGGGTGCATAGTAGTTGCTTAGTAAGTGTTTATTTATAACGATCTCTTATAACAAGAATTATGGAGACAGGTGTTCAGTAAACCTTGGTGAATAGCAGGGGTGAATCAGTTCACATAGCTGCCCTCAGGGCTGAGACTGGAGGGTGATGGGGAAGGGGTTAACGTTTACAAAGCTCCTGCTATGGGCCAGGAACTGTGCAAAATGTCACAACCGCCACCTTGGTGAGTGCTTACAACAAGGTGGGTACAATTACTAGTCTGATTTTATAGATGGGGAAACTGAGGTTCAGAGAGGGAGAATGCTTTGACTAAGGTTGTATGGCTTGTGAGTGGCAAGACAGAGTTGCACCTCAGGCTCTTGGGCCTGAGAGTCCCTGAGCACCGTCCACACTCTCACCTGTCTGTCCCCTGCCTCTGCTGGGACGTCCTCTGTGCCATACTGTGTTGTGCCATGCTGTACCCTTCGAGTGAGCCCTGGTTCCACGAAGAATGCTGACCAAAAGGGCTTTGTGACCCAGCCCCTTCCAGCCTCCACCTCTCCACGTCCTTGTGGACCACAAGGTGAGGTCCCATCTGCCCATCCAGCCTCACTGCCCACCACACATCTGCCCCCTCCCAGGCACAGCCAATGGTCACCCCTACTAGGTGACAGGCCCCAAACATGGCAGTGCTTTCCATCCTGTAAGCTGTAGCTTTGGCTGTCTCCACCACTCAGAATGCCCCTCCCCTTCCCCCAAAAGGCTGAAATCCTAGATGTCTCCAGTGACAGACCTGGGAGCTGGGTCTATCCTCAAAACCAGGCCATGAAGGGAGTAAGTGGGGTGGTCTAGTTTGGACAGACAGAAAGCAGAGGGTGGAAGGGGCAGGAGGAGGGAGGTGAGAGCAGGAGAGAGAAGAGGGGGTAAAAGGGCAGGGCCAGGCTGTGCACAGTTGTGTAAGTGTGTGTGCCTAAGGCTACCACATGACCAGAGCCAGGTGTCCTGCCAGGGGTGAAGAAAGTTTACCAGCTTTGTGCTCTCAGAGCAGACATTCCAGAAAGATTTTGCAAAGGAGGGATGCTTAAGCCCCTGGTGAGCAGCCAGGGTCAGTGAACCATTCATGGCTGAGCTGAGATCCTCCCTCCCACCCTAGCCAGCTCTAAGTCCTCGTTTTGGAGCTGCAGGACAGGCCCTGTAGCAGAAAGGAAAAAGGAGACTTTGTCGGCATGATTTCATTTTCATTTCTGGTGTCATTACAGGGATGAAACATTCTTAGAGAATTTACCAGTGTTTATGCTGTGGTCACGTCTGACGCTCAAAGTGACCCTGGGAGGTGAGACTCCTACCCCCGTTTTACAGACTGAAGCTCAGAGAGGGAAATTGGTTGTTCGAGGCCACACACTGAGAGAGAGGCAGAGCTGTGACACACAGTTTTTGTGCTGTTGGCATGTGTGGGAGTGGCCCCAGTAAATAAAACTTAAGTTAACAACTTAGCTGAAGCTCACAATGGGCAAGATAGGGTTCTTATCTTAACTCCTTTAATCCTCACAATTCTATGTGGAAGACACTACTGTTATCCCCATTTTACAGAGAGGGAAACTGAGGCATGGAGAGATTCAGCAAATTTCTCAGTTCACAGAGCTAGTAAGTGGTGGAGCTGACACTCGAATCCAGGCCCTCTAGTTTCACAGCCTGTGCTCTGAATTGCTTCACTTACATAGAGGCTCAGGGAGAAGGTAATTTAGTGAAGATGAGGTCAGCAGGATGGGCTCTAATCCAGTATGACCATTGTCCTGATAAGGAGAAGAAATCTGGACGCAGGCACACATAGAGGGAGAATGCCCTGTGAGCATGGAGATGGTCATCTATAGCCAAGGACAGAGGCCTCCAGAAGCCAGCCCTGCTGACACCTCCATCTCCGACTTCCAGCCTCTGGAACTGCGAGGAAACGTGTCTGGTGTTTAAGCCACTCAATCTCTGGTACTTTGTTATGGCAGCCCTAGCAAACTAATACACTCATGCAACATGGAGCCAGTGACTTAACTCTCTGTGTGTCACATAGTAGACTCAATAACACCCTACGAAGCATGGGCACATAGTAGGCCCTCAGCAAATGCTGGCTTTGCCTTCTCTCCAGGCCTGGGAACAGCAGCTGGCTGTCTCAGGGGAGGCGAGTGGCAATATTACTGAGTCATCCTGCCTCAGCATGGACCCAGGGCACCTGACCCTCGATCGGGCCCTCCTCTTTCCCCAGACGGGCAATCCTGCCCTCAGCTCCACCCCCATCCTTGGAGGTGAGCAGAGTTCACAGCTTTCTGTGTGCCAGGCTGTGAGGTGAGCAGAGTCCATAGCTGCTTTGCCTCTGCTCGTGCTGAGTAGCACACCTGCCGTGAGTGACTGACCAACTTGGCCAGGCACAGAGGGCAGGAGGGGAGGGGCCTCGGGGTGCAGGGGGTGACAGGTGAGTTGGGGCATTTTCCACAGTGCATGCATGCTGCATTTTATCTGATGCTCACAGCTACCCTCAGAGAGAACCTGAGGCCCAGAGGAGTTGAGGGACTCCCATTCAGTTCACCTGTGCTGGGCTTAGGTCCTTGGTGTCCAGGCTGCAGCCATGGCTGGACCACTTGCTTGCCCTCCAAGGCTTTGGGAGGCTATAGGGGGTGGCGGGAGGCCTGTGGGCCCAGCAGTCACCTGACCTGGGCTCAAATCTCAGCCGGGCCAGGGACCAACAGTGTGACCTTGGGTCCTCCTTCGATGGGAGGTTAATCATGCCCACCTCGCCAGGCTGTTGGGAGGCTCAGTGAGAGGCGGCGGAGGCCATCTCCACCCCTGGAACTCTCAAGGGAGTTCTTGTGACTTTCACAAGTAACTGCTAAGTTGCTGTTGCTGAATCAAATTCCTGGAGAGCCAGGAAGTATGTCTGTGGGTGGGAGAGACGTCTGGCACTTCCAGGGGGGCCCCAAGGCTTCCTTCCCACATGCCTGCCTCCCCCAGCGCCTGGCAGCCCTTGAGAGGGAAGGTAACAGAGGGGCCCAGAGGGTCTGGAACTTACCATGCCCCTGCTTCCTGCCCACTGTACCTGTCTGCACCCCTGGTTTCCCTGTCTGCAGTTCTGAGTTCAGTAAACGTGGTTTTACTTTCTTTATAGCACCTGTCGCCACCCAAACTTCTCTGGATTATTGATTGTATTGTCACTATTGTCTGCTTCCTCATCCCCTCCTAGAGTGGCAGTCATGGAGCAGGGACTTTGTTCACTGCTTTGTGTTGTTGACTGCTGTAGCTCCTGCACCTAGAGCAGTGCCTGGCACACAGCAGGAGTTCAGTCAGTATTTGCGGCAGGAAGGAAGGAAGGGACAGAGGGAGGGAGAGAGGGTGGAAATTGTGGGTCCTCTGTGGTCAGCCCTTTGCTGCAATTGGGGATGTTGCCTTAGGTTAGAGCCCAACCCTGCTGACAGAGGCTTCCCCTCCAGTGCCAGAGGCAGACACAGACACAGACAGTGACTGTGGGTGTGACCAGCACTGCGACAGAGGGAAGGAGGCACTCTGGCTGGGGAAGCCAGGGCAGATGGCATCTGATCTGCTTCAAGGAGTAGGCCGGGCTGGCTGGGGGCAGGGGGGTTGGGTGGGGGGCTGGGAAGCCTCAGAGAAGCATCAGCTGAGAAGACAAGGCAAGGAAGAGTCAGGGGGACAAGGGAGGGGCAGCATTCCAGGCAGAGAGAGCCGAGTGTGCAAAGGCAGGAAGGCAGGAAGGCTGTGTGGAGTTAGAGGCACCTGCTGCTGTCACTGAGTGCAGTGACTGGGAAGGTAGAGGTTGGTGGTGGGAGGGTCCCCTGAGAGAACGGTAGGGATCTCACGGAACGCAGCAAATCCAGGCTGTTTCTCTCCCAGTGCTCAAAGGCTCCTGACTGTGGAGAGCTAAAGCTGCCAGGAGCTGCCTGTGCTTGCCAAGTGGTTGCAGATGTTTCCTCCCTACTGCTCTGACTTTGCCAGGTGAGCACATTCTCCTGTCTGAGCTGGTATCTCTGTCTCTCTCTGTTTCTGTCCCTCTCCTGAGAGAGTCTAGCCTTGGGGTCCAGGCCTGGCCTGGCCAGGGTGGCCGTGGGATCTTGGAGCAGCCACCACTCCCCTTTCTGAGCCCAGGTTCCTCCTCAGATGCACAGTGGGTGGGTCGTTAGCGCCTGGAAGGCCTCTCCTCCAGGACCTGGTGTTTTCACAGACGAAACAGACTTCAGAGCTAATGCGTGCTTTGGTATCTTCCAGCCAGGAGACACTGCTCAATGGCCCCAGGAGGGGCCCAGGAAGGATTCATTCCAGCCTTGCTGGGGGTGGGATCAGGTTTCTGGTCCTACTCTAGCCAGGTGGCCATGGGGGAACCCTGAAGCCAGACACATAGATTCTGGTCTCTCACACACTCTCTTGGTGACCTCAGCAAGTTTCTACCTCTCCCCAGACCTCAGTCTTCCCTTTTATAAAATGGTTATAATAGCACCAGTCCCCTCTCTGCAGAGACAGGAGCCCTGCTCCTCGTCCCGGATCTGGCATTGGCTCACCTTAGGCAAGTCTGTTCCCTTTTTGGGCCTGTCTCCCCATGTATATGTTGAGGGGTTGGACTTCAGGGCCTGTGAGAGGCCTTCCAACTTAGACTTTCTCCCCAGGAGCATAAATTCAGTGAATCTACGTGACTCTCAGTGATGGCATCATTGCCTAATATCCACCCAGCTTCTGCTTGAAAACTTCCAGAGAACTCCCCACATCTCCACGGCTTCCTTCTACCTTCAGGTAGCAGGAAGTTCTCCCTCACACTGTACCTTTCTTCCTACATCACCCAACCGCTGGGGTCAGTTCTGCCGCCACAGAACTCCAAACAATTCAATAGACCTTAGGTACTGGGCACCCTGGCCAGGCCTCATGCCAGACTCCAGGATCATGGAGGAACCAGTGTTGTCCAGCAAGGACTGGACAGGCATAAAGTCCTGTAGCTCTGTCTGACTCCAGACTCAATAATAATCCCAGCTGCCACCGATAGCCCCTTCTGGGTGCCCAGCCCTGCTGCCTCATCAAATACCAGCAATATCTACCTCACTGAATCCCCACAACAACCCTGCCAGATAGTAACTCTCATCCCCATGTTATAGCTGAGAAAACTGAGGCCCACAGCAATTAGATATCTTCCCAAAGGTCACACAGTTGGTATGCGTGGAGCCTGATTAAAACCAATGTGGCTACTAGCCTCTCACTGGGCTCTGCTGCCTCTTGTTTGTCTCTCTGTTCCTGGCGTGCCCAGGTTTGGGGGCAGCCTCCTTCCACAGCCTCCTCAGAGCCAGCCCCTGGCTGCTTGTGCATTTCCTAAGGCGAGGAAGCCCGGGCAGGAGGGTCCCAGGGAGGATGGAGAGGAGACGGTGGGCCTGAACCCAGGGCTCATGACCTGTGCCCTCTGGAGGGATTCCAGGTATCACCAGCAGCCTGGGGAGGTACACCCTTGTGTGGGGAGGAGGAACTCTTCCCAGCACCCTCAAATTATCCCTTAAAATTAGCCTTGGCTGCAGTTAGGCTGGCAGTGGGCGAGGCCCTGGTCTGGGAGCCCAGAGTCTAAGCTGTAGTTTCAGTTGACCCCCTGATGGTCAGTGTGACCTTGACCTTGGATGGGGCCCTTCCCTTTTGGGACTTCAGATTCCCTATTTGCAGACGTGAAGAGGGGACAAGATCTCCCAGCAACATGCAGTGGCTGGAGCTGAATCAAACCCTGTGTTGGTCGGATCTAGAAGGGCGAATGTGGTCAGAATGTTCTCCCTCACCCCTCCCAGGTCTCTTGGCTGCCCTGGCTGGGCCCACCCCACATCTTCGCAGTGGCATGTCCTTTCATTTAGGAAAGGAGTTTCCTTAGACAGGCAGACAGTGATGGGGTGGGAGGCTTGGAAAGGGATGAGATCAGTGTGGCCCAGCTCCCTGCTGGAGTGGTGAACAGAGAGTGTCCTTGGGTCACACAGATCATTAACCAGCTGTGTGACCTTGAGCAGAGCTCTTAACCTGCTTGAACTTCGGTTTCTGTATCTGTAAAACAGTGATAATAATAGTACCTACTTTTGAAGGTTATTAATAGTGAGGATAAAATAAGGATTAAAGGGAAGTGTGTCTAAAACACTTGGCGCAGAGCCTGGTATGTAGTCAGCACTCAGAAAGTGTGGCCTTGATGACAACAATGATGATGGTGAAGATGGGAATGAGTGGGGAAAGGATGGCGACAACCGTTGCGTTGAACAGTATGAGACGCTGCTCAGCCTTCTCCGACATACTGGGTACTTCCATGCTTCCAGGCTTCACACTTGCCATTTCTTCTCCCTTGCCATCCCCCAAGACTTCTTCCAGCACAAATGCATCCTAAGTAATGGAGTAACCAGGCCCTGTGGATCTGAGCCTGGAGGAGCCCGGGGGCAGATTAGAACCCAATGGCTGTGCTCTGCATGAGGTGGGAGCACCAGACTTGGAGGAATTAATAGAAGGTTTCCCAGGGGAGGCAGAGCTTAGCTGGAGTCTTGATGAAGGAGTAGGAATTGGCTGGAAGAAGAGAATAGGATTTCTTTTTTTCCATTTAAAGCAGTCCAGGCAGATGAAATAACACGTGCAAAAGCATAGAGGTGTGAAATAGCATGTTGAGCTTGGGAAACTGCAAGAAGCACAATATGGTGCGAGTGGGGAGAGGGAGAGAGGAAGACGGAATGGGGAGGATGTTTGGGGTGGATCACGAAGAGCCTGTGTGCTACACCAGATACTCAAAATGTGCCTTGAAGGTGATGGGGAGTTATTCTTTTCATCATGCGACAAACATTCCTGAGGACCTACTTGACCCAAGACATCTTTGTAGCGGGCACTGCGATGTGCTGCCAATGCCTGTGCCTCCTACCCCCACACCTCCGCTGCTGAGAGTGCTGATGGCAGGCAGCTTGCAGGTGAGACTCCTCCCACCACCGTCATTGCCTCCTCACCTAATGCCATGGTCCCTCCAGGGCCAGCCTGCATCCAGAGACTGGTTCACATGGGGGTATAAAAGCCCAGGCCCCTTGCCCCAACTTGGGACAACTATGAAGAGTTTCCAGCTCCACAGCTCCCTGAGGGGCTGGCCGAGGCCTTTGTGGGGTTTGCCTCACAACCCAATTTATCCCTCTGGCCAATTCTGCTTCAATCACTCCCTGCCAGGTGTTGACCTTGAATGTACTCCCCCAATAAACCTCCTGCAAGCAAACCTTCATCTCAGAGTCTCCTTCCCCAGGAACCAAACCTCCAATGATCATTACTGAGGGATGTCAATGGTGGCTGACGTTTCACTGAGGGCTCAATGAGAGACCCCGCTTTTGGAAGGTGATTCTGTCTACAGTGTGAGAATGATGTGGAAGGACACACTGGAGTCCAGAGGCCAGTGGGAAGGTAGTTGTGATTTAGCAGAGAAATGATGAAGGCACCAGGTGGGTGGGGGCAGGAAGGAGGGACAGAGCTAGGGGACATAGAGGAAACAGCACTGCCAGATAGAGACTGGGTAATGAAGGAGTCTGCCAGGCAGAGGTGGAGGCAGTCCCTGGGATGAGTTTAACTGGAGAAACTCAGTTCAATTTGGGAGTTGTGAGAGTGCCATTTGCATGAAGTATGAAGGTGGAAGGGCCGGGAGGTGGGTGAAGAGCCTCCAGGAGATAAATTGGAGCTGGAAGTGTGGATCTGGGGTTAGCCAGCACTTTGTAGTTTACAGAGCATTTATTGGCACCCATTTAGTTCAGTATGGGCAGCAACCAATCAGAAGGGTTGCCAGGATCTTGAGGACCTTCTGAGGGGCTAGATATTAACCCCTTGGTTGCTGAATCATGGTGGGAAGGTTGGGGGATGCTGGGTTGCATGGCAGAGGCACTCAAGGGGCTCTGAGTCATGGCTGTTTACCAAGCAGTAAGTTAGAATCTGCATGCCAGCTGAGTATCAGCCCTACAGGTTCCTCTTAGAATCCTCACAAGAACCTGTTGAGGCAGATACTATAATCCCTTTCCCAAAAGAGGAAACCAGGGCTCAGTGAAGTAAGTAACTTTCCAGAAACCAGGCAGCTCTTAAACAGCAGAACTGGAGTTGAACCCAGGTCCGTCTGAGCCTGCATCCCATGGCTTTAAATGTTGGAGTGGGAATCAAAATGCAGAATTCTTGGCTCATTTAACCAGGGGCCTTTCCTCTCACTCAATGGCCACTTCCTGTAGTGAATTCCAGAACGTCTGATCATGAGCCAGTTTCTCCTTCCAAGAAACAGGGTTGAGAATGACCAGCCTTGTGGGGTGTGGGTGGAGTCAGACAACCCTACTGGGGGTTTCCAGGCCTGGGGAATCCGCCAGCTCCCAGTTTGGAGCCCAGGCACGTATGGGAAGGTTCTGGGTAGCAGCGGCTTCTCCAGTGGATTCCACCTCCCATGTCAGAAGGAGATCTTGGGCCAGCTATGCCTGCCTCAGCCTGGGTCTGTCACCTCCAACCTTTAGGAAAATGGGCTTCCTTTGAAGCAGTAAGCATCTTGTTACCAAAGTATTCCTGTGGACCTGGCTATTCATTCATTTGTTCATCCATTCCTTTAACATTGAACAACTATTTAGAGAGTACCTCCCATGCCCTGTGCCACCTGAGTCCCACCTTACCTGGGTCCAGCCTTACCTGGGTCCTGTTTCACCTGGTTCCAGCCTCACCTGGGTCCGGGCTGGTGGAGAAGTTGGGTGCTTAACAGGTAATGCCATCAAAGTGAAACAGACTGGGGAACCTACAGGGGCTGTTCCGTCATCCCTGCATTACTCCTGTGCCAGCACAGCGATGCTGTCAGGGGCTATCTGATGAATGGATGAAGGAAGGAAGGGCTGAGATTGGACAAAAGAAAGGGCTCCATGACTGGCATGAGAGAGAACCCTGAAGGGGGCATCAGGGATGGGGCGGCATCTCCATCCCTGGAGAGCACCAGCCTCTGCCCTGCAGGGTGTGACAGCTACTCCACCTGGAGGCAGAGGGCTGGACTCAGAGATGCTGGGGCCTTCCTGGACCTGGAATCTTCTGCTCCATTATGGCTCCAGGTGGCATCTGGATGCCAAAAAGATACTCTGATTGTTTGGTCGGCTGTGACTCAGAACATGCAGAATAACTTCCTTGTGGAACCTTGTTCAGGGAGTCTAGGAGAGTGTTAGCAGGGGGTGGATGGGGAGGGAGAGGCCCATCTGCAGTGCTCTGGTCTCCTGCTCCAGAACCCACCGGAAGTCTTGGGCATGACCCGAAAGTGTGGCAGTGTCAGGTTTTTGAAAACACAACATGTTTTCCTTTTCTTTTAACTTTTAAACTTCTCTGAGAAGATTATTTTACAAGCCATTTTCTTACTCCTCTCCCATCTCTCGGTCACAGTTTCAGCTTCATGCCAACAGGGCTGTGGTAATTAGGAAAGAGGACAAGTTCCCTCTGGCCACCCATGGAAGAAGAAGTGACTGCATGAGGAGGGGATGGGGAGGGAGGAGGTGAAGCTTTCGTGAGCACCTTCTGCAGGGAGCCAGGCCTTATGCAGAGTGCTTTGCATATCATCTCCATTTTTTTGCATGAGGAGACTGAGAGATAAAGTAATATGCACATAGTTGGTAATGATTATGCTAATACGAATAAAATAGATAATTATTAGGTGGATCCATTATTCAAAAAACTGACAATTCCTCATGGTTTGACCTACTACATGTCATTCGGGCCTGCTACGTGCCTGCACAATGCAAGATGTTCTCTGTAATTCTCACAAGAACTGTGCAAGGAATGTGTTATTTTGATTTGAAAAGCTGAGGAAACTGAGGCTAAGACAGATCAGGTGACTATCCAGTTGCTCCTAGCAAGTCAGTAGTGGGACCGGTCCTTGAACTCAGGTCAGTTTCCAAAGCAGTGCAACAGCTGAAAATCTATGTGCTGAGTTTGCTAATTTGACCAGCTCTTCTTAAGGTTATATTTGTCTTTGGGGGATGGAAGCTGTCATCATGGAGATGCAGGGCCCTGCTTGGGGTCAAGGTGGGATTCAGGGACTTGGTCTTATTAATATAATTATCTTATGATGAAGAAACAAAGCCCCAGTCACATGGGGACAAGTCATAGCCTGGAACTTCCAGGGCTCCTGAGGTGCATGGGGAGGTAGGCAGAGCCATTTATCAAAAGATCTGGTTTCAATCCTGGTTCAGCTGTGAGCCCTGCCCACCCTGGGCCTCGCTTCCTCAGCTACACAGAGACCACTGTAACCTCCAGCTCTAAGGTTTGGTGAATCTGGGCAGAGTCACAGCTGGGAACTCCTGTCCTCTACCCCCTGCCCTGTGCCACCTGAGTCCCACCTTACCTGGGTCCAGAGCTTTAGCCAAGCCCCATGGGAATGCCTCTGTGCTTCTATTTTCCTTCAGAACCTTAAAGATGCTTCCTTATTTTCCTGCACTCAGTTACCACCCACTGCCCTTGGCCTGATTTAATGACTGCCCCAAAGCCTGTCTGAGCTTATGACCTCCCGGTGCTCAGACTTGCTGTGAGGTTAATGGTGCTGGTAGCACTGATCTGAGGGGTCCAGGCATAGTGGGGGCAGCTGAGAGCCCACATGGATATGTGAGGGGATGAGGGCCGCCTCTGCAATGTGCTTTCCCCTCCTGACACCTCAGCAAGCCTGAGACACAGGACTGCTCCGTTCTCAATTGGTGCCGCATCTCAGCCCAGATCCTCCAGCCTGGCAGGGAGAGGAGGAAATTTGCCTCCTACTTCCATCTCTGGTCATTTTTGTTAGCTCAGTTGGTTAGTGGGCTTTCAAAATGACTTATTACAAGACTCTATATGTTTGTATCTCAGTTTTTGTGATATGCATGGACCTCTAAATCTCAAAGCCCAGGCCCCTTATGGGTCTGAGCAGGTGGAAATGTGAGCCTTCCACAGATGCCAGAGGGGAGACGCTGGTGCTCGAGCTACCAGTGGGAATGAGGGGCAGCAGGGGATGCCCTTATAGACTGAAGGTGACCTAGGCCAATGCCCTGGCCCTCTGTACCTCTCCCACCTCCAGAACAGAAATACACTCCAAATACGAGTGGGGAAAAGCCCTGAATTGTCTGAGGGAACGCTGAACTGACCAGCATCATGCCCATCAGCACCAGAGTTAAGCATTAAGGTGACGCTTCTGCGTCCACAAGCTTGGTTGCTTGACGGAGCTCAGCCCTTGCTCCACACGGAGCCTTTGTCAGTTCTCTGCAGTGAGCACCTGCCATTCTGCAGTGATGGGCACACACATCACAGCAAAGCCCCTTCTGGCTGGAAGCTTCACTCTTCTTTTGGAGTGGGGTCTAAAAACAGACCCCCGTTTGTTCAGGACCATGAAATTTCCCACATAACAGAGCTCTATATCCTGCTCACCTGCTGCCCCTGCACCCCCAAACTCACTTGCTAGCAGATTGAGTTGGGGCATATATTATTGGCTATGAGTATGTGTGACTGTGGCCTTGGCTGTGAGTGCAACTGTGAGCAGGGCTTTTGTGTGAGGACGTGTGCATGTGTGTGCCCATGCAAGGAATTTCATGAGATTAAGTCAGATAAGCTCGAATGAAGACCCAGCAAGTGCTACATGCCTATCAGCCTCTGAGTCAGGGTGTGTGTTCAAATGAGGATCCCAACAGTTAGCCTGTTGGTAGGCCGGTTCAGTGGCTGTGAGCCAAAAGGCTCTCAGCCTTGTTTTTGTTTTTTGTCTTTTGGGTTTTTTTTCTTTTGCAGGGTTTGTTGGTGTCTTGGGGTAAGAGGCTCTTCAGGCTGAAAGGTGAGCGGAGGCTGTCAGAAGCTGGGGAGATCTGGGTCACCCAAAGCAAACATGAGCCCTTACTCAGATCTCACAGCAAAGACCACCCCTGGATCTGTCCATGCAGAGGCCCAGGTCTCTGGTGAGAAAGGCAGAGGGGAGGATCAAGCATGGAAACTGGAGGGGGAAAGAACAGAACTCACAGGGGTAGACCATTGGCTCTAAGACACCCGCGCTTGGGCCTTAATGTACAGCTCAGTTAATCTTCACCTTTGCCCTGAGAGGTTAAATTATTATCCCCATTTTACAGGGGAGAAAACAAGCTGGGAGAGGAGGAATGACTTGCTCATGGTTGTGCAGCTAGTAGAAAATTCTACCCTCTTGTGGTGGCACCATTGTTTCCTAATACAAAACAGAGTCCTACTTCAAGGAAGTGGAGAGAAAAGGGGTAGATTTGTATTTTCCCAAAGGATAGAGCAGGTGTCCACATAATGACTCCAAGAGTCTAAGAACCTGGGTGTTGGGGAAGCTGACTTGCTGGCAGAAGCACACAGGCTTTGGAGTCAGTGTCTGCAGCCTTCTGGTTGGGGTAATCTTGAGCAAGTCATTTTACTTCCCTGAGTCTCAGTTTTCTCATCTATAAAATAGGGGTAATGATACGCTATTCTATCTTCATCAGATTGTAATGAGAATTACATGAGATGCTGTGTGGGAAGCATTTAACACGAGGCCTGGCAGAATACTCTGCTGTGGTTGTCATCTCTAGGGTTAGGATATAGGTCTCTTTGGTATGAGAGAGCCACACTCAGGGAGAGTAAATGGCAAGGTGTCCCCAGGGAGGAAAAGACCTGGACAGTGACCAAAGTTGCCTTGTGTTGCAAACAGTCTGTGGGGAGTTCTTTGTTTTCATTCTTATCCCACAGAGCTACTCCATTTCTACACTCTCTAATCACCTTTAAGCTTCAGATAAACAACAGAAGAGTAGAGAGAACTGCCTGGCCCTTTTAATCTCCTTGAATCTCCACCCCACTCTCCTCCACAATGCACTGGCCATGGGAGGCCTTTGTTAGTTGGAATGGCAGAATGGCTTCCACTGCATCTGGGAGGATGCTGGGGCCTCCAGGTGGGCTGACTTCAGTAGCACCAATACCATGCTTCCAGGGGCAGTGCTGAATTCTTAAAGCTCATCCCTCATCTCTTCCCTACTTTGTCCTGTTGCAGTCTGGCACACACACCAACCCCATTGACCATGACTTCCTTAAGGTCCCCACAGCTCCCTTATCAAGTCTGGTGGACACATCCTGCTCAGTCTTGACTAACTGGCCCTCTTAGTGCCTCTGGTGCTCTATGCCTGCCTCTGCCTCAGATGCTCCCCTTGGCACCCATGTGATTTGCTTCCTTTCCTCTTGCCGGGTCTTCCCTCTTCTCTAGGCTGCACCTCCTCAGTTGCCTCTGAGGGCTCCTCTGTCTCCGTGGCATCCTCATTATGGCTGTATCCATGGCCTGGCCCTGGTCCCTACCTTCCTCACTCCACACCCTCTCCACCTTCTTCAGCCCAGAGCCTTGCTGCCTAGCTCCCCAGCTCCCCAGCTCCAGACCCACTGCTCTCTAGCCTTAGGACAGCTCCACTGGGATGTCCCTATGCCCTTCACACTCAGCCTGTGCAGAGAGGGACGGCCGAGACCCAGGCCTGCTCCTGCCACCTCCTTGCTCAAAACCCTCCATCTACAAACACTTGAGAAAATGATTTGGCGTCACATATTCAAGTTGAACATGCGCATGCTCTCCAACCCACCAAGTCTACTCCTGGGAATATACCCAACAGGCATGTGTACCAAAGACGCATGCAAGGATATTCAGAGCACTATGCATAATAGCCAAGAACTGGAGACCACCCAGTGCCCATCAACAGACAGTGGCGGATTCACACAATGGAGTGCTACAAGCTACGGAGATAGCTGCAATATTGAGAAATCTCACAGACGTCCTGTTGAACAACAGAACACGACACAGTTCATACTGTACACTTGCATTTATAAAGTTCAAAAAACAGGCAAAACAAACCTGTGGTACCAGAAGACAGGACAGTGGTCAGCCTTGGGGGCACATAGTAACTGGCAGGGACCCGCAGGGGCTTCTGGGTGCTAGACGCCTGACAGATTTTGATCTGGATGTTGGTTCCATGGGTATATTCCTTGTGAAAATTTACCAAGATGCATACTTATGATAGGTGAATTTTTCTGTATATGTATTACGCTTCAATAAAAGGCTAAAATAAAGAAATAAATAAAATCTTCCATGAGTCTTGATTGCATTCAAGATAAAACCTGCAGACTCCCTTCTAGACTGGTAAATGCAAGGCCCTTCATGACCTGGCCCCTGCCTTGCTGCCCTCCTCTCACTCCACCCGCCCCTTCTCCAGCCCTCACAGTAGCGAGGTGATTGCCACTCCCTGAAAGCGAGATGCTATTTTCAGCTTCTGGGCTTTAGCACGGCTGTTCCTTCCGTCTGGAATGCCCTTGCCAGTCTATTCCATCTGGCTACACCCAGAGATCCCTCAGGACTTTCTCAGCTCCCCGGACCATGAGTTACCACCTCAGCTCGCTCCATAGTTGTTGGTTTGAACCTCTGTTCCAGTGTCTGCTCTTCTGCTGGCTATGGTTGTCGCCCACCTGTCGTCCTGCCCTATGGCTGTGAATGCCATCTTGAAGAGACTATGTCTTTGTTCTGGTATGTCCAGCAAGAGCTCATGGCCTGGGACAGGGTTAAGTGTCAATAAGGCATAAAAATGAAACCATATGCAGTCACACACTCAACAAACCATTTCCTTGAAAAGAACAGAATGATGTGTAGGGAGTACACACTTTTGTTATATAGATTCCGGTTAATGCAATGTTTTAATATTTAGAATCAGGATGTCCCTGGGAAACCTGGGCAGTCTGGTTGCCGTGGGCTTTCTTGTCACAAGGGAACCCAGTGATAGGCTAATTCATACTATAGCATGAAGAGCTAAATATACCTGCATTTCACAGGAAGAGCCCCGAAAAGGCAATGTTTTCCATAGTGGAATGGTGTATACATATGGTGGCATTTCAGGCATAGTGGCTTCTTAGAGAGCACTTTCCTTCTTAGGATGGATGCCGTCTATATGCACTTGAGTGGTTCTCTAGAATTCAGATGAGCAGTGGGTGCTCTCCCAGAAGGAGGGCCCTGTAAGGAATTAAGTTGTATTTTATTTAACAAGAAGCGTAATAGGCAGAAAATGACCTTGGATTTCCTGAATGTGGCCTTCCTTACAACGTTGCTGCAGGGCAGGCCCCCACAGTCCTAGGAGAGTGAGGGGTCACTGGAGGAACAGGGGTGGGTCAGGGTTCTCGAGAAAGCAGACCCCAGAAGCAACCTGCATCTTGGACTCTGGGGTTGCCTGGGAATGAAAAACGAGAATGGGGTCCCCCTAATAGCTGCAACACCATATGCTTAGGCTGTCAGGGTACAAGGGGTTGGTAAGGGGTGAGGTTGCTGCTGGAGGATTTGTATTCTTCTCAGCTCGTGGGAAACACAGCCACCCTTTGAACGGGGTGGGCAGGGAAGCATGGAGAAAAGCCATGCCTGGGTGGGGACAGCAGTGTGGGCAGGGAATGGGAGTGTAATTAGAGTGTAATTAAAGTATTTTGTGGGCTGAAAAGGAAAAGCTGCCAGGCCCCTGAGCCAACCCAGAGGAGAAGAGGGAACAGAAGTCTTATCATTGAGAGAATGGTGGCGCCAGCCTCCACCCAGCCAGGACCACCCACGGCCAGGGGCCACGCAGGCAGAGCTGCCAGGCAAAGAGACCAGGTGCACCCTTATCTGAGCTTGGCATGGAGGTAGTGGGATGATCCCTCAGGGGACCACGATGGCCTGGCAGAGGGCCCTGCTGCAGCTGGCAGGACCAAGTTTCCATGCGGTGCTGCTGGTGGCTGGGAGGAGTGATGGCCGCAAGGGTTCCTTGGACACAGGTGCTGGCTCACTGGCTGGGAAGGTTGAACTAAGTCCCTTTCCCACTGTGTGGGGGACAATTCAGGGGGTCTCTCCCCAAGAGAGATAAGATTGGAGATCTGAGCAAATTTTAATTTTAATTTAGAAAAAAAAAATAAAGCACAATGGCCCTAAAGAATTAAGTCAGCTACATTTGACCACATATCAATTAAGAACTTTTTTTGTAATAAGAGACAGAATAGTGTTAAGACGTAAATGACAAATCAAGAGAAATATTTGCCCCGTGTATAAGAAGAGATCAATGTCTGGGCAATAGAAACAGCTCCTGTAAATCAATAAGAAAAGACAGACAAAATAGAAAACTGGGCAAAGTGTTTGAATAGGAAAGTCGAAAAGGAAATAAAAAGGATGTATACATGCAAAGATGCCCTCCTTACTGGTCATCAGGGAAATGGAAGTTTAAAAGGAACATGAGCAGGGCGTGGTGGCTCATGCCTGTAATCCCAGCATTTTGGAAGGCCAAGGTGGGAGGATTGCTTGAGCCCAAGAGTTTGAGATCAGCCTGAGCAACATAGGGAGACTTCATCTCTATCAAACAAATAAATAGATAAATAAATAAATGAATAAATAAAAGGAACATAAATCAGAAATTCGTTTTTGCCTATAACATTGACACATTTTGAAAAATATTGATGATAGTAAATGTTGATAAGAGTTGCTGGCCATGTAAATTGGCGTAGCCTTTTTGGAGGCCATCTGATAGACTCTATTACAAGTTTGTCCACCCTGTGGCCCACGGGCCGCATGTGGCCCAGGACGGCTTTGAATGAAGCCCAACACAAATTCATAAACTTTCTTAAAACATTTTTGTGAATTTTTTTTTACCTCATCAGTTATCGTATTAGTGTATTTTTTTTTTTTTTTTTTTTGAGGCAGAGTCTTGCTCTGTCGCCAAGGCTTGAGTGCAGTGGCGGGATCTCGGCTCACGGCTCACTGCAACCTCTGCCTCCCAGGTTCAAGCAATTCTCCTGCCTCAGCCTCCTAAGTAGCTGGGATTACAGGCGCCCGCCACCATGCCCAGATATATATATATATATAATTTTTTTTGTATTTTTTTTAGTATTTTGTATTTTTAGTAGAGACGTTTTTGTATTTTTAGTAGAGACCATGTTGGCCAGGCTGGTCTCGAACTCCTGGCCTCAGGTGATCCACCCACCTTGGCCTCCCAAAGTGCTGGGATTACAGGCGCCCCCCACCATGCCCAGATATATGTGTATATATATATATATATATATATATATATATATATATATATATAGTATTTTTTTTAGTATTTTGTATTTTTAGTAGAGACGTTTTTGTATTTTTAGTAGAGACCATGTTGGCCAGCCTGGTCTGGAAATCCTGGCCTCAGGTGATCCACCCACCTTGGCCTCCCAAAGTGCTGGGATTACAGGCGTAAGCCACCACGCCTGGCCAGTGTTAGTGTATTTTATGTGTGGCCTAAGACAACTCTTCTTCCAGTGTGGCCCTGGGAAGCCAAAAGATTAGACACTCCTGCTCTATTAGAATTTAAATACACATATCTTTATGTATTTGACCCAGCAATTCACCTCATGATATCTACCCCAGAAAAACACCTGCATATGTGCACAAAGAGGAAAGTACAGGATATTTATTGTAGTACTGTTTATAATAGTGAAAAATAGGAGGAAAATGTACAAGAATAAGAAGTGGTTAAAAATTCCAACACAAATTAGTCAGGCATGGTGGCGTGCACCTCTAGTCCCAACTACTAGGGGGACTGATTGGGGGAGGATGGCTTCAGCCAGGGAGGTGGAGGTCATGGTGAGCTGAGATTGTGCCACTGCACTCCAGCCTGGGCAACAGAGCCAGGCCCTGGCTCAAAAAAGAAAAACAAAAAACTCCAATATATTTATACTATGGAATGCCACTGAGCAACAAGGCAATGCAGCCCTGTAAACTTAGACTTACAATGTGGCCCAAGAGAGGGAGGCCTGAGCGTCAGCTTCCCTGGGCTGGCCTGTCCCAAGGGCACCAGGAGGCTGAATTGAGGGCCAGTGAACCAATAGGCCTGAAAGGGTAAAGGGCCCGGGCGGCAGAGGCCGATGAGAGCCCACTGGGCAGGGGGATTGATGGGGACCAGGGCAGAGACTGTGGGTCTGCAAGCACCAGGAGCCCAAGCGCAGTCAGATTGGCCAGGGCCACCACTGGAGGAACGGCCTGGGCTAAAGGAAGGCCCTGAGCTCCTGAGCTGGAGACCCCATGGGAGAAACCAGCAACTGGACAGGCGCAGGATGGCCCTGGAGAGGCAGTGGCACTGACTGCATCTGCCGGTTCAGGACGATCGGCCTGCCTGGCTGCTCCCACTAAAAACCCTTTCCCCCACCACTCCTGATGCTCCCACACAGCTGAGAGGCAGGTGAAAGGGGAAGCGACCTGAGGGACAGGACGTTTTTATACAAGACAGACTGATATTACCTAGACAGCTTCAATGATCAGATCAGACCAAACTTTCAACCAAATTAGATGGCATTCTGTAACTTTTTCCCGCCAACCTGGGGTTAGGGCAGGGAGGGAGGAGTTTGGGAGGAAAGTCAGATTAGTAACACATAAAATCACAGCTTCCCTGTGCACTGGAGAGTAAAGTGAGCTGAATTTGATGACTCCCCCCACCAGTGTGACACACTTTGGTCATTTGGCCTTCCCAGCTTGGCATGCCCTCCCTCCCTGCTCCTCCTGGTCGGTTCGGTTTAGCCCTGGTATCCCTCCTCAGGGAGTTGCCTTTGAATCCCCCAGAATGACCTTCACACCCCTGGGCTTCTCTGCATGGTGGCATTTGGCACACTGTGTAGTCACATCCATCTTCCCCACAGACTGTGGGCTCTGGGGCAGAGACTATCTAATGCTCATCTATGTTCCCTTAGAACCTAGCACAGTACTGGACTCAGTTAATGTTTGCTGAATCAATGAGTGCATAAATGAATGAATGATGACATGACCTGAAAACTGTGACCTTGGGTCTTCACTTCCCTTCTCTAGGGCTCTGTTTTCCTAGAGGTGGGGTTGGGGAGCTGGCCTTCTCTGATCAACCTGCCCAGTCCAGGCCTTCTCCAGAAGAGCCCCAAACTGCCAGACTCTCTCTTTTCCCCACTGAAAAATTCCAGACAGGAGAGCCCAGTCTACTGCAACCTCCCTGCCCCCTCTGCCCACTCACATCTTTTTCAAATCCCGCCGCTTCCTCTCTCTAGACGTGGCTCATGTCTGGCTTCCTCCCAACGCCCTCATCCTTGAGGGACCTGACAGCTTCCAGATGGGTGCGGTCACTGCCTCCTTCCCGGAGTCCAGCAGGCAGGCAGCCCGGCCCAGCGGAGGAGCTGCCCAAGGCCTCTCCCTGCCCCTGGGGGAAGTCCCTCTCACGTCCTTTCGCGTCCTTCTCTGCGTCGTCCGGGCCCTCTGACCCTGCTCCCCTCTCCATTCTCTCCGTGTGGCTCTGTCTCTCGGGCTGGGCGTCTCTGGCTTTGTCTTTGTTGCCTTTTCTCTCTTGTCTCTGTGTCTCTACTCTCTCCCAGTACCTGTGTCCCCCACTCCTGCCCTCTCTCCTTGTCTGTTTTTCTACGTCTTTCTCTCCCCTCTCCAGACTCCTCCTTCCTCTCCTCTGGCCTTCCCCTCCCCAAGCCTGGCTGATGGGTGGTTGTTTCTCCAAACCAGGCCCGCCTCCGAACCTGCCCTGACCAGCCTGAGTCCCCTCTCCCACCCCACCTCCTCCACACACCTCTGTCGGGTGTGTGCCCCAGGACAGTCGGGGGAGTGTACTGGACCCACAACATCCCAGCGCTGCCTTCCCAAGGGGGAGAAGGGACTGACTGTGACCCATGGCCAAGGTCATCTGAGCTTAGCTGGCCTAGAGATGCCCCACCCCTACCCTGCATGAAGTAGCCTGGTCCCTTCCAGGCCCTGACTGCTCCAGTGCCTGGCGAGGGAGCAGCCCTCAGAACCGGGGCTGCACTTATGCCCCCACCCCCAAACATACACACACCGGGGAATGCTTTCCTCTGCTGCCTTTCCCCCGCAGAGCCCGCTGGGAGCTGGGCTGTTAGATAGCTCGCTGCTTCAGTTTTCACCCCAGAACCCAGCCCGAGGGATATAAGAGAACCCAGGCACGAGAGGGCAAGGCAGAGAAAGGAAAAATGGGATGGAATGTGAACCCTGAGGTGGGAATCTACAGGTTAGATTCAGCCCTGTGGGATCCTAGGCTCTGCCAATGGGAGGCTTCAGACAAACGATTTCTTTTTTCTGAGCCTCTGTTTTTAACTTGTAAAGTGGTACAGCAGATTCCCTCCTGGTACACTGTTATGGGAATTACATGTTAAGACATGGATAAAACCTCCAACACTGAAGGCTCTTGATAAATGTTACTCGAGAGGGAATCTGAATGCCTGACAAAGGAATAAGCCAGGAGTCAGGAGATCTGTGTTCAAATCCCATCTATGCCTTCTGTGGCTGGCCAGGGGGGATGCTCAAAAAGAATTGAATAGTAAACAAATGAAGGGAAAAGGAGATGATGAATGACTGAATCTCAATCGCTGATCACCTGTGGCTTTGCATATATCAGATTCTCAGGAAAATGGAGACGTAAAACTTACCTTGCAAACTTGCGAAGAGAATGAAATTGAATAAGGAATGTGAAAGTGCACAGTCAGTGCTCATACACATTTGCCCTTATATAAATTATGATAATCCTAGTGCAAGACTTAAAATAAAAAATTAAGAGTCACAAAATGCTGGGGCAGTTGCCCTACTTAAGCCCAAACTGTTAAGGAGCGTGGAAAAAGGGCCTGGCTTGCTTTTTAGTGGCCCTCAAGCCCACAGCAGATTGAGTGAAGGTGCCTGGAGACTTTTTGCAGGTTGTTTGTTTGTTTGTTTGTTTGTTTGTTTTAAGAGACAGGGTCTCCTCTGTCACCCAGGCTGGAGTGCAGTGGTACAATCATAGCTCACTGAAGCCTCAGCCTCCTTAGCTCAAGGATTACAAGTACACACCACCACACTCAGCAAATCACTTTTTTTTTTTTTTTTTTTTGTAGAGATGGGCATCTTGCTTTGTTGCCTGGGCTGGTCTTGAACTCCTGGGCTTAACTGATCTTCCTGCCTCGGCCTCTCAAATCACTGAGATTACAGGTGTGAACCAGCATGCCCAACTTATTATTGCAGGTTCTTGACCAAGTGGCCAGGGTGACTGCTGAGGAGCCAGAGATGCAAACCCGGGGATGCTGCAGCCTGAAGCAGGCCCGAGGAGGCCAGGGTCAGAGGGCCAGTCCTGCCAATGAGGGCCTAGATGGAGGGGTGAGGCCGTCTTCAGGACTACAGGCTTCACTCCCTATCTCAGCAGTGAGCCTGGGCACACCCTATCCCCAGGCTGGGCACCAGACTTTTGTCCCACTTCAGCATGGGTCCAGGTGGCATAGCAGACAGACCTGCCCTTTCCTGATTCCGGCTGCTGTTAAGTACATCTCACAGGCTACTGCGTCTGTGCCTTGGTTCCGCTGTCCCTGCCACCTGGGATGTGCAGTCTGCCTTCTCTTTCTGTTAACATCTTACCTACCCTTCAGCTCTACTGCAACTTCCCAAGATCCCCCTGGGTCAGAATGACTCCCACACCAACCAGACCTTGGGCACGTTACCTGACTCAATGAGTCTCCGTTTACTTGCTTGCATATGGTGCTGTTTGTACCTACCTGTGGGTCCTATGAGCATTTGGTGAGAAAACTTATACAAAAGTGCCCAGCATGATTTTAGCATATAAATTATCTCCTTATGGTGATACTTTTTTCCTCCAATAAAAAATTTGTCTTGCTTTCTGTGTTATGTTAGTTGGCATGTATTCCGCATCAGAATGGGAAGTACTTGAGCACTGGGTTATTTTGACCTCTAGTGCCTAACACAGGACCTGACCCATCCATCATAACACATGCAGAAGGGCGTGGCCCTGACCTTGACCTGCACAAGCTAAATAGGGCCACATTCTCTGAGCCTCCCCATGTGTGAAGCAATGTGGGGAGCATTCTCTGTGCATCACTCAATCACTCAACAAAAACTTAGTGAGCATCTACTATGTGTCAGGTTCTGTCTATGGCACTTAGGTGACATCAGTGAACAAAAGCCCTAAATCCTGTCCTTGTGGGGCTTGTTTTCTAGCAGAGGGAACAGATGACAAAGAGCAAACACAGTGAATGTTAGAAAATGACAGCACTATGGATAAAAATAGAGCAGTGCGAGGGGGAGTGTTGGGGGGAAGGGGGTAGGTTACAATTTTAAATTGGGTGGTCAGTGCAGGCCTCCTTAGAAGGACAGTTGGGCCAGGGCTTGAAGAGTTTGGGAGTTCATCATCCAAATGTCTGTAGGGAGTATGTTTCTGGCCAAGGAACAGCCATGGTAAAGGCTCTAAGGTGGGGCCACCCGGCTTCTTGTGGGAGGCAGGGAACAGGACAGCATTAGGGCAGGAGGTCAGGCCGTTTGTTACTGAGGGTTCACCAGGGCTTTACAGGCCACGGTAAGGGCTTTGGTTTTGCCCTAAGTGACTTGAGCCATTGGAGGGTTTTTTTGTTTTGTTTTGTTTTGTTTTGTTTCTGAGACAGAGTCTCACTCTGTTGCCCAGGCTGGAGTGCAGTAGTGCCATCTCAGCTCACTGCAACCTCCACCTCCCAGGTTCAAGCAATTCCCCTGCCTCAGCCTCCTGAGTAGCTGGGATTACAGGCACACGCCACCATGCCCAGCGAATTTTTTGTATTTTAGTAGAGACGGGGTTTCACCATGCTGGCCAGGATAGTCTCCATCTCCTGACCTTGTAATCCACCCGCCTTGGCCTCCCAAAGTGCTGAGATTACAGGTGTGAGCCACCACGCCTGGCCCATTGGAGGTTTTGAGCAGGGAAGAGACATGATGTGACATGTTCTAAAAGGATCACTCCTTATGGCTATTCTGTGGGTTCAAATCCCAGCTGCCCTTCTCGGTAGCTGCATCTCTGGGCAAATAATCTCAGCACTCAGCTTCACTTTCCTCTTTAAAAAGTAGATTAATACTATGTGTCTAACAGATCCTTGGCAGAAATTTCTGTCTGCTTTTGGGCCTAAGAATAGCAGTCCTTCTGAGCAGTTGGTCTGTTTCAATCTCATGAACACTGTGGCTGCGTTTCTCATGCTTACGGGCTGCTGGGAAGTGGGAAGCAAAGCATGTGCGCTCCCCATGGCAAATCCATTGCTCTTTAGGCAATTCCAGCTTTATTCTTGCACTGTTTTCTTTCATGCCTACTTAAAAATTTTGTTTGAAATGTTATGCCCTTTAAACAATTCCTTTAAAATAACGATTTTTCCTCAATTACAAAAATAATACATGTTAATGTTAGGTATTTGGGGAAAGGTACAGGAAAGGGACCATGAAGAAAATATTTGTGAACCAAAGCTAAGCAATTTTAATCTTTTTTGTAGTATTTCTCTCCAATCATATACATAGGTATGTGTGTATATGTATGTTTGTGTGTGTGTGTGTGTGTGTGTGTGCATAGCTAGAAAAAAAATTGAACTATTAAACGTTGTTCCCCTTCCTCCAGAGTTTCTTTAACTCATGACCTTTGCTCTCACCCTGGCTGTTGGGGACCACACCTTCATGCTATGGTGGAACACTGACAATAAAGGCCTTTGGCTTTGGGGGTTTGAGTGTAAGAAACACATTTGGAAGAAGTGGTGAAGAGTCAAGCAACCCAGCTTCCAGACCAGCCAGAAAATATTCTGATGGAGGGAAGGGAGAGTTTCAAGGAGCTGTGGGTGCTAAGGAGGGGTCCTGCACCACCCGCCTTCCCCAGTTTTGTCCCAGGAAGAGAGTGTGTGAGACCCGGCCACACCGAGATGGAGACTGAGGGGTGCTGGGACTCCCAGAGCAGGGAGGACTTGTGCCCTCCCTCTCACCAGAACCTGGGAGGCGCCAGGGCACTCGAGTTCCTGACAGCCCGCTGTGGTCCTGGCTAGCAGAGCACAGATGCCTGAGAGAAGTCAGGCAGATGGGCCGGAGAGAGCTTCACAAAATGTCCCACACCCCTGGAAAGGGACTGGGGCAAGAGAGGGAGTCCTGGGCCCCAGGGGGTTGTGGGGAGTGATGGAGAGCCTTGGGGAGCCCCCATCCCAGGTGCCCCTTTGTTTACACACACCTGGAAGCAATCACAGTATACTGACGTGCAGCTGTATCAGTTTCCTGCGGTAACAAATGACACCAAACTGAGTGGCTTAAAACAACAGAAATGTGTTTTCTCTTGGTTCCGGAGTCTGAAATCAGTTCAGGGAGCTGAAGCGAAGGTGTCAGCAGAGACACACTACCTCCGGGGGTTCCAGGAGAGAATCTTCCCTGCATCTTTCTCGGTTCCATCTGCATGTGGCCTTCCCTGTGAGTCTGTCTGATCTCCTCTGCCTCTTGTAAGGGCACATGCAACTGCATTTAGGACCCATCCAGATAACACACGATAAGCCCTTGTTGTCAAGATCTTCATCTTAATCGCATATTTTGCCCTATAAGGCAATATTCATCTTTTGCCATATAAGGTAATAACAGCACTAACAGGTTCTGGGGATTAGGAAGTGAATATATCTTGGGGAAGGGGGACATTTTGTCTGCCTACCGCAAGGACCCTGTAGCAGCCAAGAAAGCTGCCTGGAACGGAAGGGCCATGTGGGTGGGAACCACATGGCAATGACCAGTGAGAACTGATAGCCAGAGCTCAGACAAGCTGACGGAGTGTCTCAGGGCACACCACTGTAGACGGATATATTGGAGGACCAACCTGTAGGAATAGGGAAAATGAGGTGAGGGGGGGATCCAGAAGTGACTGAGATTAAGTTTCCACTTCACAGAATGGTGGCTCATAATAGAAACTAAATTTAGTTAGAAAAATAAAATTGCCACTTCTTTTGCACATTTGAGTACTCTGTGGTTGGAATCTGTTACACATACGCATGTACATACATACTCCCAAAATGAGCTCTCCTTTATAAATGCTATTTTCTTTTCTTTTTTTTTTTTTTGAGGAAAAAAAAAGAGATCTCACTCTGTTGCTGGAGTGCAGTGGAGTGATCACGGCTCACTGCAACCTCAGCCTCCCCAGGCTTAAGCCACCCTCCCACCTCAGCCTCCTGAGTACCTGGGACTCCAGGCATACACCACCATGACCAGCTAATTTTTTTGTATTTTGTAGAGACAAGGTTTCACCATTTTGCTCAGACTAGTCTCGAACTCCTGAGCTCAAGCAATCCTCCCTCCCTGGCCTCCCAAAGTGCTGGGATTACAGGTGTGAGCCACTGTGCCTAGCCTATGAATATTATTTTCCAAGCTAATTTTTTTAACTTAATAACATTTCTTTTTTTTTTTCTTTTTGAGACGGAGTTTCACTCTTGTTGGCCAGGCTGGAGTGCAATGGTGAGACCTCGTCTCACTGCAAACTCCGCCTCCCAGGTTCAAGCGATTCTCCTGCCTCAGCCTCCAGAGTAGCTGGGATTACAGGCATGTGCCACCATGCCCGGCTAATTTTGTATTTTTAGTAGAGATGGGGTTTCTTCATGTTGTTCAGGCTGGTCTCAAACTCCCGATCTCAGGTGATCTGCCTGCCTCGGCCTCCCAAAGTGCTGGGATTACAGGCGTGAGCCACCGCACCCGGCCAACTTTCTCCTACATCATTGTTTTGATAATTGCCTTTAACATCCTATTGGTTAAATGTACAATCCTGTACACACACCATCTTGTAATTTTATGAATTTTCATAAGCCACCTTAAATCTTTTTTTTTACATGATCAATATACTTATGAATATCTCACAAGGATATTAATAAGTATATGCAATATATTCATAAGTACATATAGCCCAGGCTGAAGTACAGTGGCACAATCTCACTGCAAACTGCCTCTCGGGTGCAAGTGATCCTCCCACCTCAGCCTCCCAAGTAGCTGGGACTACAGGTGCAAGCCACCACACCCAGCTAATTTTTGTATTTTTTTGTAGAGACAAGTTTTCACCATGTTGCCCAGGCTGGTCTCGAACTCCTGAGCTCAAACAATCCACCCTCCTTGGCCTCCCAAAGGGCTGGGATTACAGGCGTGAGCCACCATACCTCCCTATACTTTCACAGGAAAGGTGCTGCTTTAATGAGAAACCTGGATATAACTCTTGCCTCCACCCTCTTTCTCACCCCACCCCCGATATCTAATCAGTTGCCAGGTCCCACCCATTCTGCTTGTTCAGTCAGTTCTCTCCGCCCTCACAGTCCCTCTCCAGGTTCAGTTCGTTATCTCTCCTCTGCACCATTGCCTCAGCCTCCTCCATGGTGTCTTCATTAGGGTTCCCCCAAAAGCAGACCCTGATATAAGGACTTGGGTTATGTAGTTTATCAGGGGCAGTGTGGGGGTGATCCTCCTAGAAGCAAAGCAGGCAGTGAGGAAAATGAGGAGAAAAAACAATGAAGTGTGTGTGAGAAACAAACTTGGTCTCACTGGGCACGCTGAGGTATCTGTAGGGCGGAACAGGCTCATGTGAAAGCCCTTATCTTCTTGGGCGGAGAAGCAGAGAGAGGGTGGCACATGGGGTGGGCCGCTGTCACAGCATGACATTATTGCAGCTGGGGTGACCTTGGGGGATGTAGGGCAGGGCATCAGAGCATCTGCAGCACTGGTCTCCTGCCTCAGTCTCCCCTCTCTTGCCTGTCTCTGCCCAGCAGCTGGAGGGTGTTTCTGAGACAGTGTCTCAGGCTGCACTGGTATGAAAATGGGGAAGCAGGCAGAGAGGCAGAGGGACAGACTGGCTTCTACAAGGGTCTCACAGAGGGACTGGAGCATGGTCCATGGGATGCCTCGTGTCTGAGTTCACCCCTAGCTGAGCTGGACTGGGTTGAAACAGGCCAAGGGTCTGTGATCAAACACCAGGATCAAATCTCAGGACATCAGATTTTGTTTTATTTTAAAATAAAGTATGGTTTTTAAGTTTTTTAAAAACCTTTATTTTAAGGTTAGCTAAGGCTAACCTTAGCTTCGGATGAGAGAGGGAGGTGGCCCAGGAGGCCCAGGAGGCCCAGGGAAGCCACCTGGGAGTCCTCACTGCCATGGGCAGTCCACAGGTGGAGCAGTGAGTTTCCCTGTGCCGTTCGGCTAAGATATGAAAGTCATGAGGATGTATTTAAGTCGGCATTGATGCCAATTACTATCCTCATCTATGTCTGCAGATCTTAACAGAAAAAAAAATGTCACTATTGGAGTATTGCCAGTGTTGGAAAATAAGTGAGTAAATGAGAGTCTCATGTGTGTCATGGGTTCGGCTGAGGAAGCAGCGTCTGGATGCCAGTGACTTCCCTAACAGCCTCGTGGCTCACCTCACTCATGGGCCTCTCAGAGGAGCCGGGCTGCTGGGGTTCCCTGCTGACTGGGAACAGGCTGTGTGGCCTTCAGCGAGAATCCCTTCGGGATCCTCTTGAAGGAGCAAGTTTTCTTATGTGCTGATTAGATAATTAGTCCAACAGCCATTCCCTGGTGCCAGGTCCTGGGCTGGGACGTGGGACCCAGAGATGGTTCAGACATGATTTCTCCTCTCAGAGGGATCAGAGTCCAGGCTGGCTGAGGTGGGAGCAGAGTTCTGTGCTGTGATGGGCGCCCCCAGGTGACTTGATGAGTCAAGGGAGACTTCCTAGAGGAGGTGACATATGAGTTGGGTACGAGTACGAGTAGAAGTCTGCTGGGTGGGCATAATGGGGGCATAGATGGGGAGAACAAAGCATTCTTTTAACTCCATTTATGAAGCGACTGCTCCACATGTCAGGCCCCCGTCAGGTATAATGTGCATAAAAATGATAAACACAAGAATCCTGGTTCTGAGGAAGCTGAGGCCCAGAGAGGCAAAGTGACATGCCCAGAGTCACACAGCACATCAGGGGCAGAGCAAGGACTCGAACTCTCCAAGTCCAAACCTTTTCCCACCCTTACTGGGCATGACCCTGGAGGACAGCACTGGGCAGCTGGTGAGGACACAGTACCCACGTGGGTTTGCTGAGCCCACCCCTCTATCTCTGACTCATTAGCAGAAATAGATGTTGGATATGTCTTAATTTCTTGTTTGTTTGTTGTTTTTGTTTGAGAGAAGTCTCACTCTGTCACCCAGGCTGGAGTGCAGTGGTACGATCTTGGCTCACTGCAATCTCCACCTCCTGGGTTCAAGTGATTCTTCTGCCTCAGCCTCCTGAGTAGCTGGGATTACAGGTGCCCGTCACCACGCCTGATTAATTTTTGTATTTTTAGCAGAGACGGGGTTTCACCATGTTAGCCAGGCTGGTCTCAAACACCCGACCTCATGTGATCCACCTGCCTCGGCCTCCTAAAGTGCTGGGATTATAGGCGTGAGCCACTGCGTCCTGCTCAGATAAGCCTTAATTTCTGTGTTGTCTCTCTCCACCCCTCAGGTTGGGGACTGTGAAAGTGTCTGCCCCCAGGTAGGGCCGAGGCAGTTCTCTAGGATAGGTGGGCTCAGGGATAGGTTTTGCTGAGAGAGCCAGAGGAGGCCAAACCCAAGCAAACATTAGTACATCGGGTGTGGTATTGGATCAGGGTCTGAGCCGGAATGCAGCTCTGTGTCACCTGCATAGTTCAGGTGGGGTCGGGCAAGAACAAGGCCAGAGGCAGGGGATGGAGGCTGAAGGGTACTGCATTTGTATGAGTTAGCTTCAGAAGTCACATAGCATCATCACTTTTACCATACCCTACTGCTCAGGGCCATCATAAGCACCTGCCCAGGTTCAAGGGCAAAGGACATAAACTCTACCTCTTGTTGGGGAGTGGCAGGGTTCTAAAAGCGCATGTGAGATGGGAGCTCTCGTTGCAGCCATCTCTGGAAAAGGCAATTTTTGACACCCACTTTGTGGCTTGTATTTTCACTTTCTTCGTGATATATTTTGATGAACAGAAGTTCTAAACTCTACAGTAGTCAAATTTATTGCACTTCTTCCTTTATGTTTGCATTTTCTTATGTCTTTTTAAAGAAGTTCTTCCATGGCTTAAATTCATAAAGGAATGTTCCTATATTTTCTCTTAATATTAACAAAAAAAGTTGGTTCTCACATGTTAAGCCCTTAATCCATCTGGAATTGATTTTTGTGTGTGGTGTAAGGTGCAGATCACATTTCATTTTTTCCAGAAGTGTCAGCACCATTCAGTGACTAGTTCTTTCTTCATCTGCAATGCAGCTGTCATATATCAAGTTTCCATATGTGCAGGGGCCTATTTCTGGGGTCTCCATTCTGTTCCATAAATCTATTAATTTGCCACCTCTGCCGGCAGCCACGCTTTCTTAATTTCTATGGTTTTCTGATAAATCTCCATAGCTGGCACGGCAGGACTCCTCGCCTTATTTTTCTTTTTTGGGAGTATCTTGCCCTTTGCTCATCTATTTAAAAAAAAAAGTTAGAATCGACTTGCAAAATTCTCCAAGAGAGCTCCTGGAATTTTGATTGAAATAATAATGGAATCTATAAATCAATTATTTGACATTGATCATTTTAATCCACAAATCTAAAATATCTACCCACTTTAAAAGGTCTTTTTAAATTTTTTTCAGTAAAGCTTACAATCTTTCTTCATAAAAGGGCTTGCATGTCTTTTGTTAAATTTGTCTCAAGGCATATTTTAATTTTTGTTGTTACTATAAATGCATCTTTTTTAAAAATACATTTTTGAACTTTTTTTTTTTTAAATTTTAGAGACAGGGTCTCACTCTGTCACCCAGGCTGGAGTGCAGTGGCATGATCATGGCTCATTGCAGCCTCTACCTCCTGGACTCAAGCGATCCTCCTGCCTCAGCCTCCTGAGTAGCTGGGACTACAGGTGTACACCACCACGTCCAGCTAATTTTTTTTGTGTGTGGAGATGGGGTCTCACTACGTTGCCCAGGATGGTCTTGAGCTCCTGGGCTCAAGTGGTCCTTCTGCCTTGGCCTCCCAAAGTGCTGGGATTACAGGCATGAGCACTGCACCTGGCCCCAGTTTTGAACTTTATGTTGCCAGTATACAAAAATGCAACTACTTTTTAGGTATATATCTCATGTTCACGTGTTTTGCTAAACTCTGTCATTTTAATTATTTACAGATTATTTGTAGATTCTATGTGGACAATAATATTATGTACAAACAGAGTTTTGTTATTTTCCTTTCATATCTCTATTCTTTCATTTCTTCATATTTTATTGTGCTAGCTAGGGGCTCCAGAAGAGAATTCAATAGCAGTTTTTGACAGAAGGAATCCTTTTTTTGTTCCTGATTTTAAAGAGGATTTAATAAAAAACAACTCACTGTTGAATATGATGTTTGCTTTAGGGGTTTTGCAGGTATTCTTTATGAAATTAAGGAAGTTTTTATTCTTGCAAGTTTGCTAAGAGGTTTTTTGTTTTCTTTTTCAATTGTGAATTAACTGAGTTTTATTAAGCACTTTTTCATCTATGATATGAAAATATGGCTTTTCTCCTTTAATATGTTATTGTCCAATATTAAGATTAGGGTTGGCTATAAAAGACAGAAAACCCAACATACTAGTATCTTAAACATAAGAAGAGTTTACATCTTTCTCAGACACAGGTCTGGAGGAGGGAATTCAGGGGTATTTTGGCAACTCTGCTCCAGGAAGTACCCCAGGCCCCAGGTCCCTCCTGTTTTGTGCTCTGCTACCTCTCCAGGGGCCTCACCCCATTGATCCAAGATGGCACTGCTGCCAGCACAGCCTCATGCCACAGGGCACGCAGAGAGGGCCAGGCAGGGGCACAGGGCTGGCCAGGTGGCACTCAAGAAAGGCTCCCAGAGCCTTGCGCCCTAGATTTTGCTTATATTTCATTTGAGATATTTACACACATGTTCGTAGGTTCTATAAACTTGCAATTTTCCTTTACTACGTTGACTTTGATTTTGCTATGGAGGAGCTGTATGAATTAGGGGTTATTCATTCCTTGAAGGCTTAGCATTGCTTATTTGAAAAAGTTTTTATCTTGGGAGTTTTATTGTGGGCATTTTGTTTATTGTTTATTGTTTCTAAAAACAATTTTAAATTTACAGACACTTGCAAGTAGAATACACATACTCTATTTTTTCCTGAGTGAATATTTTAGTGTTTCCTACAAACAAGGACATTCCCTTACATAACCACAACACAACCAACAAAATCAGGAAACGCCCGTGGATACATGACTCTAGTCTCCTCCAAAATCTTGCGTTGTCATGTCTTTTCGTCTTTTTCAGACTAAACAGTTCCTCAGTCCTTTCACTTTCATGAGCTTGATACCTTTGAAGATTATAGGCCAGTTATTCTGTAGAATGGCCTTCACTTTTGGTCTGTCTGATGTCTCCTTATGATTAGATTCAGGATTGAAATCTTTAGCAGGAGTACTACCGGGGTGACACTGTGTTTTTCTCATTGCATCCTGTCAGGTGGCATGTGACTTCAGTTTGTCCCATTACTGGTGATCTTTGCTTTGATCACTTTGATGGTGCTTGCCAGGCTTCCCCATAGGAAAATTACTGCAGAAAATGATTCCTTTTCCATGTGTAGTGAACATGTATTTTGTGGGGAGGTATTTTGAGACTATATAACTATACTGTTCCTCATCAAATTCTCCCTTCCTTGCTCGTTCCCTCCCTAACGGTTTGGACTCATCGTTTCTTATTTTATTCAGTGAGTTATAATCTGTCATTACTGTTACTTACTTTGATGCACAGAGTGATCCAGACATGACCCATGGGAGCCCCTATGGGATAACTTCTATATCTTTTTGACATGTCCCCATAACTCTTTGAGCACTGATTTACTTTCTGGCACAGCAAGCTGTTCCAGGCTCATCTTGTAAGTTCCTTGTCCCAGGCCTGGAATCAGCTATTGCTACAAGGGGCCCTGGCTTGAAGAAGCCAAGACTGGAGTGTTCATTGCTATTGGGATGTGGCTTCCAGGCCATCTCAATGGAGAGAGCTAGAAAGCATATCTATCTGGAAAACCATGAGTTCACACTGATACCTCCAAATCCAATCCAACACCATTGGGTTAATTTTATTTTTCTCTTTCCATACCTGTAACTCCCTTCTCTAGCAGGGAGAAACCTGGCTTTGATTACCTAAAATACATTTACTTTTTTGATCATATATAACCATTCTTCCATCACTACCCCTCCCCACTCTGAGTGGATATCCTCCTCACCCTGCCTGTGCTCGACACCCATGCCAAACAACCACCCCCACGTGGTCCCAGGACCTGGCCAGGGGAGTAAAGGCTGACGTTAATTGAACTGACCTGCTTGATGCTCAGTCTTGCGCAACCCTAACTTCAGAAATTCAAGTTTTATTCTAGGAAAATGCCTTTTAATTTTGAATGGTCACGGAAAAGGAAACCATTTGCCTTCATAGCTGGGACGAGCTCTTAAAAAATAATGCCAACTCAAAGAAAACACTCAATTTAGAAGCCTCATTGAAATCCTGGAACCCCAAGAATACATCATTAGATTCCTGATTGGAGACCCTTTTCCTAAAATGAATGTTATGTGTTCATACCTGTGTGAGCAGAGTCGCCTCAGGGTGCTTGAGCGTTCTTTTATTTACTTATTTATTTTTCAGACAGGGTCTCCCTCTGTCACCTAGGCTGGAGTGCAGTGGCACGATCATGGCTCACTGCAACCTCAAACTCCTGGGCTCAAGCGATCCTCCCACCTCAGCCTCCCAAGTAGCTGTAACTACAGGTGTGTGCCACTATGCCTGGCTAATTTTTGTATTTTTTGTAGAGACGGGGTTTTGTCATTTGCCCAGACTGGTCTCGAACTCCTGGATTCAAGCCATCTGCCTGCCTCGGCCTCCCAAAGTGCTGGGGTTACAGGCGTGCACCACCGCGTCCGGCTGCTTAAGCATTCTTGATGTCTGTGAATCGTTATTAAGCCCACTCACAGCCCCAGTGCTCATGCCCTGCACTGCCTGGTCCAGACGGAGAACCACGGTAACTCCTGGTATCCGTGGCTCACGGTTGTAGATTTCCATGGCTGACATATCTTAGGCCTGCCAGCATGCCCCTCCAGGGTGCTTCTTTCTGACTTACTGTTTCTAGTCTGAAGAGGTCTGAGGAACAAATCGCTGGCCCCAGTAGGAATGTGGGGATTTAAATGGAAATCTCATGGCAGTGTTTGTTCAGCCTTGCCCTACACCCTAGCCAAGTGCTCTGTTCTTCTTTCCCACCTTCTCTTTCCCTGCCTGCAACTGGGACCTGGGCCAAGCCAGAGGCTCTGGAGTCTGGCCACTGCCATTCCCCGGTTTAGGGAGAGGCCTTCCCCTACCATAGCCCGCTGCGCCCTTTCCGCTCCCATTCGTCTCTCCTCCTGCTTCTCACCCCTTGGAACTCTCTGTCCAGCTCTCATCTTTCCTCCAGGGCCCTTTCTTCTTTCGCTCTCTTTGTCACCTGTATTCTGAGCCTGATCCTGCCATGATTTGCTGGGCCTCAGTTTTCTCACCTGCAAAATGGGGAGAGGGTTGAACATGGTGGATTCTGAGGCCCCTCCTGGCTCTGCTCTCTCCTACGTCCCATCCCTGGCACACATCCTTGTATTTGCCCCTCTCTTTCTGCTTCTTGTTTGTGGATCATGTATCATTTCCTCTCTGCCTCTGATTCTTTTGGCGTCTCTCTCCATCTCCTTCCTCTGTGACTTTGTTTCTCTTCCTGCACATCTGCTTCTGTCATAATTTTTCTTCTTGGAGTCTCTTTATCTTTCTCCCTGTCTCCCTTTCTGTGTCTCCATTGCCTCTGACTCTATAATTTCTGTCTCTCTCTGCCCCTCTTTCTGACTTTCTACTTCTTTCCCATCTGTGATCACTTTGATGTGATTCTGTTTCTCCTTCTCATCCCATTGCTACTTGGTCACTGCCTGCCAACTCCCTTCCTGACACTGCTTTTTCAGTCTGTTCCTGATGCCAATGTTCCTGGGTCCCCACCCACTTCCCTATCCCTGTTCAGAGTCCCCCTTCCCATTCCTGCCCTGACCTAGGACTGGGAGCAGGGAGCTGGTGCCATGCTGCCCCTACCAGAGCCAGGCTCCTCCCTGGAGTGGGAATAGCAGCTGTGAGGATGGCTCCAGGAAGCATGTTGGGCCCAGCTGGCCACCTCTGTCTCAAGGAAGGCTCAGAAAGTTAGACGCACCACTCAGAGGGTGGAAGTCCTGCCACAGCCCAAACCCAGAGAGTGGCCATCGGCTCCACAAGCACCCTCCACCCAATGTGTGGGGTGCACATGCACATGTAATGCGCGCCCCTGCATACACGTGCATGCAGCTGGGACACAAGTTCTGGCACTCAGCTCTCATCGGGAGTTTCTGCTGGCACTCAGGGCCACCTAAAGGTTGCTTCCTCTCTTTGGAGTCTACTCCAGCCTTAATTGCAAACTTCCGGCCCCAGTCTGGCCCTTGGAACGTTCTCTATGTAGATATGGATCAAGACCCAGTAGGAGGCAGGGCAGGTGGCTCACACCTGTAACCCTAGCACTTTGAGAGACTGAGATGGGAAAACTGCTTGAGCCCAGGAGTTGTAGTCCCAGCTACTCAAGAGGATGAGGTGGGAGGATTGCCTGAGCCCAGGAAGTTGAGGTTGCAGTAAGCCACCATGGTGCCACTGCACTTCAGCCTGAGCAATGAGAGTGAGAACCCGTCTCAAAACAAAACAAAACAAAACCCAAAGACCCAATAGGGAGAAAGAATTCTGACCCAGCCCCAAGTTAGGAGCTGGTGTAATTCCCATCAAGCCTGCAGATTGCGATCTGGCCCCTAAGCATCCCAGAATCTGGATCTAATAGACATTTACTGGGCATCCACCAGTGCCCGATGCACCTGTCACCCCAAGCAAACCTCACAGCTGCCCTAAGAGGCAGGTGCAATTGTGCAATTGTCTTCCATTCACAAGTGAGGAGACCACAAGTCAGTTAGAGGCAGAATTTTCAGCCCAGCACAAGTCTGGCCTGCCCATATGTCCTCTGCCTACTGTGACTACCCATGTTGAAGATTTGCCAGTGGGAGGAGGAGCTGAAGGAGCCTGCAGAAGCCGACCTTTGACAGTGGGTCCCAGTCCTGGAAAAGACACAACAGAAATAAAGTAAGTGAGATCTGCCATCTCACCAGGGGTCACGTCAGAGTCGGATTCTGACCAAAGGCTCTGGGCCTGGCATTTTCAGGGTGGGAGGTGTGGCAGGGCTGAGCCTTTAGAGCCAGGTCTAGGGGGCAGGCACATCACAGGTGGCACAGCCATGAAGGAAGCACGAAGCCCCCAGAGGGTGGCCCCAGATGTCAGAGTGAGGTGTGACAGGCCTGCCTGTGGGGTGCCCCACACTGGTGGTTTATCAGCACGGAGGAGGAGCTGCCTCCTTCCCCATCCCACTGCCCTGGAACTCTGCACAGGGGAGCCTGCCGGGCCCTCGGGTCTCCACAGCCTAGTGTCGGCTCTGCACATTCGGTCTCACCGCCAGCCTGTGGTGAAGGCTGCAAACATTGTGCCAAGTCTGCCTTGTTTGGGCATTTGTTGGGGGCTAAAGCCGCTCCATTTTACATGTTAATCTGCCATGATGACTTCTGATGAACCCCAGTCAAGGAAGGCCTCTAAGATTTCTACTTTATTTACTATTCCTTGTATAAGAGCACTATGTACTGTAAATCCTGCCTTTAGGCCAAAAAAACCTTGACCCTAAATCCTCTCCTTAGGCAGGTTCACAGAGCATTCCTGCCTTTCCCTATAACTGTCGTACACATTCCTTCCCTATGGTAGATAAGCCCTGGGTCTGGAAGGGAATGGCTCAGGAATCCACCAGTTTGTCTCTCGGACGTGGCTTCTCTTTGAGTCCCTCTGAAATGTTTCTTCTGAGGAAGGGGATATGTCAGCCTCTTTCTTCGGCCTCTCAGCTTCCTGGGCCTTTGGAAGTAGGCTTGCACATGCCTGTCCACTGTGGAACAGCACTGGGGCCATGGAGAATAATTTGACAGTGCATCAGACTGCAAACTCTCAGCCCCATGCCCTCCAGACACCGGCAGGAGCCCCGCTGACAAAAGCAGCTCCCTTTCTCATCGCATTGCTGCTCACAGGTCTCTGGATTCTTCCATCTGCTCCTTGCTCTTTGCTGCTGGCTCTCTGTCAGTTGCAGGTCCTCTCCAGCCTGCCGTCTGTTGCTTTTGTCTCACTCCACCACGTAGCTGGAGATTGCGATAAGGTCGCAGAGGGCGAGCTCATCAACCTGCACCATGCGTGAGGATAGTGAGGATAGGAATTGCCAGACCACAGGATCCCCTTCCAAAGCCGGTTGTTCGCACCTCCTGTTGTGCCTCGTACCCTCCACGAGGTTGCAAACCTCTGCCTTTCCCATCAGGTTATAGCAGTCTCTTTTGTCTCACCAGTATCAAAAACAGAGCTGGCACAGACCAGGAGATCAGAAAATGTTGAGCCCACAGATGCATGAAGGTGTGAGACTCAACAAGTTGGACTAATGAGCAGAATGCTCTCAGGGGAACTTCATCAGGGATGAATGCAAAGACCACGTTTGAGCCCAGGACAGGGAGCTGGGGCCATGTGCTTCAGGTGGAGGAGGCAAACCCTCCAGGTGGCAGAGGGTGTTAACTCACTCTGGGTGCACTACATTGGGGGCAGCTGAAACACAAAGGTGGTCTCAGGCGGCAGCCCCACCAGGAGTGGGTTTAGACCACAGTGGGTCTGTCCTGCTCAAGGCTATACTGGCCTGCAGTGCCGCGGCAAGTTCTGAATGCTGCCTTATGAGAACAAAAAGGGCAAACTGAAAGTACTATCTCCCTCCCAAATTTGGGTCCCTCTACCAGTCTCCAGGCTGGCCCTCACCAAGCCAGGGGACCAGCTCTCTACCCAATGCTAGTCCGCTGTTTCGTGCTCTGGGCTGGACCCTCCCTCTGCTCAGCACAGCCACTTGCTTCTGGGAAACCTGAGATTGGCTTTCTCTGCTTATTCTTTCTCTGTTTGAAGCTGTCTGGAACTGGGCCTGGCTTCTTTTACAGGATGCTGCCTGCCGACAAGCTCATTCTGAAGCAATTCAAAACAGGCTTGGTCCCTGTGATAAATCCCTGGCAGGGACCAGGAGTGACAGCAACACATAAAATAAACCCCAAAGGAAAAACTCAGCCTCCTGAAACACTCTGTTAAGATGGCAAATTCACATCCAGTCACTGTGGGAGGTGCAAGTCAAGTTCACGTTAAAATGATAATTTCCCACACTACCGGCTTGCACCTGGGGCTCCTGGTCGGGTGCTAAGTGCATATTTAGTATCCACCCCAGGTGGCAGGACAGGCTCAGGATGTAACTCAGCCTCCCAGGGTCTCCAACAATCGTCTCCAGCCTCAGAGCAGCCCCCCTGACCCCACAAATTGTCTTGATTCCCCAGGAACCACTTTTACTCTAATAGAATTTTCTCTATTTTTATAGAAATCTCATTTGGAGCTTCAGAGGCTGTCTTTACCTCTTATCTCGCACTTACTGGGTGGCCTAGAATAAGTCATGCAGGCCTCTCAGCCTCAGATACCTCACCTGTGTCAGGGGCCCCCAGCATACCAAACTTTCCCTCTCGAGCATCTAATTTCATCCTCACCACAAGCCCAGAAGGTGCACCTATTTCCTCAAAGGGGAAAATGGGGCCCCTGAGGCCCCATTCCAGGAGGGAGATGCCAGGGTCTGTCCCTAAGCCCGTGCTTTTTTTTTTTTTTTAGATGGATTCTCACTCTGTCGCCCAGGCTGGAATGCAGTGTTGCATTCTCCACTCACTGCAAACTCTGCCTCCCGGGTTCAAGCAATTCTCCTGCCTCAGCCTCCTGAGTAGCTGGGATTGCAGGTGCATGCCACCACACCCGGCTAATTTTTGTATTTTTAGTAAAGATGGGGTTTCACCATGTTGGCCAGGCTGGCCTTGAGCTCCTGGCCTCAAGTGATCTGCCTGCCCCGGCTTCCCAAAGTGCTGGGATTACAGGTGTGAGCCACCACACCCTAAGCCTGTGTTTTTTATGCCCCTGCACCCCAGGACCCTAACTTGGTCCTTTGTGTCCTGAGCCTATCACCTGCCTGAGCTGCCCACAAGCTGCAGGCTGGGCCTGGTTCTGACTCCAGGTGTGCTCTCCTGCAGGCAGCTTTCTACTGCCAAGAAACTCCAGCGTAGGCCAATTATTGGAGCCTTGGTGCCCTCTGCTGGATAAAGACTAAAATACCAGCCTGATGAGAATTGAACACTGAGAACACATGGACACAGGAAGGGGAACATCACACACCAGGGCCAGTCGTGGGGTGGGGGGAGGGGGGAGGGGGGAGGGATAGCATTAGGAGATATACCTAATGTTAAATGATGAGTTAATGGGTGCAGCATACCAACATGGCACATGTATACATATGTAACAAACCTGCACGTTGTGCACATGTACCCTAAAACTTAAAGTATAATAAAAATAAAAATAAAAAATACCAGCCTGAGACCACACTGGACAGTAATGTCTATTTCACATCCATCCATCATCATCCTTGCATTCGCTTATCCACCTACCGATCCATCTGCCTTCCATCCACCCATCTAGTTTTCCATCTACTATGGTTCGAATGTGTCCCCCAAAGTCTGTATGTTGGAAATTTGATCCTCAATGTGGAGATATTGGGAGGTGAGGCCTTAACAAGATGAGGCCTTAGCTCATGGGGGCTCTGCCCTCATGAATGAATTAATGCCATTATCATGGGAATGGGTTGTTATTATGAGTTCCTTATAAAAGAATGAGTTTGGCCCCCTTTTGCCTCTCTCTCACCTGCATGCTCTTTCTTGCCATGAGATGCCTTCCACCATGTTGTGCTGCAGCAAGAAGTCCCTCACCAGATGCCGGCCCCTCAGTCTTGCACTTTTCAGCCTCCAGAACCATGAACCAAATAAATTTCTGTTCATTCTAAATTACCTAGTCTGTGATATTCTGCTATAGCAGCACAAAATGAACTAAGACACTATCTGTCCATCTACCCATCTATCTATCCATCCATCCATACACCCATTTGTCCTTTCATCTATCCACCCACCTGCCCATCCATCCATCTGCCATCCCTACATCCACTCATCCATCCATCTGTCCATCCATCCATCTCAATTTTACTCATGTCCTGTAGGCATCATCCTCTCTCTCACTGCAGCATCCCCAGCTCCTCCCCTGCACTAGGCCCTGCAGAGGCCTCAGTGAAAGAAACAAGAAAGACCTCCCCCAACCCATGTGTCCCTTTCCTCTTGGCAGAGCACCTTCACTTCCATTATATCCTTTGTCATGACAGACACTCTAAGGAGCCTTGGGATTCCCATTTAACTGGTGAGGAACTGAAACCCAGAAAGGCCAAGGAGCATGATGCAGTAGAAATAGTCTTTGGGGACAGAGTGACCAGTTTCAAATCAGGGCTCTGTCATTTACTGATTCTGTCACCCTGAGCAAGAATCAGCTCTCTGAATCCCAGTTCCTCATCTGTAAAGTTAACTAATTCAGCATGTATTTATTGTGTATATACTATGCACTAGGCTTGGCTTTGGGGGTACAGCAATGAACAGGGCAGGAAAGGCCATTGTTCGTCTGAGCCTTACGCTGTAGAGGTTCTAATGAGGCTCCAGTGAGATGAGACTATATTCCAGGGCCATAGACAAGTGCTACTTATGTCATGTCATTGTTATTACCTATGTAAGAAAAAAGTTTGGAAATGCTTTCCAGTAAAAAGAAAAGTTGGGGAAATGGTTGACACTATTTTTATTTTTTATTTCTATTTTTTGATATGGAGTCTCGCTCTGTCACCCAGGCTGGAGTGCAATGGCATGATCTTGGCTCACTGCAACCTCCGCCTCCTGGGTTCAAGCAATTCTCCTGCCTCAGCCTCCTGAATAGCTGGGATTACATGTGCCCACCACCACACCTGGCTAATTTTTGTATTTTTAGTAGAGACGGGGTTTCACCACGTTGGCCAGGCTGGTCTCAAACTTATGACCTCAGGTGATTCGCCCGCCTCGGCCTCCCAAAGTGCTGGGATTACAGGCATGAGCCACCACGCCTGACTGACATTATGTTAATTAAAAAGCAGAACATATTGGAGTTGAAGGCATGAATTTTGGAGCTAGAGTGCCTGGCTCTAAATCCCAGCTCTGCCACTTCAGAGCTGTGTGATCTTCGGCAAGCAATAACCCCTCTGTGCCTTGGTTCTCTCATCCACCAAATGGGGTTAATAATTCAACATATACTTATTGTATATCTAATATATGCCAGGCAGGGTCCTGGGGACCCAGTGATGAGCAAGACAGGGAAGGCCTGTCCCGTTCATAGGAGTGTGGCAACTGAATGAGTGCAAAGCACCTGGGACAGTCCTAAATGAGACATGAACTGGGTGTTTGCAAAGGCTCTGTGGGTGTGATTTACTTGTGTTGTATGTTTGTTGCTGCTGCCTGACTACCTGGGGCTGACAACGGGAGCGGGGCAGGCTTTTCCTGTGGGCAAAGAGCTCAGAACAGCGACCAGAGTGTGGAGGTTGGAATGAGGCTGGTTTCCCAACTCCAAGGATAGAAGCCTGCAGGCTGAGCGCTCCACAGCAGGGAGCAGTGAATGGCTCAGCAGTGGACGTGTGCAAGCTTGAGTGGAGATACCACAGGGACCTGCTGTCCTGTCTCAGTGGTGGCATGGAGGCCACTTAAAACTCCTTCCACGGTGAAGGACTTCCATTTTCCTGGGGAACAGACGGAGTGGCCTTTAACACCCTTGATGGGCCTTTAATACCCCACCAGCCAGGACAGTCCTGTCTCCTGGTAACACTCACCAGAGCAATGGCCCTCTGTCTGTGACTCAGTCTCTGCCAGGACCTAGGAGCTGGTGGCTGGCCTTCCCCCCAATTCCTGGGACTTGCCTCCTGGTCCTAGCCAGGCCCTGCACTCTACAAGTTGCTTTGGAGAAGTGGCCCCAGCTGATGCTGTATGGCATAGAGACAAAGCTTCCTTGTCAATCCCTGCCCAAATTGTAGATTCATGAGCGAAATCAACAATAGTCAATGTGCTAAGCCTTTAAGTTTGAGGTAGTTTCCCATCATCAGATAACTAGAGCATAACACCATACTCTGCTGCTCTCCCCAGGAATTCAAAGAGATAAGATGCTTCTAGGATGTACGTCACATGACTTGCACAAGCTACGTCACCTTGTGTAAGTTATTCACCTACCCTGAGTCTCAGTTTCCTCATCTGTCAAATGGAGACAACAATAGTAACATCTCAAAAATGCAGACGAAGCCATGAACTCTCCAGAGCCCCCTGCTACCTGCTCTTTGTCTTTAGGGTAAAATCTAAACTCCCAAGGCTGGTATTTAAGGCCCTCTTTTATTTGGCCCCTGCCAACCCCTCCAGCCTCATCGCCTGCCATGTCCCAGCCTCAGGAAACCAAGCATTTGCTTTTCCTGGCATTCTCCATGCCCTTGTGCCTCCAGACACTTGCTGATGCTGGTCCTGTTGCCTGATATGCCTTCCTCTCCTATGTGCCTGACGAGTGGCTATGGACACTCGAGACACAGTCAGAGGACACCTCCTTCTTGACAGCTTCCTTGTCTTTACCCCACGCACTTAGTCTCCTCTTCTGGGCTCCGTGCACACCTTGTATTTTCTTCTAGCTGAGCTGTTATTGCCACAGGATTTTATAGAGGCAGACACCAGACAGTGGCCCCTTCAGGCATGGAAACCATGTCTCACTTGCAGGGCTAGGCACTCAGGAAAAAATTGGTTAAAGGGTTAAGTTTGGGCAAATGAGCCCTGGTGAGATCAGAGCCCTAAAGGCCTTGGGAACTGGGTGGACAGCAGGGTAGAATGTTGGTGTTGTGGCCCTAGCCAGTGGTATCAGCCGTGCGTGGGCCACTGTGTTGGGGGTCTCTCCTGAGTTCTCTGGGTTTCCAGTGGGGGAGGAGCCAAGCCAGGAAGATGAACAGATTCCAGAAATAAGGTCTCTTCCAGATTAACAAAGACCTGGGGCCAGGCCTGCCTGTCACCTTTGTGTCTTGATATCCACGTTCCTTGCAGGAAAACAGCCCACACCTGCATGTACCTTGCAGCTTCTAGCCTCTGCACACTTGCCTGTGTCACTCCTCTCTCCTCGGATGCGCTTGGAGGAACCTGCTCCTGGGAAAAACCTCCCCTTCCCGAGGCCCTGCCCCTTGACTCTCCCAGGGAAAGTGGTTGTGCTGAGGTCTTCCCTTTGCCCGTCCAGATCCACTTTCCACCCTCACCCGCCCTTTCTGGGCGCCAGGAGCTGACGTGTATGAACAACAGCAATGGGTCTCTTGTCCCTGGATTCAATTGAGTTTGGCCAATGAGAAGCCCTAACAGCACATCAGAGGGAGGGAGGACACAGGATCGGGCTTCTAGTTCCCTGAGTCCCTCCCTGTACGGACGCTGCAATCTAGTTGTGCCCTTTCACCAAAGTCATTGCTCCTGTCAAGGGAGCCAGCTTTCTTCGCATCTCCTGAAAACTCCCTCTCCTCAGACCTTTGGGCCTGGGGAGGCAACAGTTCTGCCAACATTAGCCTTGAGTCACTGCAACATTCTCTATGGTGTCACTACCCCCACCCTTATCATCGCCCTGTGTGAACAGTTTCTCTAGAATTGTCCTAATTTGAGTGTGCCCTCAGTTTCTGCTGGACCTGACTAATACCAGAAGCGGCCCTAGGAAACAGACCCTTCAAACAGGATTCTGGAGTTGGGCTGGTTCTGTATTTGTGCAACACAGGGATTATCTCCTTGCTGGGAGAAATAGGATGCAAGCAAGTTATCACTGGTGGGAGCAAAGGCTGAAGTGCAGGTCAGAAGCCAGACCTTGGGCTATGAGGCAGCTTTGGCACTTAGCCTGGTGGCAATGAGACTGCTTGTGAACATGGTGGAGGCTCCTGACTACTTCTTTTGTTTTATTTTGTTTTGACTCTTAGAATCAGATAAGATAAGCAACCTGGCTGTTTCTTACAGCCATGTATATATGAAATATGAAATTTAAAATTATGACCATACAACTGAGAACATGTGACCTTCAGAAGGCTTCCATGACACCTTGAAGGAGTACCTCATGTCCTGTAGGTGCAGGGAAGGTATAACAGGGCACCAAATCCAGGATCCAGCTAAAGGCTGCAGAGTTGTAACACCTCCCTCCTCACAGCCTCTTACACTAAAGGAGGGGCACATATATATGCTTGACACATATGGAAAGAAAACTTCAAACTGTGCTACATGGAAACTCATCCTGAGTCATTATAGTAGAAGGTATTGTCTTTTACCAGGTTCCCAGACTGAGCCGTCCACAGACTCAGAGTCCTTGACTGAGGGGACTCTGTGTCTCTTTGAGGAAATTATTGATCATGACTCTTCCTCCAAGGGGGACCTGTGGTATGAACCAAGGTGACTGTTCTCTGGGGAGGGACTCAGGCCATCCAGAAGGTTACTAGAGACTAGGCCAAAGGATCCCTCTCTCCTAAAGAACAAAAATGCCCGAGGGCCACTGGGAAAGAGTAACAAGGTCAGGGAACACATGCGATCTTGGCCTGAGACCTTCTAATGGAGGGTCTGGTGGGATCATGCATGCATTCTGTGGTTGTCTCCCCAGTTTCAGAATGAATGATGGGAGTAGACATATATAACCACTAATAGAATCCCTATATTTGTTCCCTATATTTGTTTCCTGGCCTGTGGATTGGGGGTTCCATGGGGGAAAGTGTTCCATGGGGGAAAGCTCCCTACCCAGCTCCCCCCTGCCCAGTGAGTACAGCAAAAGCAATCCCCCTCAGGGAATTGCAGAAATTAGTGTCTGCATCAAAGACTTCAGAGAAGCAGGGGTGGTAATTCCTATGACAGCCCCATTTAAATTGCACTCTGACTGGTGCAAAGACCAGCTGGGTCCTACAGAATAATAGTATATTATCACAAACTTATTAATAATTAGTAAATGATGCCAGGCGAAGCTGCCATTCCAGCTATCTTTTGGATCAAGTCAGTACAGCCCCTGACACCTGGTTTGCAGCCATTAGACTGGCAAATATTTTCTTTTCCATTCCTATCAGTAAGGAAAAAGAGGTTTGCAGAACAACAGGATGCCTTTATTTATTGTTTTGTCCCCAGAGCTATGTTACCTCTCTAGTTTGCTAACGTAATAGAGCTCAAAGGGACCTTGGATCCGCTCAGTATTCCACAGAACATCATGCTGGTTCATTATATTGATGTCATTTTGCTAATTGGATCTGGTGTTTAGGAGGGAGCTGGTATTTTAAATATCCTAGTGATACACGCCGGAGAGAAGGAGGTACACCTTGCAAAAATTCAGGGGGCTGTCATATTGGTGAAGTTCCTAGGGGTCCGTGGAATACCTTTTCTAATGCGAGAAGCAAGTTGTGGCATGTTGTACCAAACATCACATAGAAGGGGACATAGTGCTTGGTGAGCCTGTTTGGATGCTAGAAGCAATGTCTTAGGTTGGTGCAAAAGCAATTGCGGTTTTTGCCATAAAAGCATGGCATAAAAGTATGGCAAAAACCACAGTTGCTTTTGCACCCACCTAATAATACCACATTTGGGAGTGTTGATCTATTTATCAGGTAGCTCAGAAATCTGCCAGTTTTCAGCAGGTCCCACGGCAATAAAGGGACTGAACAGCAGATTTGTGCAACTTGCCCTGCCACTGAAACTTATGACCCAACAGACCCCATGGTATCTGTGGCAGACAGAGATGCAGTATAGAGCCTCTTCAACTTCCAACAGGAGAATCACAGCACAGAGCACTAGGCTTTGGGCATAAAACCATATATATTATTTTTTGTGGACAACTTTCATCCACTTGAAAAGCAGTTCTGACTTGCTCCTACTCCTGGTGGAGACCAAATGTGACTATGAATACTGAATGACTGTTCTAGCAGAATGGACCACTGAACCAGGGGCTATCTGATTCCCCGGATCAGAAGATTGGCCATGCATAGAAGCATTCTATGTGGCCAAGCAGATGGCCTAGACTGCCATGGTACCTTCTCTTATTTTTTGCCACTTCTCCTTCAACTGATACCTGATACCAAAACCATACATGGGGAGTTTCTCATTGGCAGTTGGTGGAGGAGGAAGAAGTGTAGGTCTGGTTCATGGGTGGATATCACGGTATGCTGGTACCAGCCAGAAAGGGATGGTAGCTGCATTACCTCTCCAATCAAGGCTGGTCCTGACATACAAGTGGTGAAAGGAAATTTTCCTCTTGGGCAGGATTTCAGAGGGGCACAGCTAGTTGTCCATTTTGTGCTGAAGGAGAGAGGGCCTGTGGTACTTATTTACTTTGACTCATGGGCAGTTGACAATGGACTGTCTGGATGGCCAGAGTCTTGCTATAAACAAGATTGGAAATTGGTGTCAATGAGGTGTGTGGGCAAGCCTCTCAGAGCAGTCACATGTGCTCCACATGAATGCCCCACTAGTGGGCATCTATGACAGAAATCCTCAAGATTAGGTGGACAAGGTGACTTGTGGCTATCAGTCAGCTTCTTTCCATAGCCCACCCCCCTCCCCGTGCTTACTCAATGGCCGTGTGGCCATGGCATTCAGAATGGAGACTTGCATTGGCTTGACAACATCGGCTTGCACTCATCAAGACCCATCTAGCTGCTTCCACAGCTGAGTGTCCAACCTGCAGATAGCAGAGGCCACTGCTAAGCTCAAAAACCGGCACCACTTCCCTGGGGGGTCAGCCAGTTACTTGGTGACAGTTTGATTATATGAGAGCTCTCCCTTCATAGAAGCAACAATGCCTTTCTTTCTGCTTGTAGAGATAGAAATATAACTGTGTGTAGAGTTGCTTTTCTTGCCTACAGTGCTTTTGCCAGTACCATCGTTCATAGTCTAAGAGTGCCCTATATGTTACTATGTTGTCCTACACGACATTGCCTCTAACCAGGGGAAGCATTTTACTGCAAAGGAACTGAAGCAGTGAGCTCATCTCCCATTGCCCAGAAGCACCTGGCTTGACAGAAATGTGGAATGGTCCATTGGAGAATAGCTCAGTTGCCAAATGAGCTAGGAGATGGCATCCTGTGCTTCCAGGATGCAGTATATGCCTTATACTAGGGGCCAAGTGGGCCATCTTCCTACAGCAGAAGGGATGGGCTGGGAACCAAGGAAGAAAGATAGGAGTGGCCTCTTTCACTATCACCCACAAACTCACTAGAAGAATATTTCCTGCCTGTGCCCGTGGTCTTGGATTCAGTGGTTTGGAGCACCTAGTTTCTCCCAGGGGAGAAACACTCCCTCCAGAGAATGCAGTAATTTTTCCAATGAATTGAAAACTGAAACTATTGTGTGGCCATTTTGGGCTCCTCAGGACTCTGAATCAACGGACAGAGAAGGGAATCACTGTGTAAGCCCAAGTAATCAATCCCAATTATCACAAGGAAATATGGTTGTTGCCTTACAATGGGGACAGGGAGGACCACGACCAGAGCCCCATATACTAACTGGGGAGCCCTTTAATACTCCCTTGCTCAGTCCTGGTCAGTGGTAAAGGGGGTAACCCAATAAAGACCAGACACAGAGGCTTCAGATCCTTCCATCCATACTAACTAATGACACACCCATTCAGTGTGTTCTTTGACCACTGAAATTATGACAATTGTGTAGCAATACGAAAAACACTTCCACAGAGTTATAACATGGCATTATTACCCTTCTTTTTTTAATAGCACCTATCACTTTCAAACACTAAAAATATGTCTACTTACTTATTATGTTTATTTTTTGTTTACTAACACATCTTTCCCTGCCCTGCTAGAAAGTAAGCTCTGCGAGGGGCAAAAATCTTATTTTTTGTTCTTTTAAATTTGTTTGTTGGTTGATTTAGCTCAAGTGTTTAGAACAGTGTCTGAAACATGGAAGGGAGCAAGAGGGAAAACAGGAATTAGGGGTGGGAGGTCGGGGTGGATGGAAGCCTGGCCCCTTGGCAGAACCATGATGAGGACACTCAGTAAACATTTGTTGAATGAATAAAGTGACATGAAGAAAGCAAAAGACAGTAATCCCTTCACTAGGTTGCTATAAAGGTTAAATGAGATGGGTATGCATAACCCTAGCATAGAGTGGATGCTGAGTGCACCTAGTAAAAGCTAACTTTACCTAGATAGGAGAAAGCAAGCGGAAGAGGGAGGGGCTGGAGCCCATGGACTGAGGTCTCTATCTCCACTTAAGTGTTCACCCCAGAAAGGAGTGGCCTCTATTCTAGGTCTTATGTGAAGTGAAGTAAGTCCAGCACAGAAAGACAAATATTGGGTGTTCTCACTCATATGTGGGAGCTTAAAAAGTGGATCTCATGGAGGTAGAAGGTAGAATGATGGTTACCAGAGACTGGGAATGGAAGTGGGAAGAAGGGAAATGAAGAAAAATTGGTTAAAGGGTACACAAATACAGCTATGTAGAAGGAATAAGTTCTAGTGTTCGATACTGCAGCAGAGAAATTATAGTTCACAGTAATTTATTATATATTTCAAAATAGCTAGAGAGAAGAATTTTAATGTTCCCAACACAAAGAAAAGATAAATGTTTGAGGTGATGGATATTCCAGTTACCCTGACTTGATCATTACACATTGTATCCATGAGCAAAGCCCAGACCTACAGTCAGCCCTGCCGCTTACCAGCTCTGTGCCCTTGGTCAAATCACCTAACTTCTCTGGGCCATACTTTATAAGGTGAGGATAATAGTAATGCCTGTCTCCGTGGGTTGTGTGAATGGTGCCTAGCACAGGGACTGGCACACAGCAGAGGTTCAAATAAACTAAGGGTTTCTTTAGTGCTTGCCCATCCTTCCTCCTGGGAGCTGCCCCCAACCAGGTCTGGAGCTGTCCGGAGTGCTGAAGACCTCTCCTCTCTTTCTCCATCCCCCTCTATGTGTCTCTCTTTATTTTATTCCCTTCTTCCTTTCTGCTTGTGGCTCCCCAGAGCACTGGGGTCTGAACAGATCTAATTTTCCAAGTGCCTTATTCAGGCTCCTGAGAGGGACAGATAGGGAATGAGCCATGTAGGAGGCTCTTCCCAGGGAGCAGGGTCTGAAAGTCACAGGCAGAGGAGTGGTGAGCGTACAGGCTGTTGGGGGAAAGGACCCCCTCAGGCCAGAGTCTACTCTAAGAGCTTGACATCTAAGGACCCTGTTGCAGGAACCTTAGGGCCTACCAACAGGCAACAAGTCAGCTCCAACAATGCAGAGTTGCAGGTCCGTCTGTGGGGAGCTTGCTCGGGAAGAAGGTAAGAGGCACCAGGTTGAAGGACAGAAGGATGACCCTTGGCTGCAGGGGCTGCAGGGCCCCTGACTATGACAGGAATCCCCCATCCCCCTTCCCCAGGTTCCTGTCACCTTCCCTATTTTGGTCATTCATGTGTTAGTGCAGCTAAAGGCATCTTCAACTTTTGGAGATTATGGGGCTGTGGAGTTGACTAATTCGAGGAGCTTGGCTCTATGAGTCAAGCAGTCTGTGGCTAATCCTTGGGGCCCATCTCCCTGAGTCTAAAAATACAAATGGTCTCTCCCCAGGAGGGTGGCACATTAGTCTATTGTGCCCAGAGGTGGAGGCACTAGAGGCTCACACACTCTTGGGAGAAGGGTTGGGAGAGGAGATGTGGCCAGCCTAAGGGACAAAAACCACCTGTCTCTGGATTTTTGTAAACATGTAGAACATCAGACCTGAATGATCTTTGGAAACCTAAATGTCTAAGCCAAGCTCTCCCTGTACAGCTGGGAAAACTGAGGCACAGAACGGGTTGTAGACTCTGTCCCATAAATCAGTGGCAGAACTGGGATTAAAAGCAGCTCCTGCCTTGGCCCAGTGCTGGCCTGCTAAGATCTTCAGCCCTCTGTGAGCCCCTGCTGGCCATCCACTGCAGAGTTCTCCGGATACTGAGCATGGCCAGCAAGACCTCAGGCCAGGGGAGCCTGCTGCAGCTTTGTGGGACTGAGGGCTACCCATGCTCCTTTCTGTGCCTGTCTCCTTATCTGTACACAGAGGAATTGATTTAGAGGTTTATATCTCCAAGGATCCTTCAGCTCTGATGTTCCAGGTGTCAGTAAAAAGAGGTGATTTTTGCCTTTGGCTAGGAGGCAGGAAGCCAAGCTCTGGTCCAAGTTCAGTCCTAACATTTGATGAGACCTTGGACAAGTCACTGTCCCACCCAGAGCCACAGTTTCCTCCTCTGTAAAAGGGGGTAAAAAGTCCTTGTCAGGGCCTCTGGGCGTGGCTGTGTGTGCCTCTAGTCCCAGCTACTCAGGAGGCTGAGGCAAGAGAATTGCTTACCCGGGAGGTGGAGATTGTGGTAAGCTGAGATCGCGCCATTGCACTCCAGCCTGGGCAACAAGAGCGAAACTCCGTCTCAAGGAAAAAAAGAAAAAAAGAGAGTGGAATAGAAAAAGAGAAGAACAGAATTGAGCAGAATAAACTAAAATAGATAGGAATAACAGTAGTAACTATGAGACCGCATTGCAGGTAGCAAGGGTAAGTGGTTCTGAGAGATGTCCTTTAGGGTACTCAAGTTCTATACAGTCAGTCTCGTGAGTCTACCAAGGTAAAATGTATTTCTTACTGCAGGGCACAGTCTGCCTGACCTTGGCTGTACTCTGGGGACACAGGCAGGATCTGGCTGGGCCCCAGCCGTGAGCAGCCTGAGTCTGGTGGGAGACAGGTGTGTATGCAGGGCACAGGGGAGCCCAGAGGCTGGAGCTGCTGATCTGCTTGGAGATGTGGAGGGCTTCACAGAAGGGGTGACATTGGACAGGGCCTGATGATGAGAAATTGATTTTGGAGTGGAGCTGACGGGGAAAGGCATTCCAGGCAGAGGGCACTCCAGCTTGTGCAAAGGCGTGGAGGTAGCATGCCAGCAGGACCGGGAGAACGTCAACAGTTTGGCTCTGCATGGCCAGAGCCTGGCAGCAGTGGGTGGGGAGACCCTCAGACTCCTTCTCCACCCGTGCTGCGGGGGACTGAGCTCCAGCCACAGTGCTGGCTCTCAGGAGCCAGGAGGCAGAGGGGTGAGGGGCACACTCTCTGGAGTCAGACTGCAGGGAGTCCCACTGCCGCCCCCTCCACCCCATCCCGCACCCATGTGACCTCAGGCAAGTCACTAATCCTCTCTGTGCTATGGTTTCTTCACTAATGGCATGAAGCTGATCCACTGCAGATAGCAGGCTCAGGACCGTGCCTTCACACAGCGGCACAGCTTGCAGCCCGCGCTGGCGTTTCCCGTGAGGTGGCTTAGTCCTGAGCTGTGCGGAGCAGCTCCCCCGCGTGGCCAAATACAGAACAGCGCTTCCAACCCTCAAGAGAAAGGGCGTTTGGGAAGTCGGCCCAGCAGAGCAAATGGGACACAGGCCCAGCTTCTGTTTCCACTCAGTCCTCGTGGGCCTCTCTTTGAGGACCTCCCGCACTATCTAAGACATGGAGGGGGTGGGCTTGTGGCCCCCACAGTACGGGTCCCCAGAGGCTCAGCGGAAGCCAGGGCTGCAGGCCCTGAAGTCCATGTGATGAGGGGTCTTCAGGCTCCAGCAAGGAGACCCTCAGCCTTCCTGAGTTTTCTGCAAAAAGGGAGTGCAGTGAGAACCCAGGCCACATCCCAAACAAGTGGTGGCCCTTTTGTGGCTGCGATTGCCGTGCTGGTCAGGACCCAAGTGGGGAAGACGGAAAAGATGCAAAGGAAATCAAGTGTGGACCCCGACCTTGGCAAGGGCTCCCTTCTGTCCTGGGGCCTGGGGGTGAAATTGGCAGCTTTATTATTCAGGGCTACTTCTCTTACTAAGGTAGAGATGCATGTATCTGTGTCTACTTAGACCTTAAGGATGCCACCCAGGGCCAAGGTTAAGATTACAAGCCGATGATGATAAGCAAAATGCGGTCTATCATACAGTGAGTATTATGCAGCCACGAAAAGGAATGAAGTACTGACGTATGCTGCAATAAGGACGAACCTGGAAAGCATTACTCTAAGTCAAAGAAGCCAGACACAGGCCAGGCACGGTGGCTCACCCCTGTAATCCCAGCATTTTGAGAGGACCGGAGTGGGGGCGGGGTGGGTGGGTGGATCACGAGGTCAGGAGTTCGAGACTAACCTGACCAACGTGGTAAAACCCCATCTCTACTAAAAATACAAAAATTAACCAGAATACAAAAATTAGCCAGGTGTGCTGGCGGGTGCCTGTAATCCCAGCTACTCAGGAGGCTGAGGCAGGAGAATCTCTTGAACCCAGAGGGTGGAGTTTGCAGTGAGCTGAGTTCATGTCACTGCACTCCAGCCTGGGTGACAGAGTGAGACCCTGTCAAAAAAAAAGAAGAAGAAAAAAAAAAAGAAGCCACACACAAAGTACCATGTATTATGTGCATTTGTATGACATGTCCAGAATAGGCAAATCCATAGAGACAAAAAGCAGATTCATGGTTGACTGGAGTTGAGGGAGGGAGGAATGGGGAGCAACTGCTAATGGGTTTATTTCTGGGGTGATAAAAGCGTTCTATAATTCAATGGTGGTGATGGTTACATAACTTGGTGAATATACTAAAACCACTTTATTGTACATTTTTTAAAAGAATGAATTTTATATGTATCTCAATTTAAAAAAAATTCTTTAAAAAAGAAAAAAAAGGATTATAAGCTGGGAGCCAACCTGCCTGGGTTCAAATTCTAGCTGTACCACTGTGGTGGTTATGAGTCCTGAGCAGCTCCCCAACTGCTCCTCTAAAAAAATAGAGATAATGGTCAACATGCTTCTTAGTGCTGTTGCAACATTGAATGACAAAATGTTTGAGAAAGTTCTTTAGGACAACACAGAGAAAGCTGTCGACAGCCAAGTGTGTGGCTCACACCTGTAATCCCAGCTCTCTCAGAGGCCGAAGTGGGAGGATTGCTTGAACCCAGGAATGTGAGTCTGCAGTGAGCCATGATTGCACCACTGCACTCCAGCCTGGGCAACAGAGCAAGACCCTGTATCGGAAAAAGAAAGAAAGAAGAAAACTATCAATACATATTCACAATTGTCAGGGCCAGTGGAGTTGGGTAGGGCAGGACGTTGGTCAAAATGATTGGGCAGACAGGCCGGGAGGGCCATATTAATACAAATCTATCCTCCATTAAAGGGATGTTTTTCATCAGATCAAACTCAGATTTGGTGGCCTTGGCTGTTATTGTTATGGGGGGCAGATTAAAGGGAAATTCTACCTTTGCTAGGCCAGTGGGGATGGGGGTGGGGTGGCAGCAGAGCGGGTGCCCGGGAGTTCCGAGCAGCTCTCCAGGGCTAGAGAACTGTGGGCTTCAGGGCAGGCCACAGTGGAACTGGGCCTGCAAAGGTGACCCTGCCACCTCTGGCCCCAGTTGTGGTGCTGTGGATGCACTCGGCGGTGCTGGGGGGCTTGGAGATGACCACCCTGCTGAGCCGTGTGCCTGGGCCGAGGGCCTGGTGGATGGGAGATTAGTCTTCCTGCCCTATGACATGCTGCTCTTCTCCCTGTCCTACTGCAACCGCTCCTACCTGTCTCTCGGCACTGGTGGACCCCTGCAGGAGGCCTATGATGCAGTGCTCACCATCAGCCAGGAGTCTGGCCCCATAGACAAGGCCTTTGCTGCTGCCCGGCCTGATGGAGAGGCGGCTGCCCACCTTGAGCCAGAGCAGGTAGGTGTGCTCCTTGTGCAGACCCCGAATGCCTTGAGTGGGGGTCCGGGGCAGGGGTGCACGCGGTCAGGTAGGCATGCTCGTCGTGCAGACCCCGAATGCCTTGAGTGGGGGTCCGGGGCAGGGGTGCATGCGGTCAGGTAGGTATGCTCCTCGTGCAGACCCCGAATGCCTTGAGTGGGGGTCCGGGGCAGGGGTGCACACGCTCAGGTAGGTGTGCTCCTCGTGCAGACCCCGAATGCCTTGAGTGGGGGTCCGGGGCAGGGGTGCACGTGCTCAGGCCCATCTCCACCATGGGCACATGGCCTCTTTTTGACAAAGTATCTCTCTGCCTAGTCCCTGGGTGTGGTCAATCGCTTTCTCCTTCTTGTATGTGTATGTGTGTATGTATATGTATATGTATATGTATATGTATATGTATATGTGTACGTGTACGTGTACGTGTACGTGTACGTGTACGTGTACGTGTACGTGTATGTGTATGTGTATGTATATGTGTATGTGTATGTGTATGTATATGTATGTGTATATGTATATGTATATGTGTATGTATATGTATATGTATGTGTATATGTATATGTATATGTGTATGTATATGTATATGTATGTGTATATGTATATGTATATGTGTATGTATATGTATATGTGTATGTATATGTGTATGTATGTGTATATGTATATGTATATGTGTATGTATATGTATATGTATGTGTATATGTATATGTGTATGTATATGTATATGTATGTGTATATGTATATGTATATGTGTATGTGTATGTATATGTATATGTATGTGTATATGTATATGTATATGTGTATGTATATGTATATGTATGTGTATATGTATATGTATATGTGTATGTATATGTATATGTGTATGTATATGTGTATGTCTGCAGTAGTCCCCCTTATCCACTGGGGACATGTTCCCAGACCCCCAGCGGATGCCTGATGCCGTGGATGGTACTAAACTCTATATATGCTGCGTTTCCTATACCTACATACCTATAATAAAGTCTAATTTATAAATTAGGCACGGTAAGAGATTAACAACAATAACTAAATAATAAAATAGAACAATTATAACAATATATTGTAATATGAATTAGTGGATGTGGTCTTTCTGCCTCTTTCAAATTATCTTAATATTTTGAGACCCTGATTGACTGTGGGTAGCTGAAACCATGGAAAGAGAAATTGCAGATAAGGGGGGACTCCCGCATGTCTCTGTTCTTCCCCATATCACTCACCTTTTTGGCCTGCCTTGTCAGTGTTCCTCTGTGTCTCTTCTGCTTCTATTTATCTATCTCCAGCTCTCTCAGTCCCTGAAATTCTCATTTCTGGCCCAGCTGCTCTTTCTCTTATACACATTTCTCCTCTCCTGGCTCTGCATCTCTCTAGCAAATGACAAAGATCAGAAGGGGAAAGTGTTGGGAGCATGGGAGAGTGGGAGAGAGGGGAAGATTTTCTGTAGTCATTGCTGTGATTCTGAAGAGAGTTAGTGGTGGGGGACGCAGCTGCTGGCCTGGCTTGGCTTACAGGACTCAGTGAACTTGGGTCTCCTGGGGATGCCCGTTTCTTGGTGTTAAGAAGACAGCAGTGCCTGGAGGTGGTGACGGATGTGGATGCTGATGGTGGGCCATTCAGGCAGTCATTTATCTGACAGATGTGGACTGAGTCCCTCTCATGCGCCACTACGTCTGGTGTCAGGAAGACAGTGGTGAACAAGACAGACCTGGCCTTTAAGGAGTTTCTATTCTGTTAGGGCGAGACAGGCGATAACCAAATAACCAGATAGCTAAATTCCCATAGTGATAATGCCACCGAGAAAACAGAACAGGATACAATGATAGAGGAGCAGGATGGAGTAGTGGCCAACAAGAGCTAGATGGGCAGGGAAGCCCACTTGGGGGGTGGCACTTGAGCTGAGCTCCAAATAGTAAGGAAGCAGCTAGATGAGCATCTGGATGAAGAGTGACCAGTCAGGGGAAGCAGCAAGTGCAAAGGGCCTGAGGCAGAACGAGCTCCAATTGATGGAGGAAAACGAAGGAAGGAGTGTGGAGTGGCTGAGCTGTCATGGGTGATGAGACAGGAATTTGAGATGAGCTTGGGGCCTGAGCATGTGAGGCTTTGTGGGCCACGAGGAGTCTGAACTTATTGTAAGTAAAATGGGAAACCATCAGTGGGGTTTGAGTAAGAAATGATTTGATTTAAGCCTTTAAAAATCACTTTGGTGGCCTTATGGGGAGAGGCCTGCAGAGGGCTCCTACCCCACGGGGCCTCCCTTCTGTGTGCTCAGCCCCGGCAGTCTACAGGGGGCTTTCCCAGCCTCCGTCTCCCAGGACCCTAGGGCCCCCGGTGCTCTTGTCCGTCCCAGAGCCCCAGCCAGGACTTGTCAAGGCCCTGGCTGCCTCCTGAGAAGGTCCGTTTGAGACTTGAGGAAGAAGCCCATGACCCTGGACGTGCTCCACACCCTGAGCTTCAGGCTCCCCATCTGTATAGTGATGGGGTTGGCCAGAATGACTCCCAGGGGCCCTCCAGCTTTGAAAACAATTCTCCCTGGGGTCTAAATTCCTGTGTGTTCCTGAATCCAAACCATCCCTGAGTCTCAGGCGCATCTGGAAGCGGGCAGCCTTCCAATCCCAGCCCTCTCTGGGCTGCCCCACGAGGACTCTTGGCAACTTGGGAACGTTGCGACTGGGGACCAGCAGATGCATCAGGCCCAGGGGTTCCAGACCCGAGCCCGAGGCAGAGGGCCTGTGTGAAGACAGTGTTCAGTGCCCTCCTGACCCAGCTGGGACTGACAGTGAGACAGAAATGGAAACGGGGAGAGGAAAGGTGACGGCTCTGAGTCAGAGGCCAGACTGAGGCTGGGAGGGGACGTTGGCATCACTCCCACTGCCCTGCCCCTTCTCTTGCCTCCAGTTTGGGCATCCACCAGCTGCAGCTGGTGTGGGGCCCCCACCGGATCCTGCTGACAGCCCAGGAGCTCACCTTCATCCATCCACCCCTGAACAGACAGGTGGGTAGGGCAGGGGCTAAGCTGAGTGGGCGGACAGCAGACAGAGGCCCAGTCTACGCTCCTGACCACGGCTGCCCCCTCCAGAGGCTGCATGTGGATGGTGAATGGAGAAGTGTGGCGGATGGTGGGAGCCTGAGGTCAGTGGCCCAGGGGTCAGCAAAGAGTCTGCCAGCCCCCCGGGAACCCACCAATGTGGCCCTGTACCAAGCGAGGGCCTCTGCCACCCCTATGCCCAGGCCTAGGCAGCTGCAGTCCGTTTGGGAGAAGCCGAGGGAGCCCATAACCTCTTGGGCCTCTGTATGGCCTACTCCTGTTACAGACTGAGAAACTGAGGCCCAGATAGGAGCAGTGCCTTTCCTGGGTCCCTTGGCAAGTTGGCAGCAGGGCTAGGAGTGGAAAGTAGAACCCCAGCTCCTGGCCCAGCATGGTTCATCATCTGACCTGAAGGAACAGCCAGTTCCCAGGCCCTTGGCCCTCAATGCTGCCAGTGCGGCTCACCCCAGGGCCTTTCTTAGGGACCAAGGCCAGCCTAGGTCACCCTCCTGCCTGCTTAGGTAAGGTGAGATCCTGGGTCTCCCAGGCCCTGACATGTGGGGGCAGCACCCAGCCCAGGATAGCCTCGGGCAGAGCCGGGGCCACCAGCTGGCAGGGCGGCTGGGCGGTCAGAGGTGAGCTCAGCAAGATCTCAGGACGCTGAGGATGCCGCCATTTCTCAGGTGCTGTCATTCTCAAGTTCAACAATTCATGGTTGCTATGATTCACCTACACCAAGACTCTCACGGTAGATGAGCCGGGCTAGTTGTTTCTACAGAGGCAACATGAGCTGCTTGCTCCTTCTTTTCTACCTGTCCCCTGAGGGAATTCCATCTTTTTTTCTTTTCTGCTGCAAGGAGGCTTTAATGGTGTTCAAAGAGTGTTTTGTCTGCTTCTCCGAGTTGGCTGACGGGCTGTAGGTGAGGCTGAGAGGCAAAACCCATCAGTGATGGAAGAGAGAAGGCCAAGGTTACAGCTAGCTCTGGGCCAGGCCAAGGCAAGGGCAGAGCCCCCACCTGGGACCCCTCCTCTCCCACCCGCCCCTCTCTCCTCACCATGAATCCCCAGGTGACAGAGCTCCCCACCCAAGCAGTTCACAGGGTTAGGGGTGTCATGAGGGCCTGAGGCCTGCAGGGCAAAGCTGTAGACCAGGGGCGAGCATACTTGATACCCACCATCTCATTAAGCCCCTGAGATGTGGGTGGGTGCTATCATCCTCACTTTACAGATTTGGAACCTGCAGCTCAGAGAACTGAAGTCACCCACCCCAGGTCACAGAGTTGGAAAGTGGTGGTGTCAGGACTGGAACTGGAGTCCATCAGCCAAAGCCCGGCCCTTGGCTCTGCCCGGCTTATAGCAAATGTTTCCGCTCACCAGGCTGTGCCTGGCTCAGAACACACAGAAGGAATGCGTTGATGGGGAAGAAACTGAGCTGAGAGAGGTAGAGGGGTTTTCCTGAGGTCCCACAGCTGAGGAGCAGCAGCAGCTAAACTCTTGCTCTTCCTTGAACAGGGAGACCGGGTGTGGCTGAAGAAGTGTGAAGTGGGCTCAGACCCTGAGCTGCGCCCAAGCTGCCTCAGCCTCCCGAGGAAGGCAGGGCTGTAGAGGGCGCAGAAGGTGGGTGGGGAGTGAGGCTGCTCAGGACACCCTTACTGATCCAGGTTGGTCTCAAAGAGGAAATTATTCTTGCCATCATGATCCTGCCCACTGCCAATGCCTCAATCACAGTGGTTCACTATTGCTGTCACTGTCCCATGCCAGCATCCTTAAAGCCACGTCACCACCCCATAACCCATAATCCCCATAACCACCAGGGCGCAGTGTCCTCCATCAATGCCCTCGCATGGCAACTCATCATGAAGGGACCTCATCCTGCAGCCCCCTCCCTTTACCCATCCTTTCTTTTATTCACTGTTTACTGAGCATCACTTATGTGCCAGGCACTTATGTGCAGTGTTCTGGGCTTTGGGGATACAGAATGGAGAAGAGAGAAAAAGTCCCCTCCCTCAGGGAGATCCTAAGCACCTGTTATCACTAACCACATAAGCATTTTCACCCCCAAGATCATTACCATCCTGAGAGGCACTGAGGGATGGAGACAGAGCATGAGACTTGAGTCAGGAAGATCTGGGTGAAATCTTGCCTCCATGGAACTCTTAGCTTTCCTGTAAAATGGAGCTAGTGATAGCCACCTTCTGGGGGATTATGATTGCAGAGAATGCATGAAATAACTTAGAACTCTTCCTGGCAAGTGGTGTGCTTTTGATACATGGTGAATTTTATTGATATCTCCAATATCACCACAGTCTGAAATAAAGTTCAGAAGGATTAAGTGACTGGAAGTTAAGTTAGGCATTTCCCAGTGGGCATCTTGCAACTATGTGAGTAGATTTTTTTTTTTTTTTTTTTTTGAGACAGGGTCTCGCTCTTTCACCCAGGCTGGAGTGCAGTGGCTGAATCTCAGCTCACTACAACCTCCGGCTCCCGGGCTCAAGCGGTCCTCCCACCTCAGCCTCCCAAGTAGCTGGGATTACGGGTGTGCACCACCACACCCAGCTAATTTTTGTATTTTTAGTAGAGACAGGGTTTCACCATGTTGGCCAGGCTGATCTAGAACTCCTGGCTTCAAGTGATCTGCCATTTATCCACCTATTGACTCATTCACCCATTCACCACCCACCCACCAACCACCCATCTACTCACCCATCCATCCATCCACCCATTCATCCACCCACCCATCCACCCGTTCATCCACCCACCCATCCACCCATCCATCTGCCCACCCACTCACCAACCATGCAAACACCCATCCACCAACCACCCATCCACCTACCCAACAACTCACCCACCCACCAACCACCCATCCACCCACTGACCAATCGCCCACCAACCCATCCATCCACCCAGCCACCCACCCATTCACTCATCCATCCATCCACCCACCCATCTACCCACCAGCCCACCAAGTACCCACTCACCCACCCATTCACCCATCATCCATCCACCCTCCCACCCATCAACCACTCACCCACCCATCTACCTGCCTACCCACCAGCTCCCCACCCACCCATCCATCTATTTATCCATCTACCACCCACCACCATCTATCCATGCATACATTCATCCATCCATCCTCCATCCATCCCTCACCACCCACCCATTCATCCATCTGTCTGTTTTTCCATCCATTCATTCAACATTTCTGATGCCTCTCCATGCTTAGCCTTGTGCTTGGTGCTAAGAGCAGGTGGCCTAGATGTGGATTGCACCTGGTCCAGCCCTCGAACGGCCCCTGAGGGCTGCTAAGGTGCCAATTTCCCTGACAGATGCGGGAGCTGCGGTGTGAGAACGTCGCCACCTGCCTGGGCATTTTCGTGATCTCTGGGGAACCTGCTTCGGAAAGAGGTCCTGCACCTAGACTGGACCTTCAAGGCCTCCCTGCTGCTGGATTTGATCTGCATGAGATCCCTCCCTGGGCCTGGCACTGCAGGGAAGTGGGGATGGCAGGGAGACAGGAGATGCTCAGATTTCCCACAGCTGGGCTCTTTCAGCTTTGTCTAATCCAGGGATATCCAAACTGCATGGCCACGGGTACAGGGAGGCAGGAAGGCTTTCTGGGGCTTGTGGGAATTCCGAGAGAACCAGGTTTCCTCTCATTCGTTACAGATCCAATGGACCCCCATTATGTCCATCTCAGGGCATGAGGTATCTGCACCACCACCATTTCCCTCCTGGCTGCCTCAAGTTCCAAAACTGTGTGGTGGACAGATGCTTTGTGCTCAAGGTCACTGACCATGGTTATGCAGAGCCCCTGGACACTTAGCAGGATCCCCAACCCTGGCCAGCCCCAGAAGGTCAGCTCAGGGATAGGCAGGGGGCTGCCAGTAGGTTTGGGGGCCTCTGTTTAACCAGGTGCTTGTAAGGTGCAGGGAGAGGGAGATCTCCAGTCCTCTGGTATTGGTGACCTTGAGTTGATCGCTTCTCCTCTCTGAACAAGCTGTAGGCTCTTTACCTGTGAATTGGGGAGAATACATGCACCCAGCCTGGCTTGGGTGGTCAGCAGGTAATGGTGGCATGGCCCTGCCCTATGATTGCAGAGCTGCTATGGACAGCTCCTGAGCTGCTGCCGGGGCCTGGGCGCCCTGGGCGGCGCACCCTCACAGGGGACATCTTCAGCACTGGCATCATCCTGCAGGAGGTGCTGACTCGGGCCCACTCTACTGCTCCTCGGGACTTCCAGTGGAAGGTAGGTATCCTCCTCCCCTTTCTTGGCTGTCCCTGGCTAGAGTCTCTGCCTAGTGGGAAATTCTATGGCAATCAGGAAATCTGGGCCTGAAGACCACATAGACACACACACCTAAAGTCTGACCATGAGAACTTGACTTAAACCGGGCAGCCTTTTAAGGGGTGGCCTGCCCCTCCACACCTGTGGGTATTTCTAGTTGGGTGGGACGAGAGACTGAGAAAGAGATAAAACACAGAGACAAAGTATAGAGAAACAATAGTGGGCCCAGGGGACCGGCGATCAGCATACCAAGGACCTGCACCGGCACCGGTCTCTGAGTTCCCTCAGTTTTTATTGATTATTATGTTCATTATTTCAGCAAAAAGGAATGTAGTAGGAGGGCAGGGTGATAATAAGGAGAAGGTCAGCAACAAACATGTGAGCAATGGAATCTATGTCATAATGAAGTTCAAGGGAAGGTACTATGACTGGACATGCACGTAAGCCAGATTTATGTTTCTCTCCACCCAAACATCTCAGTGGAGTAAAGAATAACAAGGCAGCATTACTGCAAACATGTCTCACCTCCCACCATAGGGCGGTTTTTCTCTCATCTCAGAATTGAACAAAGGTACAATCGGGTTTTATACCAAGACATTCAGTTCCCAGAGGCAGGCAGGAGACAGTGGCCTTCCTCTATCTCAACTGCAAGAGGCTTTCCTCTTACTAATCCACCTCAGCACAGACCCTTTACGGATGTCGGGCTGGGGGACGGTCAGGTCTTTCTCATCCCATGAGGCCATATTTCAGACTATCACATGGGGAGAAACCTTGGACAGTACCCAGCTTTCCAGGGCAGAGGTCCCTGCAGCTTTCCGCAGTGCATTGTGCCCCTGGTTTATTGAGACTAGAGAATGGCGATGACTTTTACCAAGTATACTGCTTGTAAACATTTTGTTAACAAGGCACGTCCTGCACAGGCCTAGATCACTTAAACCTTGATTTCATACAACACATGTTTTTGTGAGCTCCAGGTTGGGTCAAAGTGGTTGGGTCAAAGTGGCTGGGGCAAAGCTACAAATTAACAACATCTCAGCAAAGAAATTATTTAAAGTACAGGTCTTTTTCCAAATGGAGTCTCTTATGTCTTCCCTTTCTACATAGACACAGTAACAGTCTGATTTCTCTTTCTTTTCCCTACAGCCTTCAGCAACTCTGCCAGAATAGCAGCTGACCCACTCCAGGGGCTAAGGACGTTGTGCTCTGGGTGAAAATCCCCGCCCCTGCCTTCCTCCCCAGTGTCACTGCCATGCCTGTAGGTGCTCATGCCCCGCCTGCACCTGCCCTCCATGCCCAGCACAGGCTACACAGAGCTCAGCCCTACTCCAGCTGTGTCACTGTCTTACTCTGTGACCTTACACAAACCGCTTACCCTCTCTGAGCCTCAGTGTTGTCATCTATAAATGGGAATCCAGTAACCAATGTGCCAGATCCCCAGCCCCTTGGCCAACGTGGCCAGGCTGCTCAATACCACGGGGCTTCGTTACCTGCCCAGGCAGGCTCCTTCAGAGCATCTCTGTCCTCACACTTCTGGCTCCCCAGGATAATCACTTGCAGCTTCCCCATCGTCACCTGGCCTGTACACACTTTCTCTCTTCCAGCCCCAGTGCCAAGGCCCAACTCCAAAAATGTTTCCTCCCCTCTGTGCTCTCTGTCTGGCTCCCTGGACCCCAGACTTCTCTTTCTGTCATCCTCCTGCTGCCTCTTCCCAGTCCCAGGGACCTGGCCCTCCACAGACACCTGGCACCTCGGCCCACAGTGCAGAGCAGTGACGGTGCCGAGCTCACCATCAGCTCCCACCCCAGTGGATAATCTTTAATTCACAGGAGACCCAGCCCCACTGCCTTTCTCCACCACAGCCCTGTGAATAATGAGCATTCCAGGCCCAAATTTATGAGGTGGAGGAGTGGGAAGAAGGGGGGCCTTATAAGACCATTTGTTCAACACTCCTCGGCTGCCTCCCCATCATCTGCCTCTGAGGAGGGAAGGACTGGCCAGATGGGATCTGCAAGCCATGCCACCAGTGCAAGGCGCTCCAGGCCTGGCTCCATCCAGCTTTGGGTGCAGGGACCCAGGTCTGGAATGCTCTGGCCACCCTTGAGGAGGCTGTCAGCCTAGGGCCCACTGCTTCCTGCTGTGTGCTTTCCTAGGCCTCAGGGAGTACAGGGCTCACGCCACAGGCTCCAGGGAACACCATCCTAAGCCCAGCTCCACACCAACATGCCTCGTGACTTTGAGTAAATCCCTTTTAGGCTCCAAGCCTCAGTGTTCTCATCTGTAAAATGGGAACCATGATGTCTGCCTTCCAGCGCAGCTGTGAGGATTCAGTGAAATGCTGTAGACAGAGGGCCTGGCATGCAGTGGGTCCTCAATAAATATCTGCAGGGTGATGTGAGGAGCGTGCTAAGGGGGGTCCCAGGCTCTCTCCTGACTCTAACATCTCTTTAGGATCCTGTGGGTGGGGGGTCACTTTGCAGTTCCCAAGGCACTTTCATGTGCATGATTCCATTTGACAACCCTGGGAGGTGGCTAATCGCCCCCCTTTTAGAGTTCAGTGAGGCTCAGAGAGTGGAAGGGACTTCTCAGAGGGGAAGCTGTGGACCTGGGATTGGGTGGACATCCCTGGTCCAAGCTCAGTGTTCTAAAATCTCTTGGTGTCATCCGTGGGGCATCCTCTTAGAGCCCAGCCAGATCCCACCAGAGCTGGATGCTCAGCCTCCTCCCCCAGCCCTCAGCACTGTCCATAAATCATGGCTATGCCTGGGGTGTGGACAGCATGCCTGGCGCAGTGAGGGGAGCATGAGACCTAGCCTGGCCTGGGGCAGGGGTTCCCAGCATGTTCACTTATGAAGACTCCATTTTAATGTCAAAAATGGTTAGAGCCTCTTATGCTACTATTTGACTTCTAATATCCACTAACTGAGAACATACCCAATGATAAAATCGGCTGTGAAATCAGCAACACTTTGAAATGGATTTGTTTGTATTCGTTACAGTGCCATCTGCATACCTTTGAAAATCAGTAGTACATGTGTGCATGTGGTGTATGACTGGTTCCATCAGCACACAGTCTTTTGTAAGCACATATGACTTCCCAGATCCCACACTCGGGGGCCCTCAGGGTCTAACGCCTGTAGGCTGGGAACCTCTGGGCAGAGGAGATCGTGCAGGCTGGGTGCAAACCAGGCCCCGTTCTAGTGTCTGCTTTTGACTGGCCCTATGTGGGTACCTGATTTCACTCCCAGGAGCCTCAGTTTCCCTGTCTGTAAAATGGAATGGTGACTCCTGCACTATCCCCAACAAGAAGCCAAAAAGGGATGGGAAGGGGACTGAAACCCAGAAAGAAATTTCTCCTCCCTGGCTCCAAGGGCTCCCACCTCCCTCACTCATGAGAGGAGGATCCCGGCCCTCCTCAGAGGAGATTAACCTACTCTGCCTCATGACAACCCTTCCAAATATGTAGTATGGTTATACCCGTCTTCCAGGTGAGGAAGCTGAGGCTCAGAGAGGCGATGCGCCTTGTGCGGACTGTAAATGGGTCGTCTAAAGTCCCGCTCTGATCTGTGGACTCCAGAGCCTGAGCTCGGTGTCAGCCCCTCTTCCCCCCAGCCTACTTTAGAATCGCTCGGCTCCCCCTGGCTCTCCAGCAGCCCCCCCGAGGCAGGGGTTATTTCCATCAGTTGTTAGGTGGGGAAACTGAGGCTCAGAGTCATAGCAGAACTAGAGCACTGACTTAGCCTGGTGTGGAGACAGGATGACATGTGGCCAGGTTTTCTTGAGGACAGAATCATAATGATGATGATAATGATAAGCAGGCAGTGTCGTTCACACCTGTGGGGAACCGGCACGCCAGTGTCTGCGTGGCAAGGCTGGAGGAAAGAGCTGCGCTGTCAAGGTTTCAAGATCATTGGTGGGCATTGTTGGCAACAGAGCAGCGGCAGTTGTTGCGGGGCCTGAGGGTGGGGGAGAGTCTGCCAGGTGCTAACATCCGTCGTCTTCCACCTCAGCACTCCTCTCAAGAAGGCAGTTTATTTGAGACCAGCCTGATTAACATGGAGAAACCCCATCTCTATGAAAAATACAAAATTATTTGGGCGTGGTGGTGCATGCCTGGAGGCTGAGGCAGGAGAATCGCTTGAACCTGGGAGGCAGAGGTTGTGGTGAGCTGGGATCGCGACATTAAAAAAAAAAAAAGAACAGAAAAAAAAAAGAAAAAAGAAGGCAGTTTATATGCTCATTTCACAGATCGGGAGACTAAGGCTCAGAGAGGTCATTGTCTTCTCCACCATCCCATAGTATTGTGGTGGCAGATCCAGAATTCAAAACCAGCTCGCGGCTCTCCTGGCCCCCAGTTTGAGACCCTTTCCTTGGCCACACCCAGGGTAGACCCAGGAGAACAATAATGCCACATCCACTGGCCAGCCATACCCTGGAAACAGGAGCTGAGGAATATCCTCAGGCCCAGAACCTGGCACCGCCATAAGCCTACTCTGCCCACGCTCTCAGGATCCGAGGCCAGGCTCCTTTCATGACCTTTCCCAGGACCCCAGGCCCGCCCCATGGTGTTGGTTGCCGAAATCATCAGGAGGGTGGCATCTCCCCCTCCTCTGTGCCGGCCGCTGGTGACCCCTGATCACGGGCCGCCTGAGTGCGTTGGCTGATGAAGAAGTGCTGGGACGAGGCTCCAGAGGACAGACCTAGCATGGACCAGATCTACAGCCAGGTGAGTGCTCCCCAGAGGAGCAGGTGCTCACAAAAAATGGCCCATTCGTTCAGCTCACTTAGCTCAATGCAAGCCCTGTGAGTTCCCTGGGACCTGGAAAGCCATGCAGTAAGGGGCAACCACCCAGCACTGTCACCCCTGAGGTCCACCTTTTAAGGAGAACTTTCTTAGGACCACAGGTTCCAGGGACGTTTGTCCCATGCCTTCCTGAGTGTCAAGCCCCATGCTGAGGGCCATGCTCCCCTCCTTTCATCCTCGCCACAGCCCTCTGAAGAAACAGTGTTAGTTTCTTGGCTTCGTGGGAGAGAAATGAGGCCTGGAGAGGTGGGGGGACTTGCCCAAGGTAACTGAGCAAGTGAAAGATGGGGCTGGAGTCCAACCCAGGTCTGTCTGTCTTTCTGCAGAGCTGTACCAGGAACCCTGCCTTGTACCAGGCCTTCTGGCACTAGAGGAGAGAGGCCACTGTGGCTGTGGAGACAGTACTACTTCCTGAGTCAGTGAGGGGAAAATGTGAGGGGCCCTGGGGCCCCCCAGGACTGCCTTGGGGATTTCAGTGGGAGGGGCAAGGCAAGTCTGTGCAAGCTGGCAGGGCAGCAGTGGAGTATGTGAACATGACGAAGCTGGCCGATGGCTTCCACGGGGCCAACCCATCAGACCCAAGGGAACAGTGCCTCCCCTCCCCGTCCTCCACACCCCAGCCATGGTGGAGAGTTGCCAAGGAGTGGTTCAGGGAACAATAAAGGGGTTAGGACAGGTGATGAGAGGGAGAGAGGCAGCAAGGCAGTCCAAGGAGACGCACACAGGTGTCCTTTGAGAAGCCCTGCCCATCCCCTCTCTTCCCACAACCCCTCCCCACTTAGCTCTGGCATCAGGGGTGGTGCCCCCCTCCACAGATGAGAAATCTAGAGCTCAGAGTAAATGACCTCTAAACAGTCACCATAATGGTGGGTAGCAGAGCTAGGGTGAGCAACCAGTTTCTAAAGCACAAGCTTGGAATCTTTCCAGGGGATCGGAGGTTGCCATGGCCAGTGAGGTGGGGAAGGGCTCTTGCCTTGAGTGAGGGGTGACTGTGGGATTCTTGCCCAAGATTCCTGGCCAAGGCCCCATGGCAAAGAAGGCTGAGATGGGCACACATGAATTCCACCTGAAGAAGGGGGGAATGGCATCACACTGTGGGGAGGTGAGGGGTCAGATGCCTGGATTCACATCTATGTGAGAATCCAGTGGATAATCATCCCACTTACCCACTGTTTGACCTTGGACAAGTTAATGGTCCTCTTGGGCCTCAGCCTCCCTGTATGTTTCCTGGAAAGATAACTAACCCTGGCCTAACTCTCCAGATAGGTGTGACCATCCAGTGAGATAACTAATTTTTTTTAAATGTAGCTCTTTGAGAAGGAGAGAGTGAGTAAGGTACAAGAGAAAGAACACTGACATTAAAGTCAAAAGGCCTGGGTTTCGGGAGGCAGAAGTTGTGGTGAGCCGAGATTGCGCCATTGCACTCCAGCCTGGATAACAAGAGCGAAACTCTGCCTCGAAAAAAAAAAAAAAAAGGCCTGGGTTTATATTCATTTCACATTGTTCTAGGAGTAGTAGCCAATGCAATTAGATGAGAAAATTAATTTTGGAAAGGAAGAAGAAATATACATAATTCCAAATGATAAAATAATTCAGTGGGGTGCCTGGTGATAAAATTAATATAAAAGACTTTAGTTTGAAACTCAGATCCACCACTGTGTGCTCCTTGGCAAGTTATTCCACCTCTCAGATCCTTTGTCTCTTCATTTATGAAATGGTGACCTTCCATGCAGAGGTGACCTTGGAGTTGGCTTCATGTCCTTGTTGGTGTCTCAAGGTCAGCAGCTGTCATGCTCACCCTGTAAAGCTTTTGTTGGACAATACAAAATAGGTGCATTTCAGGGGCTGCTGCCACTCCCTACCTTGCAGACATTTGGCTGAGAGATGTGGCATTAATGGAGGTTGGATGTGCATACCTACACACACACACAACACACACACACACGTGCACACGCACACACGCACACACTCTTACACGTTCAAGATGCTGGATTTTGGCAAGCATGGACCCCTTCACTTTGACCATCATTGATTTGCTTCTCTTACTGACTGCACTCTGGGAAGGTGCAAACCACACTGGGTAAGGTTCTAGTAAGTCTTCCTAGGAAAACTGCTGCCAGATGTCCTGTAAGGTTGTTGTTGAAGATGTAGTTTATGATCACACATAAGGGTTCTCATACAAAGAACTAAGAGGCTTTTCTCTTTGCTTGGCACTAGGAGTAGTTGTATTTCTTTTGAGCAATTAGTTTAATGTTTCATTGTCTTATGGACCCCATGGATTGTGTAATCTATATTTCCCTCTTTGCTTTGTTGCTAGGAAGCTCATATCCAAAATGGTGACCAAATTCTAGCATGGATTTTGCATACAGATTTCACTCCTAGATTTACCTTTTTTTAAAAAAAGGCTTTACTCTCCTTTGGTCCTAATATCCTCACACGTTTATTATTTTATTGTGTGGTACTGCTTTTATTCTTCTTCATCATTAAAATTTCGGAGGAACAAAGTAGAAATAGAGACAGATTATACGTATAAATAATCTACATATATTCTTTCTATCTATCCATCCATCCATCATCCACCTACCCTTCCATCTGTCCATCCATCCATCCATCCATCCAACCATCTGTTCATCCATCCATCCATCCATCCATCCATCTGTCTGTCCATCTGTCCAACCATCCATCTGTTTGTCTATTATCTATCTATCTATCTATCTATCATCTATCTATCTATCTATCTGTCTGTCTGTCTGTCTATCTTTGAGAAGAACAAAGAATCTCACAGCGTTGTTGTGAGACCCAGTGCAATAGGATTGTGTTTGTTAACCATAATGCTGTGCTGGGTACAGGCTCCTTTGCAAAGTCCTCTTGCTGCCTGCCCACCCCACACAGAATTAACCCGTTAATCTGGCACAAAGCTGACTGCACTTTTCCCTTGTCAGAGCCACCATCCCCCTGTAATTTACATATCTATTCCCCACAACAATGCAGCTCCTTCAAGCGGGGATTCTGTTTGGTGCATTTCTGTGGCCCCAGACTCCCAGCTGAGGACCAGGTGTGCTGACCTTCATGGATGACTTGGCATTTTTGTTCCATTTTCAGTTCAAAAGCATCAACCAAGGCAAGAGGACCAGTGTTGCTGACTCCATGCTGTGGTTGCTGGAGAAATATTCCCAGAACCTGGAGGACCTGATTCAGGAGCAGACTGAGGAACTGGAGCTGAAGAGAGAGAAGACAGAAAGGCTGCTCTGTCAGATGATTCCCCCGTGAGTGGCCCCTGGACTTGAGTGTGCCTCTAGCCTTAGCTCTAAGCACAGGGCCTGGAATATAGTGGGTGCTCAGCAGATCTGGATTCCATGAATTTATTCAATTCACTCATCCATGTTTATGTATCTAACATTTTTCTTATGCAGCACATTATTTTGTTTAGTTAGTTAGTTTAGTTAGTTTTGTTTATTACTATTATTTTAGATACAGGGTCTCACTATGTTGCCCAGGCTGGCCTCAAACTCCTGGCCTTAAGTGATTCTCCTTCCTCAGCCTCCCAAAGTGCTGGGATTATAGGCGTGAGCCACTGCACATGGCTTATACAACATATTTTTATAGAGCCCTCACCATGTGCCAGGTACTCTGTTGGGCATGTGAGTAGAATTTCTGCTCTCTCACATCCTTGGGAGCAAGGAGCTGGGCACAATGCTTCCCCCACCCCAATATCACTTCAGAGGAAGTCATGTCCAGAGAGGGCAAGTATTCACTCCAGGGCAGTCAGCACTGCAGCAGACTTGAACCAGATCTGCTGATGCTCAACACAGTTTCCTCTCAAATATCCCTTCCTAGCCTCCAAACTGTCAAAAATAGACCCTCATACCTTATGTGTCTGGCCCCTCCCATCCCTTCAGGTCTGTGGCTGAAGCTCGGAAAATGGGGGCAACTGTGGAACCAGGGTATTTTGACCAGGTTACCATATACTTCAGTGACATTGTGGGTTTCACCATCATCTCAGCCCTGAGTGAACCCATTGAGGCGGTGGGCTTGCTCAACGATCTCTACATGCTGTTTGATGCTGTTCTGGGCAGCCATGACCTGTATAAGGTGAGAATACCAGGAGGCTGGCATTCCATTCCTCCCTTTACTACTGTGCCTTGATGGTACAATTACTTCCATTCATTTATTTATGTATTTATATCAGCTAGCTATTGCTGTATAATAAATACCCCCAAACTCAATAGGGTAAAATGATAAGCATTTATTATTGTTCACAAACCTATGGGGCCACCAGAAAGTTCTTCTGGACACACTCATACATCTGTGGTCAGCCATGGGTGAGGTAGCTGCTCTGCTGATCTCAGTTGGGTTCTCTCATGTCTCTGGAGCCTTGTGGAACTCAATTCTGTTCCACAGTCTATCTTCCTCCAGCAGGCTAGTCCGGGATTGTTTACATGATGTGGCAGGGTTCTGAGAGAGAGGACAGAAGTACACAAGGCTCTTGAGATCTAATCTGGGATCAGGCATATTACAATTTCTGATGTATTCTATTGGTCAAAATGAAAGACTAGCTCAGATTCAAGAGCTGAGGAAACAAAGTCCACCTCTTGATGGAAGAAGCTTCAGAGTCCCATTGCAATGGGGTGAACATAGAGGGGGTGGAGGATATGGGCCATTTTGCATTTAATGGACCACAGTGTTTACTTGTCCATTGTCCATCTATCCATCCCTTTACAATCTTATCAGCAGGCTCTTCTGTGCCTGACCCTGTGCTGGGCATGAGCAGACAGATGACTCAGCTCCCAATCCTATGCTCAAGGAGCTCTCAGTCCTGTAGGTAAAAGATAATGACCCGCAGTGAAAGTAATAATCCTGGGAGGCAGAGGAGGCTGAGAGGGCCCCAACCCAGCTAGGGGTAGATGTGTAAAGAGCAGGGAAGACTTCCTGGAAGAGGTGCTGTCTTCCCAGCATTGTCCCGTCTGGGAGTGGCAGTCCTAAGCAGGCAATGGGGGAAAAATATGCTAAAGCCTGAGGCTTCAGAGGGCCTGGTGAGTGTGGCAATGCTGAATAAGCTGGGCTGGCTGGACAGGAATGGGCCAGGAGTGGGGAGTTGGGGGCACTGGAGAGAACAGCAGAGGCCTCAGCAGGGCCTTCAAACCCCTCCCTGTGCACCTCTCAGTCCTGGGTTTGAGCCCCAGCCTGGCCACCAGCTTCTGTGTGGCTTTGGGCTAACAGCTTCCCCTCTCTGGGCCTCTGTTTCTTTGACAGTGAACAGGAATGGTGAGCACAGTCCTGGGGGTGTTCACGGAGGATGGGAGGATCCTGTCCCCCATGCGCAAGTGGGTGTCAAGCATGGAGTGTGAGAGGTAGTCACCTCCTGCCTGCCACTCCTCCACTCTGCCCATGCTGTGGGGACCTTCCAACCCCAACCCTTCTCCTCGTTCTGATCCAGGGGGTCTAGGGGCAGCTTCAGACATGGTAGGGAAGGTACGGAGGAAGGTCCCAGGAAACAACACACCAAGGCTCTATTGGCCTTAGCCCTAATTTGTGACTCACCAGCCCTGTCCAGCCACGGCCCTCCACAAAGGCAGAGGCAGGGGAGGGCCAGGCCCTGAGGGCTGAAGCCAGATTGAAAAGGATGCCTTGGGAGGAATTTTCCGAGGACACGATGAACTCTTTGAGATGCCAGACAATCTGCTGATAGCATTATTTATAGTACCCCAACAACAATAATCACCAACACTTATTGAGTGTTTAGTGTATACTGGATGCTAGTATTAAATGCTTTATATGTATCAGCCCATTTATTCAGCAAAACAATTCATGAGGTATGAAGTGGTACTGCTAATTTATATATGAGGAAAATGAGGCAGCAGAGGCTAAGTGGCTTATTTGTTAACATCATCCTAGTGGGATCTGAGGCCAAGATTTGAACCTGATTATGCTGGTCCAAAGGCCCTTCTTCAGGGAGGCTCACCATCCCCATGACATAGACATCCTCAGGATAAAGCTGTGGGTTCATAATGGCCCACAAGCCCTCCAGGAGCTGCCCTACCTACCTCCCCAGTTGTGTCTCTAGCCGCTCCACCTCTGCAGGCCTCTGGATCCTCACACATGCCTCGCTGTCTCTAGCCACCAGGCCTTGGGACCTCTGTTTCTCCTCCTGGAGCAGCACTCTCCCTCCTCTTCACCTAGCTCCCTCCTGGCCGTGTGTCTGGTCTCGGGTTAGCCTTCTCCCCCTCCTAGATACAGTTAGGGGCACCTGTTTGATGCTCGCATAACTCCCCCTACATTGCACTTTATGTTTCCACACTGAATTACTCCCCAGTGGCCGGCAGTGTTCAGCACATCATAGATCCTCAGGAAATGTGTGTTGAGGGAATGAGGAGGACATTGAGGCACAGAGAGGGAAGTGACCCACCTAAGGTCACACAGCTGGCCATCAGCAGAGCCAGGACAGGAACCTATGGCATCCACCATGGTGCTCCATCCACTGCACCATACTGACCGACACACACCCACAGGGACCTGCACCACTGACACCCAAGGGTGCAGCTTCCCTCCTGTTCCCCACTCAGGACCTTAGATCCCCGCCCTGGCCTGCGGTTCCAAGGCGTTCCTGAGTTTCCCTCTTGCCTCCAGAGCCACCCTGGCCCCACAGCCCCAGGAAAACATTCCTCATCTCATCTCGCTGAGCCCCACAGCTTTGATCTGCCCTGAGTCACCCCGGCCTTATGTCTTCCTCCACTGCTAATCTTTCCTCACACATGTGTCCCCTGGCTCTGAATCATCCCTTCTCATCTGCTCTGAACCCTGGCCAGGAGGTCTGCATCTTTCTGGCAGAATGAAATGAAATCAAACAAGGCCCACACAACCCTCCAGATGTGGGGAAAGAGGAGGCCCCTTCTTCATGGTGTGCAAGTGTCTCTCATCACTCACGCCATCCACCTTGGTTTCCCCTTCGTCCCCAACAGGATCTGGTTACTGCTCTTTAATCCGGTCTGGGTTGGGAGGCAGCCAGACAATCATTTCCTGGTTTTGCAGGGGTCTGCAATTCCCTCCCACGCTCGCTGAGTGTGCACTTTCATGGACATGACTCCAGAGCGGAGCCGCTGGGGACTGTCACGGAGGCAAGGCCTCAGCCCCACCTGTGGCTCAGCCAGGCGTAAGTCTTGCCCTGGCCCTACTGCCAAGCCACCCTGGGCACGTCACCTCTCTGAGCCTCAGTACTCCACTTATAAAACAGGGATGAAAGTGTCTCTGGTTTAGGATTGCTCTGCAGATTAAGGAATGTGAGAGAAAGCACCATTGGTCATTTAGGCACCACCTTAACCTTGAGCACCTGCCACATGCCAGATGCTGAAAGCACAGAGGGAAAGGGCAGCATTAGTTAATCACCTACAGAGGGCTAAGTTGGCTGGGGAAATTTCACAAGTGATCTAATCTAACCCTTTCAGTGCCTGTCAGGGGTATGGATTACTATCCCTACTGTACAGATGAGGATGCAGGCACAGGGAGGGTAAATGACTCACCCAGGGTCACACAGCAAGTCAGTGGTGGGGTTAGAATTCACATCTGCGTTTGATAGTATGGACCCTTTGCTTGCACCTCTCCCCTGGCTGTTTCTCCCATCTGTGAAGGGAACCACTGCCTCACTTACAGCTGAGAGCCCACTATGATAGGCAGCTTTGAATACATCACCTTTACGAGTCCCTGGAGAGCATGCCTGTGCCTGGTCATCTTTCTGTCTCTAGGGGTAAGGAGTGAATGTTAATCACCCTGCATGTTCCCTTCCAGCTCAGGCATCAGGCAGGTCAGCAGCTTAGAGATCAGCTTTAGCAGATCAGAGAATGTGGTCTGGTTGTGTGGCCACTATGAGGCTTTCTACTCCTCCCCTCTAGTCTGGACTGTGGGGGCACACATCTGAGGCAGGGCTGGGTCCCCAGAGCTGGTGCACCGTCCCTGAATCACAGCTGCACACCCAGCAGGCAGGGTGGGAGCAGAACCTCCTCAAAAGAGAGAGAGAAAGGGCCCAAGCCATGTCCATCAAGAGGCAGCATAGTGCACAGACTCTGGAGCTGGACTGACCAAGTTCAAACCCACGCACTGGCTACAAGTGACCATGGCAAGTGACTTAATGCCTCTGACCCAGTTTTCACCTATAACATGGCCTTAGTAATAGTACTCACATCCCCGAATTCTTGTGACGATCTAATGCGTTCATAATTGTAAAGGGTTTGGGACTGTGTATGGCACATAGTGAGCACTATACGAGTATTTAAGAGGCACTGAGTCCTTTTTCCGTCTCGCCAATCAAGTAAGGCATTCCACCTCCTGCGGTGAGGAAGAAGAGAGAGAAGGGAAAGCCAGGAGTCTCTCAAAATTTTCCCTCCTGGGGAGTGGAGTGGAAAATCTCTTTTGTGGAAAGGTGCACAGCTTGGGGCAGCCCTGCCACCACCCCCGCCACTCTTACCACCAGCCAATGAATGCTGGGTGGACAGCAGCAGGCAGGCCGCAGGGCGAGAGAGCAGGCCACAGCCCAGAGGAGGGAAACATCTTTCTCACAGCTGGGGACTGGGAAGATTCTGTGCCCTAGATCACGTGTGAGCGGGACCGATGGAGGGGTGGGATTTCAGCAGTTAGAGACTGGGATAGCTTTTCAGGCAGAGGGACCTGGCAGACGTGAGCAAGCAGTAGGTGTCTCTTGAAATGGTAGAAAGGGTTTCTGTCTGGCTGAAGCATGGGGAACCAGAAGCAACTGTTAGAAAACGTCAGGAAATCCTGCAGATGAAGGAGGCCCTTGATAGCTAGGCCAGGGGGCCTGAATTTTAAGCCATGGCCATAGGGAGCAAATTGAAGTGCATATCAGAGCGGAATGTGATGTGATTAGGGCAGATCACTTTTTGGTGGTGAGGTGGAGGACAGTCGGGGTGAGGGAGAGATCACAGGGTCGTGGGGGCGTTGGTAGTGGGGCACAGCCCACACTTGCATGTTGCGTGAGAAATTTTTTGAATTACAGCGCCCCCTAAGGGCTGTGGAGCATCACGATTCTTGTGTACCAGGCGCTAAGTGCAGAAGTGCCTGGCAAGGGAGGCTCTGCCGCCCAGGCCCAGTGAAGCCAACATGTACTTGCTGTAGGAGGAACAGTGCAGGAGCCAGGAAAGACTCAGAGGGTAGAGTCACTGTCTTCACCCTGGCAGGCTTGGCCTGTGGCAGGGGAGAAGGCTATGCTTCATTCACATCTGTGTTCCAAGCACCTAGAACAGGGACTTAGGAACAGAGGAAGGTGCTTAGGAAAGGTATATGGGTCCAGTTCAGGGGGTGGAGCTGGAACCAGCCGGTGAAAGGCAGGTTTTAACTCAACTCAAGTTTTGAAAATCAGAGTTGCAGCTGGGGGCAGTGGCTCACACCTGTAATCCCAGGACTTTGGGAGGCTGAGCCAGGCAGATCACCTGAGGTCAGGAGTTCAAGACCAGCCTGGCCAACGTTGTGAAACCCCATCTATACAAAAAATACAAAAATTAGCCAGGCGTGGTGGCTCACGCCTGTAGTCCCAGCTACTTAGGAGGCTGAGGCATGAGAGTCACTTGAACCCAGGAGGCGGAGGTTGCAGTGAGCTGAGATCACGCCACTGCACTCCAGCCTGGGCAACCTTGGTAAAAAGAAAGAAAGAAAGAAAGAAGGAAAGAAAGAAAGAAAGAAGGAAAGAAAGAAAGAAAGAAGGAAAGAAAGAAAGAAAGAAGGAAAGAAAGAAAGAAAGAAGGAAAGAAAGAAAGAAAGAGGAAAGAAAGAAAATCGGAGTTGCCTAAAGAGAGAAGTGGCTACTGAAGAAGGAGAGACTTTCCTATCGAGGGATGTGAGTGGGCAAGGACAGCAACTGGGGTGGGGGAAATTGGGTGGGTGACCAGCAAAGCCCCTTCCAGTTAGGAGATTCCAAAACCGTGATGATGAGGAGGAGGACGACAGCAGCCTCTGTGTATTCAGCACTGGTATGCCTGCTTCTGTAAATACTTCACCTCTAACATTCATTCCACGTAAGAGGAAACTGAGGCTCGCCCAGGTGAAGTCGTCCAGGTAAATGGCAGGGCCAGGGCTTGAACCTACATCTGTCTCATTCCAAAACCTACATTCTTTCCAGTAAACCTTTGGAAGGCCAGCAGGGTTTGGAAAATTGGAGGCGTCCTCTAAATATATACGGTCCTCTCCAAATTAATCCCTGATGTGCCAGTATGGCCTTGAGCAGATGGGGTACCCAGCTCTGCCACCAAGGAGCTTGTGGACTGAGGCCAGAGACAAAAAAAAAAAAAAGCCACTGTCACCTGGAATACAGACAAAGGTGATCTGAAATGTACAGATCCAATCGTTGCTAAAGTGCTTGGCACTGGAGGCCTGGCAAAGATGGCACTGCGGGCCAGAGACCCACGGGGCGGGTTGGGACTCCCGAGAAGCAGCCATGTGTAGCAGAATGTGTGGTGGGCCAGCGAGGATATGTTCTCACGCTGGATTGTGAAGGCTGTGGTTTCTAGGTGGAGACCATTGGGGACGCCTACATGGTGGTGTGGGGGCTGCCTCAGTGCAATGGCAGTCAGCATGCGGCCGAGATCAATAACATGGCTCTGGATATCCTTGGCTCTGTGGGTGACTTCCGGAAGAGGCATGCACCCAACGTGCCCATTTGCATCAGGGCTGGCCTGCATTCAGGTATGGGCTAGGGGCCTCCAGGGTGAGGGGGCCACATCCATCTCCCAATCTTCCCTGGGGCGCTGGCTGGGACGCCTCCAGTGGCATGCTTCTGGATGTCTGAGATTCAAAACTCTATAGTAAAAACATTTTACGTTTCTTTTTCCTTACATTATTTTGGGGTCCTAATTATGTTATAAATAAGAGAGTCTGGCCGGGCACGGTGGCTCACGCCTGTAGTCTGAACATTTTGGGAGGCCCAGGCAGTGGGATCACAGGAGGTCAGGAGTTTGAGACCAGCCTGGCCAACATGGAGAAACCCTGTCTCTACTAAAAATACAAAAATTAGTTGGGCGTGGTGGTGCATGACTGTAATCTCAGCTACTCAGGAGGCTGAGGCACAAGAATTGCTTGAACCCGGGAGGCGGAGGTTGCAGTGAGCCAAGATGGAGCCACTGCACTCCAACCTGGGCAACAGAGTAAGATTCTGTCTCCAAAAAAAAAAAAAGAGAATATGTGATGCTGATAGTCTGATGGAAGAGGCAGGACAGAAACCTTCTGTGGTCATGCAAACAACCAAATGATTGCTGGGATGGATCTGGGAGAGCCCTCAGAGTCATGAGTATACCCTTCCCATGTCCCTACTCCTTCCACCATGGTTCCCCTCGCCTGCAGGATAAAGTCCATTGGCGCTGCCACCACCGCCCCGCCACTGCCATAGCCTCTCCAACCGCATCTCCCACCACTTCCTGCATGGCCCTCCATCCACACTCTGCTGTGTGCAGTTTCACACACACGGGTTCCCTGCCTCTGTGCCTCTGCACCTGCTGTTCCCTGCCCACTCATTCTCTCATCCTTCAAAACAGAGCACATGTATCCTCTTCTCCAGCAAGTCCCCTGGGCTGGGTTAGAGGCCCTTTTTGGTGCTGGCACAGTCCTGGTGCTTCTTTCATCACAGCCTTGATTGCAGGTTACACATCTCTCCCCACCAGGCTGGGAGCTGCGCAAGAGCAGGGAGGGGCTCTGATCTATCTACGGCCCCTCACCTCCAGCACAGAGCCTGGCACAAGCATCAGCTCCTCTCTGGATGTCATTGGAGACTCCAGTTAGCTTTATCCTCACCCCGCAACTGGAGCCCAGGAAGTGCAGTGGGGAATGGCACGGAGGGTAGAGAAGGGTGAGGCTGTCACTGGGCTCTCTCTCTGGTCCAAGACCTGCTGGAGCTCACTGGGTACATTCGAGTTTCAGGGCCCTGTGCAGCAGGGGTCGTGGGTCTCACGATGCCTTGGTATTGCCTCTCTGGGGACACTGTCAACACGGCTTCCCAGATGGAGTCCACAGGGCTGCATGAGTATCTCACACTTCTATCCTGCCCGGGGAGAGACTCTTTCAATAACCTGTGCGGCCTGGCTGTTTAATATAGTTCTTGGTAACCAAATCACCACCTGGTGGCGGCGTACCCTACTTTTCAGGAAAGCAACTACTATGTTGGTGCAAAAGTAATAGCCATTTTGGCGTTAAAACTAATGACCACGCCATTCTCCTGCCTCAGCCTCCCGAGTAACTGGGATTACAGACGCATGCCACCACACCCGGCTAATATTTTGTATTTTCAGTAGAGACAGGGTTTCATCATGTTAGCCAGGATGGTCTTGATCTCCTGACCTTGTGATCCACCTGCCTTGGCCTCCCAAAGTGCTGGGATTACAGGCGTGAACCACCAAACCCGGGAGGCAGAGCAGTGAACCGAGATCGCAAAAAAAAAAAAAAAAAAGAAAGAAAGAAAGAAAAAAAACAGCTAATGGCTAAAGCTGCAATTACTTTTGCACCAACCTAATAGACGGAGATGATATACGTCATTGGCTCTTTTAACTTTCCACACAATATTTGTGGTGATCTCATGAGGGCATTAGCAGAGAAAACAATGACTCAAAAGGCAGGAAATCTGGGTCCTAGCCCTGGCTCTGCAACTGGCTTGCTTAGTGTCCTTGGGCAAAATGTTCTTCCTGTAGGCCTTAGTTTCCCCATTGTACAAAGAGGAGACCCTTTAAAGTGTTTTTTTTTTAATTGGTCACGTGCCACCTCCTTTTATGCTGGGGCAGTCCTGACACCACCATGAAGACATCCCCAGCGTTTTTGGCCCTTACTGGCAGCAGGAGCTACCATGATGGCTTGGCTAGAGCAGCTAAGATGTTGAAGCCCCAGGTCCTCTGCCTCTGGCTGTGTAGGTAGTTGCTCCTTAATGTTCAGAGTACATACATCCCGCATAGCTGGACGCTATGGCTCTACTGGGAAGTCCTGCTCTTAAAAGAAAACTAAAAACTGTGTATCTTCTCAGACTCAGCCTTCACAGACTTGCTTACAAGTAGAAATTATGTTCCTAGGGGTTCTGACTCCATCGTGAGTTCCCCTTAGCACTCAACCTATGTAATTTGCTTTGCCTCTGGGTCTCTTTTAGTGTTCCAACAATTTAGAGGGACAAGAGGCCCAGAAGAAGGGTATTGCATAAATCATCACTATGTGTATGATTGATTGGAACTGCAGTCGTCGCAGCCTCTTAATGATTTTACCAAATACTAGGTATGCTGTCACCAGGTGATGATCTGATGACTGCCTTTCTTCTCAGCATACAGAATTCATGTCAGCCAAAGCACTGTCCAGATACTGCTCAGCCTTGATGAAAGCTACCAAATTGATATCAGAGGTCAGACTGAGCTGAAGGTGAGAGAATTTTGTGGTCTTTGTGGGAAAAGTCTCCAAGGATCCAGTTTCTGTGGGAAGCAGGAAAGATTCTTATCTGACTGATGTGGCTGCCCAAGTTGGGGATGTAGCTGGTCACCTTTACATGCCCTCTATGCTCTCCAAATTCTAAAGAAACATTGCTTCCTGGGAGCCATCTTGCTCCTTGTGAGAGGAAAGGCCAGGACAGAGAAGTCACTTCTCCTGATGACCTGTCTGTGTAGCACGCCAGTGTACAACACACATCAAAATATTTATCACTCATAGTAATAATGAAAGGAGCATCGTTGTCCCCATTTTACAGTTGAAAAAATTCAATTAAAGAGGCAGAGTGGCTTGTCAAAGTCACATAGCTCGTAATTCAGATCTCATGGCTCCAAAGCTTGTGCCTTCTCCATAGCACTGCTGGGCTCCTGCCCATCCCTCAGAATCCCAGATCAGACATCACCTCTCACTGCAGCCTACCCTGACCCAGGAACACTCATCTTCCTCCTCCTTCCCCACAAACAGTGACTGCCATGCCTTCTCTGTGTACCCACCAGTCCCAAGGCCAGTTCTCTGCTGTTACAGTGTAATGTTGGGTTGTTAATGCTCATGATTACCTCAAAGGCAGAGAAAGGTCTGTAACCTGTGCATTCTCTCTCAACATTACCATTCTATAAAGGCAATGGTACAGCATTCCTTTCAGTGACTTTTCTTCCTACCCCACCTCCTCTTCCTCAAATTCCTAAGCTGAAGCCAGGTCTAGCAGGGAGACCGGAGCAATCTAGCTTAAAGGCCTGATGCACTGGGTCCCAGAAATTCGGTGCCATATGGGACTCACTTCATTACACTGTGGAACGTCGGTGCAGGAGGGTGCAGCACAGAGACGGGCAGCAACTTGTTCATGATCACACAGCCCGTGAAGGCCAGCAAATGTGGAATCCTTTGCTCTGTATGGCTGGGGTTAGGGGAGAGTGAGCTGGAATAAGTCAGGGCAGATGTGTCTTATTTAGGGGGGTGAACACTGGGCGTCCTGAGGAATGGATGACTTATGCCAGAAAGGGACACAGAGAGTTGTGGGGAGGGCAGCGAGGCGTGGAGAGGGTAGAGAGGCGTGGGGAGGGCAGAGAGGCGTGTGGAGGGCAGAGAGGCGTGTGGAGGGCAGAGAGGTGTGTGGAGGGCAGAGAGGTGTGTGGAGGGCAGAGAGGTGTGGGGAGGGCAGAGAGGTGTGGGGAGGGCAGAGAGATGTGCGGAGGGCAGAGAGGTATGGGGAGGGCAGAGAGGTGTGCAGAGGGCAGAGAGGTGTGCGGAGGGCAGAGAGGTGTGGGGAGGGCAGAGAGGTGTGCGGAGGGCAGAGAGGTGTGGGGAGGGCAGAGAGGTGTGGGGAGGGCAGAGAGGTGTGCGGAGGGCAGAGAGGTGTGCGGAGGGCAGAGAGGTGTGCGGAGGGCAGAGAGGTGTGGGGAGGGCAGAGAGGTGTGTGGAGGGCAGAGAGGTGTGCGGAGGGCAGAGAGGTATGGGGAGGGCAGCATGCCAACCTTAGGCTCTTCAGGCTGGCCCAAGGGCTCCAAGGACAATATTCATCCCATAGAGCCCTGGCCCAGGATGGGACATGGAACCTCCAGCCCAGCCAGCCCCGACCCTCATGTTCTCAAGCCCCCTCGCTCCTGACCTTCAGGAGCTGCATTCCCACCCCAGGGGAGGCCACCATACCAGGTCCTTCCATTGTGAAGGCTGGAGAGAATCACAGATGGTGGGATCTTAGCACTCTAGATCCGCTGATCACAGGGCTCATGATTCTTTTCTCTCTCTCTCTCTCTTCTTTCTTTCTTTCCCAGGCTGGAGAGCAGTGGCGCGATCTTGGCTCACTGCAACCTCCACCTCCCAGGTTCAAGTGATTCTCATGCCTCGGCCTCCCGAATAGCTGTGATTACAGGCATGTGCCACTGTGCCTAGCTAATTTTTGTATTTTTTAGTAGAGATGGAGTTTCTTCATGTTGGCCAGGCTGGTCTTGAACTCCTGACCTCAAGTGATCCACCTGCCTCAGCTTCCCAAAAGGCTAAGACTATAGGTGTGAGCCACCATGCACCCAGCTGGGTTATTTCTTTAACAGAGAAATATTAACTTATTTAGTCTTTACAACTTTGTGAGGTACTGAGGCAATGGAGGCACAGAGAAGTAAAGTAAGTTGGCCAAAGTCACACAGCTAGGAGGCAGCAGAGCCAGGATTTCAATCTCCAGGCTCTAGGCTGCTCTCCATGGAGCTGTTGAATCACACATTTTGTCCTTGCTCTTCAGCTTGAGGAGGTTTGCTTGGGGAGGGACCTTCCCATCCCCTTCCCTCTCTCTTCCAGGGGAAGGGCATCGAAGAGACCTACTGGGTGGGGGGAAGGCAGGCTTCCCCAGGCCCCTCCCCGCACCTGTGGACATCAGACCTGGGTGAGTAAGAGAGATTTCCCAAAAAGCTTGGACGTTTTTCTGATTATAAAAGTATTTCCCGCCTAGTGTGGAAAACTTGGAAAATACAGAATTCTTCGAATATTCAATAATCCCCGTCTTTCTACTCCTGGGAGGTAGCTGCTGTTAGCACTTCAGCAGGGCTCCTACACACCTGTTTCTCATGTGCTTGGCGTGCGTGAGGTCATGTGGCCCAGATCACTTCTCATCCTGACCTGTGCCCTCAGCTCACTGTCCTGAGCACCTTCCTGTATTGTTCAGAGTACTTTATAAACATACCCACAGTAGGCCAGGCACGGTGGCTCACGCCTGTAATCCCAGCACTTTGGGAGGTCGAGGCAGGTGGATCACCTGAGGTCAGGAGTTCGAGACCAACCTGGCCAACATGGTGAAACCCCGTCTCTACTAAAAATACAAAAAGTAGCTGGGCATGGTGGCGGGTGCCTATAGTCCCAGCTACTCAGGAGGCTGAGGCAGGAGAATCGCTTGAACCCAGAAGGCCAAGGTTGCAGTGAGAGGAGACTGCGCCATTGCACTCCAGCCTGGGTGACAAGAACAAAACTCTGACTCAAAAAACAAAAAACAAAAAACAAAAACCATAAACATACCCGCAGTGACTGCATCTGGATTGCAACATGTGGACACTCCAGGATTGCAACATGTGGACACTCCAGGATTTGCAAAGCCTATCTCTATTGCAGAGAATGCAGAATCTTTCCATTTTGAGCTGACTACAGGTCATGATTTGCTAAACATTATCATGCATTTATTGCTATTCAGACTATTTCTGCAGATGACAAATTTTTAGATAAAAAGAGCACCCACATTTTGGGGGCCATGTGAAGCAGATTCTCAGAGAGCTTGTGCCTGTTTGGTGGTTTGTCTCTTCCCTCTGTCCTCTGTCCCCTAGAACCCATGTCCCTCACTGAGGGCAATATAGATGGGGTTGGGGAAGGGAGAAAAGTTAATAACATTTTACTTCAAAGTGCTCTTCCCTACCCACTTCCACCCCATCAGTGGGCAGGCAGTCTGCAGAGGGTCGGAGGGCAAGGGGCACAGGTGTCGCCAATTGCCAAGAAGGTCCCAGAGACCATAGAGGCTGACTGGCTGATTGCACTGGTAGGGAGGCTGAGCGTGGGGAAGGGCAGGGACCCACCTGGCGTGCTACATTGCCACCACATCAGTGCCTGGGCCAGAGCTCAGGCTTGCTGTCTCCCTGCCCAGAATGCACCCTTCATCAAAACTTCCAACGGGCTCTGCTCAGTTCTTCCAAGATAGCCCCCCACCCAAGGCCACCTCTTCCCATCCCTCAAAGACAAGCAATATGGGCTTCCTGGGAAGGGACCACAGTTGGAGCAGCCCAGGCTGAGCATCCTCCAACCAGGCGGGACTGATGTGAACAGGGCAGGTCACAGCAGCCTTTCCCCTCCTGCTGTTGGGGGGCCAAGGCCTTGGGACCCCAGGGAGCCTGGGGCACAGCGGTGCCTCAGGGCAGGAGTTGCTGCCGTTCATCTGAGTTCCCCCTTGCCACACACATCAGGGTCCAGAGGGGCTCCCAGCAAGGGGGAGAGGGAAAGAGAGTGAGTGCGTGGGCAGAAACCAGCATAGGATGGCGAGCCTCCCGGGGTGCAGACACACAGGGACACCCTTTTCACAGGGACACGCCAGCCTCTTAGAGGCAGAGCCAGCTTGCACTGGTAGAAAGGCCTTCACACGGCTGGGGCCCTTCTCCTTTGCAGAGTGATGGATGGCCTGCGGGACAGGCAGCGTGATGTGAACGCAGGGCTCAGGCCTGGCCCTGACTGTTGTGTGGCAGATCTTGCTCCTGTCTGGGCCCGTTGGGCTCTGTGGCTGGACTCAGTCCTCAGCTCCCCCGTGGCCCTCTTCTCCCTTCCCTTACGTGGAGGGCCTCTCCTCCTGTTCTCCTCCCTGTGTCCTGAGGAGTGAGCCCTCCTCTGGCCTTGCCTCCCTACCAGCGCCCACCCCACTGCTCATCTCCACTCAGAGCTCAACTTCTCAGGAGCTGGCGGCTGCCGCTGACTTCACTTCCTCACCTCCCACTCCCTCCTCGGCCCCCGCAGTCTGACTTCCACCCCCTCGGGCCAGAGGGCTCTTCGGAAGGTCTCCGGTGACCTCCGTCCATGTCACCAGATCCGGGGGCAGTTTCAGTTCTCAACCTGACTGCTCAGCAGCGTTCGCCCTGCTGCCCTCCTTTTCCTAAAAGCTCTTTCTTCCCTGGCCTCCTCCTCTGGCACCAGCTCATCCTCCCCTTCTTGGGGCCTCCCTGTCTACCCAGACACTAACGACACCCAGTACACGTCTCGGGCTCCCACCCCACTGGGCACCAGGCTCCCGTAGCTCTGGCTGCTCACTCAATGGTTCCTTCTGGGGCTTCACAGCACCACGGATTGCAAAGCTCCAGCAACCCTTGAAACCTGGTCCTCCAGCATCCCCAGTCAGACAGCCCAACACCATGCCAAGCTCCTGGCGTCTCCGCACCTACCCCTATCCATTAGCAAGTCTGGAGCCTCCAGAGCCTCTGGGGAGGCAGGTGGGAGTCCTTGCCCCCTCCCAGGCCTCAGGCTCAGATCCTGCACACAGGATGTGTGTGTGCCTAGCAGCCCCCACTCCATCACACATCCCTCCTCCGGCTGGCTTCTCCACCTCCCTGCACCCACCCTGGCCCAAGCCACCACGTCTCTCAGGTGGCCCGCCGCAGGGCTCCTAGCCAGTTCCCTTCCATCCATCTCTACCCGGCAGCCAGAATTATCTTTTAAAAATACAAACATGGGCCGGGCGTGGTGGCTCACGCCTGTAATCCCAGCACTTTGGGAGGCCGGGGTGGGCAGGTCACTTGAGGTCAGGAGTTGGAGACCAGCCTGGCCAACACGGAGAAATCCCATCTTTACTAAAAACACAAAAATTAGCCAGGTGTGCGGCAGGTGTCTGTAATTTCAGCTACTTGGGAGGCTGAGGCATGAGAATCGCTTGAACCCAGGAGGCGGAGGTTGCAGTGAGCGGAGATCGTGCCACTGCACTGCAGCCTGGGTGACAGAGCAAGACTCTGTCTCAAAACAACAACAATAACAAAAGTGACAGACATGATGGATAGGACAGGTTGCTGCTTCTAACCCTTCCGGGCTGTCCCATTGCCCTAAGACTAAGCAGCCTTTCGTGCAGCCTCCAAGGCCCTGCGCTGTCCAGCCAGTGCCTGCCCCTTGGCCCGGCCTCTCCTGCCACCTTCTGCTGCTCACCACCTGCTCACAGGCCTCCTCGCTGTCCCTAAAGCACACCATGTTCTTCCTACCTCCGGCCGCTTGCTCTTGCTGTTCCTCTACCTGGAATGCCCTTTCTGTCATCCTGGTCTCAGTCAAATGCTGCTTCAGTCAGGAGGTGGCACAGGTCACACACTCTAGATGGGCCCTGCTGTCACCCTGCAGCTCATTTCCCAGCGTGGTGGCCCCCACAGCACTTGTAACTACTGACACTTCTTGTTTGCCAGTTGACGGAGCTTGCCCTGCCCATGTAAGACTCAGGAGATCCCGGACCGCCAAGACATCGGCACATCCGTCCATCGGTGCTCAGCACCCAGGGAATGTGACCTCTTGAGTCTCCTATGCACCAGCCGCCTTCCACCAAGTCCCCTGCCCCAGTCTGTCCCTTCAGGCACTACTGAAAATCCCAGCTCCCAGCCCTCACCCTGCCCACCCTGTCTCAGAACCCGGAACCTGCAGATCCGGCAGCCATTTGTCATCCTGCGCCCCTTCAGCTGATGGCTTTTCTGGACAGAAACTTTAGAAAGTGCCAGAAATGTTTTCATCTTCTTGGCTTAGAGGGAGAGAGGAGAGCAGAGGTTAGTTGCAGTGGGCACCACCTGACGTGGGAGCCTCCCAGACCTCCAGGCAGGCAGGGGAGGGTCTCCGCACCCCAGTCCTGCACATAAGCTCACCAGGTGCACACACTCGTCATGGGTGTGGAACACCACGTGCCCCTCTACTTGTCTGGAGATGAGATCACAGACAGACAGACAGACAGACAGACACACACACACACACACACACACACACACACACACACACACAGAATCTCTGCAGGAGGGGCTCAGGACAGGACAGGCTGGATAAGAACTTGTCTTGGAGCCGCATTTACAAAGCAGTTACCAAATTTTTGCTTGCACTGTATGTTATAATTTGATTTTTATTTTTTTGAAGCCAAGTTTCCTAAAAATGTTTTTATCCCCACTTTATGTATTTCCCATATCTGCAGAAGTGATTTATCTTTCTATCTGGGGATTTTGAGGAGGCTGGTGGAGATCGGGGGAGGGAACAAAGGGCCCCCCCATACCCCCCGCAACCATGTCTTGGGGTAGCCACAAACTCAAGCAGCAGTGCCCACAGAAGCACTTTTCGTGAGACATCACAGAGACACTCCACACAGTGGCCCCCTCTCTCCTCTGCCCCCGCAAAACAGGCGCAAAAACCTCCCCTGCCAGCCAGGTTGCTGCGAGACCCTGGCTGTCCCTCAGAGCCTGGCTTTCTTCTCTGGGTAACGGCAGTGACCCAGCTCCACCCTGTTCCTGGCACCTGTGGGCAGCAAGTGAGAAAAGGAAAGTGTGTAGGAGTCCATGGTCCCTACCCTGGATCTGTATATTACCTGGGAGTCACAGAAGCCCTCACCATGGCCTCCCAGCCGCCCAAGGTCATGTCCTGAGTAGGGGTGGAAGCTGGGGTAGTTCCCCATCTCCTAGGAGGCCACTGTACTTGAAGCCACACCTGCAGATGAATCAGCAACGGCATGGCCTTGGAAAAGACACTTCACCTTTCCCAGCCTCAGATCCCTAAAGTTCAAGGCAGGGCAGGTGGCGTGTGCCCATGGCCGGGCTGCTCGCGGCCCAGGAGCACGAAGGAAGTGAAAGGAGCTCCCCGTCAGCAGGGTGGGGCTGTAAAAGCTACGACTGTGGCTTTCAGTGGTCGCTTTGTGATTCTTGTTTCTCCTTTTTCTCCAGAGACCCTTAGTAAGACTTCATAAACCAAGAAATCAGGGCAGACTTTGCCAAAGCCCATCAGGACACGGCAGGGACCCAGAGCTCCGGGAAGAGCTTGGCCAGGCCCTGAGTAGAACGGTGTGGGGCAGGTGCCTGCACCAGCGCGGAGCCTCTTGTGGATACCCCTTCCCCCTCCCTGCTCCACTTCCTTCAAAGACTTCCTTGCTGAGCTCCCTGGTGGCCAACCTGGTGCTTGTTACTAAGTGCCCAGAGTGATAGTAATTGATGCATTCCCATAAGAATCCTAGAGCTGAACTTGCCTCTCAACACCAAAACAATAAAAATAGAAACCCTCCCCTCCTTTCACATGGTGCTTTGTCCTCGGCAAATGGTTTTGATGCAGAGAGCTCATTACCATGAGAGCCGACCCTGAGGAGCCCTGTGCCCACTGCTGGCTGCAGGGCCCAAGGCCCAGGGGGAGGAGGTCATTTGCCCCAGGTGGCACAGCTGCTTTGGGCAGAAGCAAGGCTAGGACGAGGAAGAGAAGCCAGGCAGACGAGGGCTCCAGGCTCAGCTGGCCTCCCACTTGCAACATATCTGTTTTGTCATCTCTGAAAGGGGCATTGAGAGGATTCAGAGCTTCTAACACAGGGCCTGGCCCATAGGAAATGCTCAAAGTGCGCTGCCTCCTTCCCTGCCTCTCCTCCCCAAACCAGCACGTTGCCTCCTTCCCTGCCTCTCCTCCCCAAGGCAGCCTAAACCTTCGGGTGTCTGTGAGCACTGTGTCAGGAGTCCAGGCCTTGGGACACAGGAACTCAGAAACTCAAGATGGAGGAGGGAAGGTGAGAATTCCTCAGTTTTCAGGAAACTGAGATGAGAGTTCTGTCTTACAGAAAAAAAAAAAAGAAAAAAAAAAAACCCAACAGCCAACTTATTAAATTGGCTTCCAACATCAAAGAGTGCTCACCAAATCCTCGCGGGTGATTTCAGAGCAGGCAAGATCAGGCACACGTGGAATTCATTTCCCCAACTGAGGGGAGAGGGGCGGGGCCAAGTGGGCAGGTTAAGCCCCAAACAAACTTATCCTTTCCTCAAAAGACCCCTTAGGAGCGGGGAGCTGGTACGAAAACTTTGAAGTGGTGGTTGTTGGGAAAATGTTCTGCCTGAGGGCTGCTGTGCCCACAGACGCCAGGGTGCCCCTGTGTGTGTGTGTGTGTGTGTGTGCGTGTGTGTGTAAGAGACAAGAGGTATGTAAGGATGTGATGGTGATTGTAGAATTGGCTTTGGGAGATGCCACTGCCTGTCCCTACTTGTGCAACTTTGGGCCTAACCTTTCTATGCCTCAGTTTCCTGAAATGCAAAACGGAGCCAGTTACTCTTACATCCCATATCATCATGAGAGTTAAATGAGAGGACTGTGGAAACACCACATCTGACCCTGCGAGCCTGCAGGAGTGTTGAACAGGGAGGATCTGCACGCGTGTATCTGTGGAATGTGCCCATGGCTTGTGTGTGATTGTGTCTGTGTGTGTGGGACAGCTGTGGGGTGGGGTGGGGGAAAGGGACAGAGATGTGGCCCTGGTTTCTCCACAGGCCCTCTGGGTGGCCCCCTTTAGGGCTATGGATTTTCTCTCAGGGCTCTAGTTTCTTCATCTGTAAAATGAGTACATGGTCTAGGTGACTCCTGAAGCCCCTCTGGGTGCATAGCTGTGTGTCTGCCGTGAGCATCCATGAGCATATGCATGGGTTTGTGCCCTGGCACCACAGCTGGGCAGGAGGAGACTGGAGCTCAACCAGGACTCCCCTTTCCTACTGTGGACTGAAGGCCTGTGTTCTCCGCCCACATTCCTATGTCGAAACCCCAGTCCCAATGTGATGGCTTAGGAGGTGGGACCTTTGAGAGGTGATCAGATTATAAGGCTGGAGCCCTCACAAATGGGATTAGTGCCCTTGTGAGAAGAGGCCAGTGAGCTAGCTCTTTCCACCAAGGGAGAGCACAGCAACAAGGGGCCATCTGCGAACCTGTAAGAGAGGCCTCACCAGTGCCAGGCCCTGACGGCACCTTGATCTGGGACTTCCAAGCTCCAAAACGGTGAGAAGCAAATATCTATTGTTGAAGCCCTCCAATCTGTGTTATTCAGTTACAGCAGCCCAAGCTGACTAAGACACCCGCCAGGAGCCAAGTGGCCCAGGCTGGTCTGTTGGCGCCTCTAGGCCTTCTGTTCCTCGCTGCACAGGAGGGTCCAGGCCCCTGCCCTAACTGCCTTATGAGGCTGCTGTTAGATCAAGGAGGCAGTGCGTGTGAACACACGCTCAGCTAAGAAGTGTGGTGCAGATGTGACTTGGGGGGTGGGGTGGGTGAACAGATCTGTGTGACCTTGTATATTTAAGTGGACACCAGAGCTGAAAGGGACCTTTGCAGGCAAGTGACAGTGAGCCTGTGCCTATGCCTGTGGACATGTGTGGGTTGTCATTGTGTCTGTGTCTGCATGTATGTGCTCATCTGTGGGCATCTGTGCATGTTGTCTGTGTATATGTGCATTTATGTGTCCGTGTGTTTCTGTGTACATGCATTTATGGCCTTGGTGTGTCTACATGTATGTGGCTTTACTGTGTATGTTATGTGTCTGAGCGTGTCTGAGCACCAAAATCTGGGGCAGTGGTACATCCCTTCCTGTCCCAAAATCTGGGGCAGTGACACATGTATCTGTGTGCATACCATGTGTATCCATATGTGTGATGTGTGTCCAAGTACCTGTTGTGTGCATGTGTGCTGTTTGTCAGGGTGTGTCTAGATTCAGCCATGGGTCTTCATGCTCTTGGGCCCTCTGGAAGGCTGTATGGTGGGAGCAGCTCTTGCCCCTCTGCTCACTCCCTCAACTGCCCTTGCTGAGAAGGGCTGAGTCAGCTCTGTTCTTAGAGGCTCCTAAGGACTCTAGGAGGAAACTCTGGCTCCAGAGCTGACATACTGCATGTAACTAGACTCCCTACATTGGTCTGTTTTCACACTGCTATAAAGATACTACCTGAGACTGGGTAATTCATAAACAAAAGAGGTTTAATTGATTCACAGTTCTGCATGGTTGCGGAGGCCTCAGGAAACTTACAATCATGGCAGAAGGCAAAGGGAAGCAAGGCAACTCTTATATGGTGTTGAGAGAGAGAGAGAGAGAGAGAGAGAGAAGGGGGAAGCGCCCGACACTTACAAAACAACCAGATCTCATGAGAACTCACTCACTACCATGAGACCAGCCTGGGGAAACCACCCCCATGATCCAATCACCTCCCACCAGATCCCTCCCTTGACACGTCATTCAGATTACAATTCGAGATGAGATTTGGGTGGGGACACAGCCAAACCATATTTCCCCCCCACAACACACACCAGGGTTCTCACCTCTCTCTAACCTTCCTCCATCAGCTAGGGACAAAGGAAGAAGGCCCATGCCCACCTGGATCCTGCATCATGCCCCAGTCCGGGGCTGGCCGTTTCCTCCTGGGAGGCTTTATGTCTCATTTATTTCCCCACTTACCTGCTACCTGCTGTGGGCCAGGTGTGTGCCAGGAGCTTCATGCATATTGTCTCAACCATGCCCACTCTCTAAAATGAGAGTTATTTGCTCACTTTACAGATGAGGAACTGGAGGCTTGGAGGATGAAGTGCCTTGTATGTGTCAGCCCATCTGTCTCCTGATCTGAGGTGGTGATGCAGGGCTACAAAAGCCCAGAAAAACAGCAATGGTCCCTGGAGGGTTCCCAGGGGAGGCAGCCTCAGTGAGCACACAACTTCCTCTTCTGCAGAACAGGGGTGAGGACAGCACCTTCCAGGTGAGTCTGAGGAAGCCCTCAGGAGGAGCCAGCACGGCATTCGCATGGGCTTCCATGCACATGCTCAGATGGGACCCCAGAGATGGAGCCCCAAGTCATGGCTTTCATGATGAGTCAATGCCAGCTGGTGCCAATGAAGGCCCCCTGCCTTCCCCCCAGCAGCCTGTGACCATTCACCTGTCCCTTGGAGTACATTCCCAGCAAGGGGACATTCTGGCATTTCTAGAGGTTGGGTTCTCACTATGGCAGATGGAGCTATGGGCTTCCAGAAGGTCCTTGCAGGGCTGGGTGATCTGGAATTGCTTGGTCCCTGGTTCTGCAGGTGGGCACACTTTGAGATGGACTCCTTAGAAAAGCCCAAATACTTTAGCCTGGCATTCAAGGCCCTACACATGCTGGCCCCACCTCATCTGCCCCCTACACAACCAACTGTTTGGCTATGACACACTCCTTACACTTCTGCAAACCCCTCATGATGCGGCATCTTTGCTCTTGTTATTTTCTCTACCTAGATGACTTGTCCCTTTTTCAACACCTGGTGAATGCCTCTACATCCTTCAAAGTCCACCTAAAATGCCACCTTCTCCTGAAACCCTTTCCCAGTCCTCCTCGGTATGGAATTAGTAGCTGCCATGCCTGATCCTCACTTGACAGGAGGGACCTTATCTAGTTCCTTCCTTTAGTCCAATGCCCAGGAAGAGGCATGTACGAGAAAGCTGAATTGATGAATGAACAAATTAAGGAACTAACTAGCCCAAAGGCATCGAATAAATAATCTCCCCTCCCGCAATGCCAGCTCCTGAGGTCGCCTTTTGGTTTCTCCTCTGCTGTTCTCTGCATCTGAGCTTGGTTGATCTGATGCTTAGCTGGGATCCCGGCACACCAGGCACAGGCAGCATGTCAGCTCATGGCTCCCCTCGCAGCCCTGCCTCTGCTCACCACTGCCCTTATGCTGCAGTGGATGCCCTCACCTCCAACCCCTGCACCGGCCTGGAGGCTCTTTCCCAGCTCCCTGTTTCCCACTCCTTCTGGCTAACTCCTTCCTCTCCAAATCTCTGTTCCTCTGCCACTGCCTCCAGGAATCCTTCCCTGACACACTCCCTTTCATCCCAACGTGCTGTGGGAGGGGGACCTCCTCTGGCCCCTCAGCCCTGGGCCACCCTGTCCATCACTGACTACACTCTAGGTATGGTCTTGTGTCAGCCTCTCCCTGCAGAAGGGGGCTTCTGGAGGGCAAAGGTGGATCTGAACCCTGTTTGTGTGACCCCAGGGTCTGGCCAGTAAAGTTCAGTGGGGAAGAAATATGACAGATCAGGGGAGGTGAAGGAGGCTACTGTGGTGGCAGGTGAGCCTCCCTTTAAGGAAATCCACGTGCATGACAATCAAGATTTGCTCAAAAGACAGAGTGGAGTCTACACTCTCATAGAATGGGAGGTGAAGTGACACAGAGAAGGAGGGAAAGGCCACACATGTACTGAGCACCTGCTGTGTGCACCGTCTCAGGACCCTGCATCTTCATTGAGTGGTGAGGACACGAGGCTCTGAGAGGAGACTGACAAACCAAATGGGCTGCTGCGTTCCCCGGGGCTGTGGGACACCCAAGCCCGGCTCCTTCTCAAGGGCTGGCCATGCCACCTCCCATGTAGGCTCTGACCTGGCCTTCCCTGCACAAGTCCCTCTTGCTGGAGGCCCCAGTCTCTCCATCAGGACCAGCGCAGGTTTCCGCGGCCTGAGAGACTCTTTGAGCAATCCACTAGGGGGCAGGCAAGTTGTTCCAGAGTGAACCAGGAGCCCCTCTGGCAACCCAGGAGACTCGTGGGCCCCTCCCCAGCCCGCAGGCTCCCGGGGCTCCGCTGCCCAGCAGGGAGAGGGAGGAGGGGGATACATGGAGTGATGGGGCACCCCACGGAGGAGTCCCACGTGGGAAACTTCCCTGAATGACTGAAGCACAAAGAGAGTTCTTCAACAACTCTCCATTTCTCACTGGCGCACTGGGGAGCTGGATGTGGTTTTTGGCTCTGTCAAGTGCAGAGTGTGGGCTCCAGGATATGGAACCTGGCCCCTGTGCATCGTGAAACAGCAGATCTCAGGGTCCTGTCCCCACCGGAAAGGCCTGGCCCAAGTTGGCGTGTGTCCAGGATGTGTCCAGCCTCCAGACACTAACATTTTCTATGACATAACGCATAGGCGATCATCGTATACCATTCTTGCCTGGATGCTGGCTCCTGTGGCCTATCACACTCTCTCCTGGGAGGCAGTTGTGACTGCCCCATCTACAGACAGGAGAAGCATCTCTGATCTGTGGACATTTCCCCGTGAGCCACAAATTACCCTGACTGCTCTGCCTGGTCTCCTGGTGCAGAAATGGGTGATGGCCCTCTCTTCCCTGTCCTTCTCATGACAGCTCTCCACCACCTCCACAATCAGTCATCAAGTCCTGTGCGGCCTGCCACGATGGTCTCCGACTTCGGTCCACAACAAGGGCACCAGGCTTCATGCTGCTCTCTTGCCTCTATTCCCACCCCTAATCTACCTGCAACGCAGACCTTGCGACGTCACTTTTCGACTTAGCAAGTGTGCACTACTGATGACCAAGGGCCTTTGCTGAGGAGCTCCTGCCAGCTGGCCCTGCCAGCTCTCTCCCCTGGCTGCCCAGCCCCTTTCTATCCCTATGCCCTGGCCCGTCTTGTCCTTCCAAATCCCTCTGACCCCCAGTTTCAACCTAGAGAGTTTTTATTCTAAAAAGTATTCCTTTTAGTAGTTATATTTACCCATTAAGGCCTGGAGCCAGTGGCCTGGAGATAACCTTCCCCATCACTATTGTGTCCGGGTACAAAATCCTTCCAGCTTGAGGAACATCACAATATCGTCTCAGCATATTTTCAGAATTGTTATTACAGACATGGGCTGGTGGGAGCTGGCCATGAGGGCAGTCTCTGTTCTTCCCATGTGTTCACCTTGAGCCCACACTCTTCACTTTGACAGAAACTAAAACCACATCCAACTCCCCAGTGCAACTATGAGAAATGGAGAGTTGGTGAAGAATTCCTGGGAGCCAGAGAAGACAACGCATCATGGCTCACCACGCAGCCAAACTTCATGAACTTTTTAAAGCCTCAGTTCTCCTTCCCGGAGTCCCTTCCCTGGCAGCTGCTTCACCTTTCTCCATCCTTTTCCCATCACCCCTCATCCCCAAATCTCCGTGTTGTCCCCAGCCCACCAGCACCCAGCCTCAGCTTCCTTATTCATTGGTGGTTACCCAAAGAACAACTACAAGACTGGTCCAAGGTCCAGGAACCCTTTAAAGGGGTGGCTCAGGTCTCCCCAGGCACTGACTCCAAGGCTTCCCCTGTGGGCAGCCCATGGGAGGGTCTTTATTTCACTAGAAAGAAGGAACTAATGTGGATGGAATATCTGCAATGTACCTCTCACTTCCATCATGCAAGGCAAAGATTATTCTCTATTTTCGATGCAGCTACTGAGACTCAGTCCAAGGTCACCCAGCAAGCCAGTGGCAGAACTGGACCTCAACTCCAAAGCCCCCACCACCTGCACCACCCTGGTGGCCTTATGGGCCCCAGCCAAATACTATATGGAAAAAGGTGACTCAGACAAGGTCACCAGCTGCAAGGTAGGGCCCAGCGAATGGAGCTGGAGTAGGGTGCAGAGGACGGGGCAGGTGAGGCCAGGTGAAGCCAAGGCCAGCAGCCAGGTCTCTGGATGTGGATGGAAGAGTTGAGGGGGCAGATGCCAGAGTGTGCTATGGGCCCAGGTCAAGGTCAGAACTTGCAGGGTAGGTGGGACACGGAAGAATGAAAAGGCGGAGAAACTAATGAACTCTGGCCACCCGCCTGGGGAAGCCCACTGGAGGGCTGTTTCTTCCCACAGCCACCATGCCCTCTCACTTGGCCTCTTGGACTTATGTAGCAGGGAAATGAAGAGCTTTTTGAACTGGAGGCTCGGCTTTTTTTTTCCTTTTAATGGCATGGAAACCCCACAAGGTAGTTTCTGCAGCCCTCACCTCTGGTAACTCTAAATCAGGTGAAAGAGGGAGAGATAGATGGGAAGGAAGAGAGAGAGGGGGAGGGAGAGGCAGGAGAAAGAGAGAGGGAGAGGGACTTTGATAGAGCTAACTGGGCACAGCTAGGGAGAGCAAGAAAGGGGAGAGGAGATGGTGGAGGATGTATGTGGGTTCGTGATATAGAACCTGGCCCCAATGTGTGGTGAAAGAGACAGGAAAACGGGAAGTGTGACGTGGACTCAGACGCCCTGGGCCATCAAAGGCTTTTAAGCAGGAGGGTGACCTGGTCAAACCTGTGTTTTGGAGAGACTCCATCTTGCTGCCATGTGGGGCCTGAGTGGATGAGCGGGAAAAGAGATCCTGGGCCAGGAAGCAGCCCTGGGGAAAGGGCCAGGGGAGAAAACGCCAGGCCGAAGAGGGAGTGAGAGCCGGGAGCTTCCACCTTTAGAAATCAGGTGGAGGAGGAAGAGAAGGGCCCGCAGCAGGATCCTGAAGGAGATGCAAGAGAGGAGAGAGGAGGGCCAGGAGGGGGTGTTCCAAGGTGCCACGGGAAGAAGGCCATTAAAGGAGGAGGGGAAGCTGTGAAGAACATAGCCAAGGGACGTGGACACTGTCCCTCGGTCCGGCCACAGCAGTTCTGCCATGGATGTGCTTGCTGGAATGAGGGGCTGGAGACAGGTGGAGAGTGGAGGCAATGGAGGCAGCAAGAGTGGCTTTCTTGCAGGTAGCTCCCTTGTGGGTCTGGCTAGGAGGAGATGAGAGGAGGGGGCCACAGCTGAAGGGAACCTGGAAGACCCAGAAGGGGCTTGTGAAACAGGGGCGTGTACAAGAGGGCTTGCCCAGAATGTTCCCCAGGAGGCAGGTGCTGCCTCTGCCAGCAGGAAGCACAGCCCATCCACCAGGAGGCCAGGTGGTCACTGATGCCAGCAGAGGCAAGTTTGGTTTTGGGAGTCAGGTTCAGGCCTCAAATCCGGGTCTCCTGACCCCAGCACCACAGGAGAGAAAAACCAGCAAGCAGGCTGAAGTCACACAGCCTAGAAGAGGTCAGGGAGTGGCAGCCCTGAGGCCACATAACCCCTTTTTAAGCTTCCAGACCTTCAGAGGGATTGGCTTGGGGACAAGGCCTGGCATCCATCCCTCAGGAGACAGGATGCAGTACTCTGCATTCTGAAGCCCCAGCCCAGCTCCCAGGGCCTGAAGCTCACAGCATCCCAGCTGGATTAATTATGAGATTCCTGGGAGGCCAAAGGAGTCTGTCTGACTAATTTAGCCCAAACTATGTCCTTTCCCCTCCTTTCCTTTTTCACTTCAGGAAACCAGCCCTAGTGGAAGCCACTTGACTTATGTGTGGTCTGCTTCTGAGAAAAATCAGAGTCACAAGCCACGCGAGATGACAGCCTAGTTCCCATGACCATGTGCACCTGTGCCTGTGTGTACAGGCATGCTCACGTGTGTGCGTGTGTGCACGTCCATGCACACAGACGAGAGGCTTATCTGTGCTCTCTGCTGTGTGTGCACTGGGTTTGGGGAGCCTTGGTATTTTAAGTCTTTATTGTACATACTGGATGTGAGCTGTGTTTGTGTGCAATGTGTCTGGTATGTTTGTGAGTGTGGTGTTCGTGTAGGATGTATGGATATAGTGTGTGTACACGGTGTATGCTCAATGTACATGTTTGTGTTGTGTTTTGCACATGTGTTTAATTGAGAGTTGGATTTGTGCAGGATGTATGTAACCATGTGTGGTGACTGTGTGACTTTTGAGGGCGTCTCTGAAATGTCTGAATGTTTGTGAATCGTGTGTGTGCCTACGTGAAATTCGTGTATGAGGTCGATGCATGCTTGTTGCTTTCGTGAGTCGTGGCCCTGTGCATCTCATGTTGCCTCTGAGGGTGCATATGAAGGATGTGTGTGTGGCTGTGGCTGGGCTGTTGTTGCAGGTGCACTATGTCTGTGGGGCGAGTGCATGTGGCTCTCATCAGCAGGTGGAAAAATGTCATAGGGGAAGGGGGTGAAAATCCAATGTAGCAGAGAGGGCAGCCCCCTCTTGCCTCCTCCTTGCCCCTGTAGAGCCTCAGCTTCCCCTCAATGGATAATACTTGAAGGACTCTAGGAAGATCCTATGGTCATGAGGAAGCTGGCAACATGACTAGGACAAGATGGGGGCTCTGTGACCTGTGCCTAAGAAGACCCTGTCCCAGTGACAACTGGGTGTGCCCAGGCCTTCGCCCCCTCACTTGCCCCTTGAGGGCTTCCACCTGCCCCCCTGAGGAACGCTGTACCCTCATGCTGCCTACCCATACTGTCCCTGAGGGGCAGCCACAGCTACATTCTAGGCAGGTTTCCTCCCTACATCCCCTGACCACAGCCAGGGAAAGCTTGAAAACCACTTCTCTCTCCCTGAAACAAACCAGCACAAAGACCATAGCTGCTGCCAAAACCCTCAAATGCTGACCGGGGCAGGGAGCACCGCAAGCTGTGCCATTGACTGGTGAGGAACAGCTTAATACAAACGCACTCACCCTTCAAACTGCCCTAGTGGTCCATTGTCCATGGCTGCCCTCACTCTACTGGGTTCAGAGGTGAGGCCACCAGCCCAAAGTTACACAGCAGTGAGTGGCGCAGCGAGGATGGGAATGCGGGTGGGTCTCTCTCCTAAACCCAGGTTGCTTCTCTTCCTCCGTTCTGCCCTTCTCAGTCCCCTCCTCACCCCACCTAAGATGGGAGGGGGAACACAACTACACACAGAATGTTTAGATAATTTGCTCTTTGGGCTCATTAATGCTCCTTCAAGTGACGAAATGATCGAGTATTCAGTGGGTAGGCGCTGGAGCCCCACTGCCTGGACTCACCTGTACTGGCTGTGCAAGCTTAAGTTAATTACTCATCCTTGCTGCATTTCCTCATGTGTCATCTGCAAAATGGAGCTGCTGCTAATAATAATAATAATAATAATAATATCTACCTTCTTGGGTGTAGTTAAGGATTGAATGGCTTGCAATATGACAGCTGCATTAGAAAGCTGCCTGGCCCAGCCTATACCCTTCCCGACTTGAAATTACTCACAGTAAGAAAGATTAATAATCCTGTTAACCATAACCTTTACATTTCATTCCTTCATTTCTGCGATGCAGTGAGGGAGGGGCTGGCGTTATCTCCACTTCATAGGTGAAAGCTGGGCAACTATGACAGCAGGGGCCAGGGCCTGCCCCGAGCCCCACCGCAGAGCCTGCCTGCCCCTCATCATCACGGTACTTCCCTGGAGCAGTGCGTCTCAAAGGGTGGTCTGAGGACTGGCAGCATCAGCGCCACTGAGGGTTTGCTGGAGGTGCAGATTCCGGGCCCCACCTCTGACCTACTGAACCAGACTCTCTGGGATGGGGCCTGGCAATCTATTTAGCCAGTCCTCAGGGATTCTGATGCTTGCCAAAGCTTGAGAAGAACTGGGCTAGACCTCTGAAGAGGTTGCTGTGTGAACCCAGGAGCACCCCACGTGAGGCCTGTGGAAGAAAGTGGAGGAGGAGAATAAGACCTTCGGCCCACTGTGTGACCTCGGGCCACGTCCTCACCCTCTCTGGGCCTAGAATCTGTCATATTTCTTGGCATGGGATTAGAGGAGGCTGGGAAGATTCTCTGAAATTTATGGCCACCTCTCCTCCTCTATGCCAGCACCCGGCTCCTGTGAGTGGTGCTTTTAGGAGCTCATGTGTTTGCAGCCACCTCATCCTGGCCTTGGCTCGTTGCTGTTTTTAGTACCTTGGAGATGACACTTTGTGACCTCACAGACCATAACCAAAGCCCAAAGTGATAAACACTGGATCATCAAGAAAAGGGTACATCAGGTTTAACCTTTAAGCAGTTAAAACAGAGGAAAAAGTTGCATGGCTCAAAGGCACAAGACCTCGGGTTCCCAGCAGCCTGGTGCTGCAGAAAGCTGCGGTTTCATGGTCCACAGCTCAGCACAGCATCAGGTTGTGGAGACACTTCTGATCCTGCCCTGCCTGGTCCATCCCCCCAACTCCCTTGGGGCCTCTGGGAGCCTCCAGTCCCTTCAGTCACAGTAGTCACTGACGGGACTCTGAACCAGGAGCCTTTCGTGTGGTGGCTGCGGGGTATATGGGGTCTCACCAGCACCTGCTTCCCCTGCCTTGGTAACGCTAAGTGCTGCCATGAGGGGGTGCCTTGTGCCTCCATCAAGAACAGAAAACCCGCAGAGTAAGTCCTCATTCTCTGGCCACGAATGAGGACTTGGAGCCTGAGGACTTGGATGGGCATGCCCACTGTGTCTGCTGTGTGACCACCAGCAAGTCATAGAGTCCCTGCAGGCTTCATCTCTCTTCTGTAAAAGGGGGGCAGAGATAGGCCTCCCCTCGTCAGATGGCTATGGGCAGGGGATAAGTAAAGAACCTGGCCCCAGGCCTGGTCCTGCAAGCCCTTGATATTCCCACTCAAGAGACCAGCTACTCCCCACCACTGGGCCATTCATAACATCCTCCTGCCCCTCCAGGAGGTGGCCTAGAGCTGGTGTGGCCTGAGTCCATTTGCCCTAGGGAGAAAGGGAGGGGAGTCAGGGGAAGAACTGGGGAACCCAGGGTTCTGCCCTAGAAGGCAGGGCCCAGAAGGGGCTCGTGAGGGAACTCCCAGACTCTCAGGGGCCCATGTGGGTGCTGGGCAGAAGCAGGGAGTGAGGACAGCCACATCTCTGCACTGAGACCTGGCCTGAAAATCAGAAGACCTCGGTTCAATTACTGGCTCCATAGCTGTGCTGTGTGACTTTAGGCAGTTGCTTAACCTCTCTGAGCCTGGTCAGTAATTGAGAATAAAGGTCTCTGAGTTTCCTGGTCAGTCATTGAGAATAAAGACACCTAACTGGAAGGCTGTCTATGGCTGTCTTTACTCTCATTTGCCACATGAGATGAAGGACTGACCCACAGTGAGGGTTCAGCAAACAGCAGTGGAGACTAAATTGTCAGTCTAGGGTGCCATGGTCCTTTCCACTCTGGCTCTACAGTTAGATCAGGACAGCAAGGCTCAGAGAGTTTTAGCAGCTTGTCCAAGGTCACACAGGATGTGCACATCATCACCTTTCTGGGCCACTTGCTCCTGCGTAGGACCCTCAGGTTTCAATCTGGCCTGAGGTGAAATCCTCCCAGGGAGCTTTGAGCCTGACTTGGTGCCCGAGTGGGTTTTTTCATTACAGAATGGTAGTCCCGAGGACACAGGAAGAGATGCATCTCTTATATTTTCACTGACAATGCATGAAGGAATGGAAGCATTTCCACAAAAATATCAACACCATGAAGACTGAGCTGTCTGCTGATGGGCTGCCCAGGAGAACTCCCCATTTCTGGAGGTGTGCCAGCAGAAGCTAAGTGACACTGGATGGGAAGTTGGACTTGGTGGCCTTTAAAAGACCCTCCACATGGCTGCAAGGCAAGCCTGAGTCTGCTCAGTTTCCACCCACTCCTCCTCCTGCAGACTCAAGCTCTGCCTCCTAGACTTGGCCTTCAAGGCCTCTGGACTCAATCATCCTCTGTGCTCTCATCTGTCTCTCATCTGGCCTGGGAGCTCCAAAAAAGTAGGCATTGGGCATTTTTATTCAGCAACTGTCCTGGGCCCACCAGAGGAGAGAGGTCATGTTTACTGAGCAAAGGCCCCCGCGACCAGGAACTTCACACGTGTCATTACAGGCCATCCTCATACACCCGGTACTGTAATTAGTTTCACTTTGCAGGTCAGCAAACCAAGGTCAGGAAGGCTGAGCAACCTGCCAAAAGTCACACAACAACATGACTGCCAAAGAAGTGAAGAGATGAAGGAAGGGGCGCTGAGCCTGTGGGCTTCCCGGCTTTTAGCCCCTGGTCCCCAGAGGCATCTGCAGCAGGTGGGCACGCTTGGTTGCCCATCTGCCTCAAATGTGGGGGAGCCCCATCCGGGCACTGAGTAAGGTGGAACCCCACGAGCTGACTAACCACAACCACAGCCTCTGGGGGCGGGGGAGTGGGAGGTGGGGCACTCACCCCCAGCCCACCATAGCCCCAGCCCCGCCCTCCTGGGCCCTAGCAGAAGCTCTGCCATGGCCCAGTGATTTCTGCTTGGTAGCAGCTCCGGGAAGGGTGAGGCAGTGCTCAGCGAGCCTGGGTCTGGATGGCTGGGAGCTGGTCTGATACACAAGGCCAGGAACTGCCCGAATGATCCAGTCACTCTGCTCATACTGCAGGGCAGCTTCAAAGCACTTTCCTGAACATTTGGCCCCTTGGACAGGGACCTGGAAAAGGAAGCCCACAGGATATAGGAGTATCCACCAACTGCCACAATAAAGGCAGTGAGAAGTTGCCTAACAACCACTGGGTGCAGGCTCCAGCTGGATCCATTGCACTTAGTTCTAGCACCAACTCCAAGTAGTAGCTACTATCTTTCCCACTTTACAGATAGGGGCACTGAGGTTCCATTTGACCAAATGGAGCACTAGAGACCAGAGAGGGGGCTGGATGGACCAGCTAGGACCCTGTGGACATAGATCTGAGGCCTTGGGTGGCTGGGAGGGAAGGGAAAGAGGTTTGGATACCCTTCGCAGGCCCTGCTGAGAGATTCCTTACCTGCACCTCCTGCCCATCCCCTCACTGCAGCTCAGGCCTCCTCCTTAGGGAAGCCTTCCCTGATTTCCTCTTCTAAGACTAGGTCAGGCCCCTATGGCACCTGCTATCATGGCTTGTCCTCTCTGGGTTGACCCCATCTCCCCAGATCCATCTCCACAGTGGACTGAACAGGGGTAAGAAAAGGCAGTAACTGTAGAGACTTCAGGGAATCCCGCTTCTGAGCCCAGCCTTACCCTGATTTGCCACAAGGCCCTGGGTGGTCACTTTCATGCATGTAAAATGGGGCACCCTGCCCCACTCTCAGGGCTGGTGACGATCAGGGAAGAGAAACACTGTGGAAGAGGCCCCTTCTACACTTGGAACCAGGACCTGGAGGACAGCCAGGGCCCCTCTCTTCTAGGGACCCGCATACTAGAGTCCACAGGCAGCAAGGCAGGGTACCTGTGATTTGGTAGGGTCAAGGCATCTAGAAGAGAGGTGGCTTTGGGAAAGATCTGCTTCAACCTCCAATCTAAATGACAATACCGCCACCCCATATTTGCACAGTACTTTAAAAATTCGGGCAAGATAATGCCCAAACTGAATCAGACTTAGCTTTATGAACAGATTGGGCTCAAATCACTGATTCTTATTAGCTGTGTTGACTTTGGACACGCCATTTAACCTTTTCTGAGCCTCAGGTTCCCCAGCTATAAATAGGGACCTTACTAGTCTCAGACAATTGGTTTTCATGTGTACACACTGCCCCCACCCCTAGCCTCAGCTTCTCCATCCGAAAACAGGACTTTGATGGTGCCGTTTCACAGGCTGTTGAAGGGTCCCGCAGATGATGGAGGAGTACGGGTCCAGACACTAGAGCACAATCCGGAGAGGAAAAGTGACCTGCCAGGACCCACCAGAGTGGACGGCTTGGTGCGGGGAACCCCCTCCGCGGCCGCCCCAGGGCCAGCGAAGGGTCATTTCCTTCCGCATTCAGCCCCGCCGTCACCTCGCCTGTTTGCCCCCGCGTTAAGTGCGGCGGCGCCAGCAGCTGGGAAATCGGGGCCAGGCCGGATTTCCTCTGTGGACCTGCGGCTCCTAGAGCCACCGCGCCCCCCTCCGGACCCCGCGGGGCCGCGAACTGCACGTGCGGCGGCCGCTGGGATGGGCCTCGCTCCCACGGCGCTTCCTCTGCAACCCCTCTCCCTCCCGCCCTCTCATCCCCCCACACTGGGCCCCCGCCCCTTCCCGGCCGAGGTCCCAGGGTGGTGAAGATGCTTCGCCGCCCCACCCCACTCCGCCCCCGCCGGCTCCGGATAAACCGAGGCACGGGGCCAGGCGCTAGGACCCCACGGCCTCGCCAGAGGGGGGCGTGGCGGGGCGGGCCGGCGGGAGAGGTATTTAAATTGCAGCCGGAGCGCGGGGGCTCCGGTGGGGCAGCTGAGCGGCCTGCTCCTCCTCGGGCCGTGACCCCGGGGTCTGGCGCGGGGTGGGACCCGGGGGCGGGTTTGCGCAAAATGTGCCGAGACTGCCCGGGAGAGGAGCTGCGGCCGCGCTGAGCCAGGTAGGAGCCGCCGGGCAGGCGAGGCTGGCCGGCCCTCGGGGGGCGCACTGTCGCGCGCCTCTAGCGAGCGCAAGGCGGGGGCTGGTCCCAAGGGACGCCCCCCAAACACTCCCCTCCCGCCATCCCCACTGCGCGCGTGGAGCCGGGGCTGACCCTCCCTCGGTCCCTGGGAGTTCCCCAGCGCTCCTGTCTTGGCGGATCTTTCCCGCAAAGGGGTGAGGCCGGCCTTCCCATTTGACAGCTGGGAAAACAATGGCCTGAAGACCGTGACTTGCCCAGGAACACACAGCTAGGCAAGGGCAAACCGGAATTTGAATTCAGGTTTCCTGCAACGCTCCGATCCCAGCCAGGCGTGGGGCTGCCCATCCCACAGCACTAGATGGCCTGCCCATTTCTCGTAGTGGGGTAGGGGGCACCCACCGCTCTCCAAGGGGCTCTGAACCCAGCCTTCTTCATGGGTGGTAAGATGTGAGGGGCCCCCACCCCCACGCCGAGCTGCCTGAAATTCCGCCATCACAGCCACATTCCTTTGGGTTAAGGTCTAATTCCCCCGTGGGATGCACATGTCTCCAGAACGAGGCTTGCCCTTAGTGATTCACTGCTTGACAGGAACGTCCGCAGCAGCTCTCCCAGGACCCCACTCTGCCAGTAAGTCAGCTGAGGCCGAGAGGAGGGAGAGAGGACCTCAGAGGCCAGACTGTGAGCTAGTCTGCCCTGCTCCTGCGTGTGAGGGGTCGTTGGCAGGGCTTAGGGAAGGAGACCTTGATTTGGTATAGTGGGAACATTTGCTTTGGAGACAGATGAACTGGATTCTGATCGTGACCCTGCTATTTTCTCCTTGTGTGACTTTGGGTAAGTCACTTCTCTGAGCCTCCTTTTCTTCATGGGCAAAAAAAAGACAGTTCTATTGGGGGCAGTCGGCTCAGCATGTGCTGGAGAAAACACAGTATTCAGGTCATGTAGAACTGGATAAATCCCAGCTCCAAAGCCCTTATGAGCTGGGTAACTCTGGGGGTAAGTCACTTCACTTTCCGGAAACTGTTTTCTCATCCGTAAAATGGGAATTACAGTAATTTCCTCAATAGGTGATTGTGAGAATTAAATGAGATGATATAGGTCAAGTGCTTAGAAGACTAACATCCTTAAATGTAGGGGTGGGCTTATTGTGGTAGTAGTCATTGCCCCCCGTACCCCTGCTCTTTCTCTCTCACTCTCTCTCTCTCTCTCACACACACACACACACACACACACACACACACACACACACATTCTTTGGCACTTTTCTGAGTTGGACTCCTGAGAGTCCGACTCTCCTGCCTCCTCTTGCCCAGGCCACTTGTCTGCAGGCTTGGGGCCTCCCCACTGAGCACACCTCACCTGGGATGCTCAGCCCTGCGAGGGTCACTGTGTCAGCTGGGAAGGACAGTGAGGATGCAGGGCACCTTCGCCACCATTCTTTGCCTGATCATCACAATAGTTGGGGTTGGCCAGTGGCAGAACTGGAACCCAGCTGCCTACCCTGCAGACAGGACACTGGGGCACCAAGAAAGGAAGGGACTTACCTTAGGGAGCAGAGCTGGTGAGTGGTGGGCTTTGGATGCAAGCCTGGGTCTAAGTGACACCGTCCTCCTTTTTGAGAGAGAGTAGTCTTTAAATGCTACACCCTGTACTTGGGCACCACTGAGGAGGGCCCACAGCTGAGGGGCCCTTCCCGTCAGATGCCAGGACAGAGTGCCCATGTGCTGCAGGGACGATCCCTTCTGGATGTGCACAGGGCCACCTTGGGGATAGAGTGGGGTTTGGCAGAGGAAGGGGAAATAAGGGCCTAGGACCCTTCCTTGTCCTCACCTGGCACTCACCACTCAGTCCACTGCAGCTGAGCTTCTGCCCTGATTTTGCCACTTGTTCACTAGTCTTTAGTGAGTACCTACTTAGTAGGCCCCTGTTCCCACATGATAAGAAATAAATGATGAGGAAATGATAAATGTGGGAAAACAATGACATGTGTGAGGAGCTGAGGAAGAGCATTCAGGGAGAGGAAACTGCAGGAGCAAAGGCCCTGTGGCAGGAATGAATTTGCTGTGTTGAAGGAACAGCAGGAAAGCTGGAATGTGGTGAGGGAAGGGAAAATGGGCAAGAGTCAGAGAGGAGACTGTGGATAGCCTGGATTTTCTTGGAGATTTTCAAACAGAAGAGGTTTAGGATCTGACAGATGATTTTATATTATCACTCTGGCTGCTAGGTACAGGACAGATTATAAGAGGTCAGGGTGCTGTGGTCAAGGCCAGGATTGGGGTGGCGTCTCGGTCTGTGGCAGTGATAAGAGGGAAGTAGGAAGATCCGGGGTCTCTTTCAGGGAGAGCAGTCAGAGCCCACTGACGGCATGGATGGGTGAAGGGAACGTTGCAGAGAGGTGAAGGGAGAGCCAAGGAGAACTGCTCTCAGTAACGACCCCATGTCACCGAGACTCCTAGTGTCGGTTTTCTGTCCGCTGCTGACCTGTTGTGTGCTGTGAGATGCATCTTAAAGGATGGTGAGCCCCTCTCTAGGGGCACTTCCCATGGGAGGGGGTGGGGCCCAGTAGCCACGGAGGGCTTGGTGCTGTGCTCACTGGAAGCTCAGGGGCTCTGGGAGGACTGGAGGACATAGTCCAGACTTGGGGAACCAAAGAAGGCCTCTTGGCCCATCTAAGCTGGGACCCCAAGGATGAGGAGGTCTTTAGCAGAAGAGGAGAGGGGAGAAAGTGAAGGTTTGGGGCAGTGAAAATCTGCTCAGGGAACTGAAGGAAATATGAGGTGTCCAGAACCCAGAATGTGAGAGGGGACACCGGGGAAGCAGGCTGGAGAGCAGAGCTGGCCAGGCAGGGCATGCTCCCCAGTGGCCTGGAAGGCCCTGCCGGAGGGGTTTTCACTCAGTTCTGAATATGCTAACTTTCTAACGGGCGGTGGCGTTCTGCTTTTTAAACAGCAGAACAAAGTTTCCTGTGAAAGCACAACCTGTAATGCAGGTGAGAGCAGAGCAGCTGCAGGGGCAGCGCCTGTGGCCCTGAGGGGAGCCAGGGAATAGGGTTTACCGGGTCCGGCTGTGGTCTGTGCGCCTTCAAGAGAGATGGGATTCAGAGCAGCCATCTTCGTCCATAGCTCATCACTAGCGGGTTCCAACAGTCAAAGACACTGCCCTCAAATGCCCTGTGAATGCCTTTTCTCCTGCAGCATCCTTCAGAATCGCGGTTCAGCACTCACTGAGGGAGCACCCACTGTGGGAGGCCTGGGAGTGTGGATTTGAAGGGCACAGACCCAGGAGCCAGACTCACCTGGGCCGGTGGCTTGTTCACCGTGTGACCTCGGGCATAGTACCTAAGCTCTCTGAGACTTCTTTTTCCCTTCTGTAAAATGATGATGGAACCAAGTCATTGAATTTTTGTGAGGATGGAATGAGTTCATGCCTAGAAAGTGCTGAGGAGAGGGCCTACTGCATAATGGAGGCTCTGTAGGTGGCATCTCGTTTGATTCTCAACAAAAACTTGGCATGGCTGCCATTAACCTCAAATGAGGAGACTGAGGCTCAGAGAGGTGAAGCGACTTGTAAGATCACACAGCAGAAAGGTAGAGGAGACAAGAGGGAGCAGTCAGATGTGGGTGACTGTGCGCCTGGTGCTCTTGGAAGGCTTTCTGTGTCCCTCTTTAAGACTCTCTGTCTGTATCACCGTCACTGTCACTTCTTTTTCGTGTTCATTTGTTTTTTGAGTTCCCAGTTCCCAGCACAGAGCCAGACATGAGGAGGTATTCAGTAAAGGTGTGAATGAATGAATGAAATTCATGGGTGGATTTGTACATCCCTAGCACTTGGCTGATGTCCTTAGTGAGGGAGTGAGTGAGCCTCCAGCAGCACTGGGATTTAACCCTGCTAAGGGCCTGTGCGGTCCCCTTAGCCCCACCCCTGGCTGCTCTTAGAGGGAAGGGCTGGCCCAGGAGGCCGGAGTGTGGCTTCAGTGAAAGTACAGGGCCTGCCAGGCTGCTCCTGGGGAAGTCCGCAGAGCAGTGCCGGGGCAGCCAGGCCTCCTGTGGGACTTCCTGCCAAGGCCCGGGCCCAGCCCTTGAACAATGGCAAGGGCTCGAGAATCAGAGAATCAAAAGGAAAAGGGCAAAATAAAGGTGGGGGAGTGGGCAGAAAACGAGGAATTGCATGTGGGGACTGAAGAGCTGGTACGGAGGACTTGTGTGGCCTGGGTGGAAATGTAGTCAGAGGCCCACCCTCCAAACCCCCTCTACATCTCCATGCCCCCAGTCCCTGGCCCTGAGCATGGCCTAGGGTAACCCTTAGGGTCTGTCAGCCTTCTGTGCATCCCCTCCAGGCTGTCTTCCGCCAGGTGGGGTCTCTTGAAAACCCCCGTCTGACCAAGTCACCTGCCGCTTAAAACTCTTGCTTCCCCTGGGTAATGGGCGGCTCCTTGGCCTGGGTGAGAGGCCTACTATGATGGGCTGCAGGCCCATTTCCCACCTGGCTCTCTGCCCTGCTCAAAGCATCTTTATTCCAGCTCCAGCCGTGCTCTGGGGTTCCCTGAGGGCAGGCACAGAATGGGTGGGAGTGGGGGCTGGCAGTGGGAAGGAGCCAGTGGGCTTACAGTGTTCCCCTTTCCTCTCCGCCTTACACAGAGCCATGAGACCCCAGATCCTGCTGCTCCTGGCCCTGCTGACCCTAGGCCTGGCTGCACAACACCAAGACAAAGTGCCCTGTAAGATGGTAAGATGCTCTGCCCAGACAGGGTGAGGACCACCCCCACCTCCCTGCCCTAGGGTGTGCTAGTGCCCCAGCCCCAGAAGCCAGAAGTTAGAAGAGTCAGGAGAGGAAAGGGAATGTACCTTGCATTTAATGAGCACCTACTAGAATGTTTAAACACCTTATTTACCCACAGTCCTGCCAGGTAAGCACCATTATTCTCATTTTGCAAAGGAGGAGACTGAGGCTTGGAGAGATTGGGCCTTGTCCAAGGTCATTCAGCTGGGAACAGTGAGGCTGATATTACACTGTATTCCCCCAAGCTGTCCCCACAGAGCAGTAGGCCCAGCTAGGGGATCTAGAATATATATATATGTGTGGGGAATTTGGGGTAGGCCAGCTGGGAGGGGCTCCTCTGTGCTCATCCCTCTTGGAGACAAATCCCCTTCCAAGCTGGGCTCCTTGACTTGGGACTGCCCGCTGGAGTGCCTCTCACTTCTTAGTGCCCAGATCAAATGCTGCCATCTCCAGGAAGCCTCCCCAGCCCCTCCCAGGCTGGCCTAGTCTGATCACACCTTCCTCTGGGTTCCTGCGGTCCCCAGGCTTCCCCCTATCTCAATACTGAGAAGACTGAACATGTGGGGTGGTTGGTGAAAGGGTCCAAGCCTGTCTCACCTGCCAGACCATGAACTTCCCTAGGGCAAGGACCAAGTTTGATTTGCTTCTATTCCTTTTTCCTGTCCCAAGCCAGGGAAACTAGCCCTAAAGTTCTTGTGACTCTATGAGATACAGGGCAAAGAGAACACCTAGATCCACTTGTAAGGCCGGGCAGTCACTGAGGCCAGAGCCTGGCTGGGGAAAGGGCAGGGCCTCCGGAAGCCCCTCTTGGACCTGAGACTCGAAGAAGCTTATGACACAGAACCGGCAGCTGCTTCAGGAGGCAGGAAGTGCAGGCAGCTGCCTGCCCGCAGCCCTTCCCTGGGGGTGCAATGTCTCCTGTTGCCACCACCTTTCTTGCTCTTCAGAGCCCTTCTAAGATTCCCGGAGCCCAGAATTGCGGGCAGAGAAGGCCTCAGATGTCACCAAATACAAACGCACATTCTACCTCAGGGAGACGAGGCTCAGAGGGGAAAGTCCTTGACTACCCAACAGGCAGAGGGGAAGCGGGTGAATTTTGGAGTCTGGGGAAATGAGATAAGAGATAGGAAAGCACTTTCTGAACCAGCATGGGAATAATACACACGGGAAGTAAGGAGAAGATGTGTGACCCACCAGGGACCTACAGGATTCGAACCCAGCTGCCTTTGCCACTGTTCACTGCCTGGTGCCTCTCCCTACTCTGCTTTCCTCCCATGATCAGGTGGTGAAATGGAGTTGGATGGCAAGTCTTTGCTTCTGAAAAGGAAGCTGGGCAGTGGGTGTCCTGATAGCCCAGGACAGTGGGTGGGAGCTCTAAACTCTGGTCAAGGGCCAATTCCTCCAATTCCCTCCGACGGTAAGTCAGGCAATGCTGGGAGCTCAGAGCTGAAGGAGGCATGAAGACCCTGGAAGTGGAGCTCTGAGCACCGCCCTGGACTTCAAGCTTCTTCCTGGACTGGACTGGAGATCTGGGCATCCCAGTGCAGCCCTGCCCACCATCAGGCCCCCAGGCTTCTAGAGCAGGGGTCTTGGGCCCCTGAATGGAAAGCCAGTCTTGGGCTGTGGGCTTGGCAAACTTTGTGTCCTGGATCAAGTCTCAGGGGCTGGTGCCCCAGGGAGCCTTTGCCTATCCAGAGGCAGTATGCCTCTGCACTTGCCCGGGGGTAACACGCGGGGCACAGCACGGTGCCCCCCACACTGTAACAGTCAGTAAGTGGGTCCATGATGCTCTTTGCTGTGCTGACCAGCTGAGGGCCCAGTGGTCAGAACTTGGCTGGCACCAATAGGAAAAGGAATTTGCAAATGGGAGTTTTGAGCCCCTGACTGTCTGATCTTGGGCAGCCCACTCCCCTTAGCCTCAGTTTCGTTAGGGGTACAATAGGAACAGGGTGAACAATGCCTGGGAAGATTTAATGGGGTAGGGGGTCTCTGCACTCAGCACGCAGCCTGACACAGCTGGGGCTCCATCACAGGTCATTTTGTTGTTTCTGCTTTAAGTAAGGAATGCCCCAGGGGGTAAGGGCTGTGAGGAGGAGGCTATGTTTAGTGGCCCCTGCAGACAGAGAGGTTGTGAGGGAGGAAGGGCAAGGATGGGCAAGGCAGCTGGGCAGGTTTCAGGTTCACACAGGTGCCCAACTGACGGGGCATCCCTGGGCCTCCTGAGGCCCCTGTGAAGCTGCCTCCCTTGGAGGCTACATGGAGTCACTGTGCTGCATGGAGTAAGAAGAGCCACACGGAGGCCTGAGGCTGGGCAGGTCTCTTCCTCCCCCTACTCACCTTGGGGCTCTCAGGAGGAAGCGCAGAGCTGGACCAGGGGAGGAACACACCGGCTTGTGTTCCCTCCCTACCAGCTCAGCCACTGGCTCACTGTGAATTCACGCAAGTCACTGCCATCTTCAGGCCTCAGTGTTCACATCTGGGAAGTGGGTCAGCTGAACTCTTCTTGCTCTACCCGTCTTTGACTATATTTTGAAAATATCAATTATGCATTTTCTTTCCTCCTAGAGAAGTGATTGATTCAGTGCCTCAGACCTTTACTAAACTGATGATGTCTGGGACTCATTCATTAGGAAAAATTGACTTGCTAGTCAGGTCCAAGGCATGCACATCCACCAAACCAGTCCCTGTTTGCTCTGAGCTCGCTGTCTAGCAGGTCCTCACACACACAGCCACAATTCAGCGGGGCAAAGCTCTGAGAGGAAGCACAGTCAGGGAGGGCTCCCTGGTGGAGGAGGCCCTGAAGCTCAGTGTGAAGAGTTCATGTGTGGATCTGGTTGGGGATGGCATAACCAGCTCAGGGAGCAGGCCCCAGCAGTGGGTGTGGGAGCGCATGATGGGCAGTGGTCAGCTGTGGTCACTGCATGTGGGCTGGGGTGGGAGGTGGGGGACAGGTTGGCAGGGGCTACAAACAGCCTCGAAGGCCCTGCTGGGGATCCTGGACTTCACCGTGGAGAAGTTTAAGCCAAGCTGCCTCATTGTCAGAGTAGAGCTTTTGAGCAGTTGTCAGGCATTTAGCAGTGAGTGGGTCAGAACGGGTTGGCGGAGACAGAAGCTGGGGGCGGTGAGCCTGAGCCCGGTGATTGTGGAAGTCAGACCTTTTTCTGGGAAAGGCTGGGGTTCCTGGAGGCCTGGAAGAGAAGAGGGAGACCTGCATTTGCACAGGAAGAATTTTGGTCCCAGAAGGCACATCTGTGGAAGAACAAGAGTTCGGCCTTTTGTTGTTAAAAAACCTGGGTTCAAATCCCAGCTCTGCTCCTCACCAGCTGGGCAATCCTGGCACCTCCCTTCCCCTCCCTGAGCCTAGATTTCTGTAAATAGGGGTGATCGTATCAGATGGGCAGGCTGTGGTAAAGACCAATGGGACCATGGGCCTGAAAGTATTAACCAAGATGTCAAATGCTGAGTGGCTGCTGGGGAAGAACGTAAGAAAACAGAGTGGTTATGTGACTTCCTGGAGGTCGCACAGCACAAACACAGTCTCATCACCAAAGACTGTGGATTTGGCTCTGGCCATCTTTTCCCTGGCCCTTCCCACCTCCAGGGGCCCGGTCCCCTGACCCAGCCTGGGAAGAAAGCCACCTCCTAGGAGGTAACAGCAACAGAGAGGAAGCCACATCTCGGAAGCATCCACAAGGAAGGCAGGCCCCAGGACCCAGGCTCTGCCCATGACACGAGAGCCTGAATGAGGTCTGAGGCAGGGAGGCCAAGATAAAAACTGATGACAGAGCACAAATTACAGTTTTCCCTTTTGGAAACATTTCTCCCAAAGTGGAGAAATTCCCATCTACCACCAGAAATTTAACTATCTGTGCCCATAGAAGGGACCTAGGACATAGAATCAGGAGCCCTGGGTCCCAGCTCTGCCCTGCTGCTCACTGGCTTGGGGTCACTCTGTGGGATATATGGCTGTTTCCTGTAAGAGGGGTAATAATAAGTACAGGGTTTCTCTTTGTTAGTTTATTTGTCCTTCTATCTGTCTATCATCTCTCCATCTGTCCACCCATGGAACCTTCATCGAGTTCCTTCCTTAATGCCCATTACTGCGCTGGGTGCCCGAGATGGGGCAGGGAGCCGGATGGGTCATCCAGGCATGGGGTGATCAGGCTGCGGTGGGGGAAAGTTGAGCATTCTGGGAGTCCATGGGAGAAGGGTTCCCCAGCCAGGCAGGGTTCCTGGATAAACATGTCTGGTTTCATCCCCTACCGTGCCCACTTATGCCAGCTGTCTCCCCACCCTACCCCTCCCCAGGTGGACAAGAAGGTCTCGTGCCAGGTTCTGGGCCTGCTCCAGGTCCCCTCGGTGCTCCCGCCAGACACTGAGACCCTTGATCTATCTGGGAACCAGCTGCGGAGTATCCTGGCCTCACCCCTGGGCTTCTACACAGCACTTCGTCACCTGGACCTGAGCACCAATGAGATCAGCTTCCTCCAGCCAGGAGCCTTCCAGGCCCTGACCCACCTGGAGCACCTCAGCCTGGCTCACAACCGGCTGGCGATGGCCACTGCGCTGAGTGCTGGTGGCCTGGGCCCCCTGCCACGCGTGACCTCCCTGGACCTGTCTGGGAACAGCCTGTACAGCGGCCTGCTGGAGCGGCTGCTGGGGGAGGCACCCAGCCTGCATACCCTCTCACTGGCGGAGAACAGTCTGACTCGCCTCACCCGCCACACCTTCCGGGACATGCCTGCGCTGGAGCAGCTTGACCTGCATAGCAACGTGCTGATGGACATCGAGGATGGCGCCTTCGAGGGTCTGCCCCGCCTGACCCATCTCAACCTCTCCAGGAATTCCCTCACCTGCATCTCCGACTTCAGCCTCCAGCAGCTGCGGGTGCTAGACCTGAGCTGCAACAGCATCGAGGCCTTTCAGACGGCCTCCCAGCCCCAGGCTGAGTTCCAGCTCACCTGGCTTGACCTGCGGGAGAACAAACTGCTCCATTTCCCCGACCTGGCCGCGCTCCCGAGACTCATCTACCTGAACTTGTCCAACAACCTCATCCGGCTCCCCACAGGGCCACCCCAGGACAGCAAGGGCATCCACGCACCTTCCGAGGGCTGGTCAGCCCTGCCCCTCTCAGCCCCCAGCGGGAATGCCAGCGGCCGCCCCCTTTCCCAGCTCTTGAATCTGGATTTGAGCTACAATGAGATTGAGCTCATCCCCGACAGCTTTCTTGAGCACCTGACCTCCCTGTGCTTCCTGAACCTCAGCAGAAACTGCTTGCGGACCTTTGAGGCCCGGCGCTTAGGCTCCCTGCCCTGCCTGATGCTCCTTGACTTAAGCCACAATGCCCTGGAGACACTGGAACTGGGCGCCAGAGCCCTGGGGTCTCTGCGGACGCTGCTCCTACAGGGCAATGCCCTGCGGGACCTGCCCCCATACACCTTTGCCAATCTGGCCAGCCTGCAGCGGCTCAACCTGCAGGGGAACCGAGTCAGCCCCTGTGGGGGGCCAGATGAGCCTGGCCCCTCCGGCTGTGTGGCCTTCTCCGGCATCACCTCCCTCCGCAGCCTGAGCCTGGTGGATAATGAGATAGAGCTGCTCAGGGCAGGGGCCTTCCTCCACACCCCACTGACTGAGCTGGACCTTTCTTCCAATCCTGGGCTGGAGGTGGCCACGGGGGCCTTGGGAGGCCTGGAGGCCTCCTTGGAGGTCCTGGCACTGCAGGGCAACGGGCTGATGGTCCTGCAGGTGGACCTGCCCTGCTTCATCTGCCTCAAGCGGCTCAATCTTGCCGAGAACCGCCTGAGCCACCTTCCCGCCTGGACACAGGCTGTGTCACTGGAGGTGCTGGACCTGCGAAACAACAGCTTCAGCCTCCTGCCAGGCAGTGCCATGGGTGGCCTGGAGACCAGCCTCCGGCGCCTCTACCTGCAGGGGAATCCACTCAGCTGCTGCGGCAATGGCTGGCTGGCAGCCCAGCTGCACCAGGGCCGTGTGGACGTGGACGCCACCCAGGACCTGATCTGCCGCTTCAGCTCCCAGGAGGAGGTGTCCCTGAGCCACGTGCGTCCCGAGGACTGTGAGAAGGGGGGACTGAAGAACATCAACCTCATCATCATCCTCACCTTCATACTGGTCTCTGCCATCCTCCTCACCACGCTGGCCGCCTGCTGCTGCGTCCGCCGGCAGAAGTTTAACCAACAGTATAAAGCCTAAAGAAGCCGGGAGACACTCTAGGTCAGTGGGGGAGCCTGAGGTACAGAGAAGAGTGAGGACTGACTCAAGGTCACACAGTGATCCGGGATCCCAGAACTCTGGTCTCCAAATTACAGCCCAGGACACCTTTCTCTGCCGCCTGCTGCATCAGTGGGTGACCCCCTTCCCGGGCTGCACTTTGGGTCCAGCTGTGGAAGCCAGAAGTTGGGCGGTTTCAGGGACAGCCGAGAATAATGTTGACCTGTCAGATCAACAAATCTTCACTGAGCATGTATTTTGTGCCACACCCTGCTCTGGGCACTGGGAATGCTGGGAAATGAGATACATTCCCGCCCTCAAGAATCTCCCAGTCTGGTAGGAGAGAGTGCTGCAGAGCCACGTGGCCGCCACGCAGTGTGCTTAGGGCCTGAGGTGTGAAAGCCCAGGGCTCCAGAGCTCGGCAGGCCCCGCTGGTTTGGTGCGGTGAGTCCTGCCCCGGCTGTGCCAGGGTGAGGGAGGGCCAAGCCCAGGAGGATTTGTCTGAGACATTTCCAAGCAGACTGTTTGTCACGTCTTCTGAGAATGACTTTCAGTCTCTCTGAAAATGAAAAGCTTAGGACCAGAAGAGAGAATTGGAGCTGTACGAGTGTGTCTCGGATCTGGTGTTGTTAGGTGGGCCACGGCGGCTCCAGCAGGGTCTGGTTAAGGGGTCCAGCCCAGCACTGGACCATTCCGTCTCCTGCTCTGGACTTGCCCTCTCCCTTCCTGGCACTCTCATGTTGCATACCCTGACCCCAGTGCTGCTCTAAGCACCGTCCCTGCCCAGCCCCACTTCTCCATCGCAGCCCCACCTTGGCTGCTGAGCCAGGAGCTAAAACCTTAGATATCTGGTTCTGTTTTGCACCCAGCTTGGCAGATGTGGATTTGAATCCAAGCCTTGTGTCTGCCCCTATGTGACAGCTCTATATTTTATCCCCGTTTTATAAAAGAGGAAACTGAAGTTCTGAAAATCTCCTTCCAGGGCCCCAGCTAACTAATGCCATAGGTGAGATTCAAACCTTCATCCTTCTGTCTCCAGGGCCTGATCTTTACCACTGCAGGGGCTGCAGGCCGTTAAGTGGACAGGAAGTGGCCCCACATAGCCCGAGCAGGGTCTGGAAGCATCCTGTGCTGTGCACACCTGCTCTCTCCTCTCTCCCAGGCAGGCAGCTGCAGGCGCTCTCCTCCTTCTCTGCCTGTTTCCCTCCTCCCTTCCTTTCCACCCTGGTGTGGGTTCTCCTGTTCTCTCTGTGCTCTTGCATTCTCTCATTCCCTTTTCCTCTATTGAGCAGAGCCTGGAGTTTGAGACTATGGAATCCAACCTCCCCATTGCACAGATGGGGAAACTGAGGCTTAGGAAGAGAATGAAACTTGTGGAGAGCTTATACAGAGCCTCTGGGGGAAAAAAGAGCCCTTATTTGTGGGGTGAGATTGGGGGTTGGACCAGAGTGATGTCCTCTCTCAGCTATCACATCACAAGATAATGCTGGCTCCAAACTTCCTTTCTGTGCCTCATCATGCAAGGATCTTTTTTCCCTCTTACAAAAACAGGTAAAAAGCCTCACCCAGATGACCCCCATCCCTCATACCATGGAGTCATGAGCTGTCTGGGAAGAATGGACGTGCTGGGACCAACTCAAGACCTTGTTTTGCTGTCTTCATCATCTTACCTGTGCTTGGCCCACAGTCTGGCTCATGATGTGGGCTCAGTAATGTGCGAGAAAGTGAAAATGCCACTCTCTCCACCCCATTTTACAGAGGAGAACACCAAGGCCCAGAGGAAGTTAAGGGAGAGTCAATGGGCAGAGCCAGGGCTAGGCCCTGGTGGTGTGTGGAGCACCCAGGCAGACCCAGTCCTGGTTGGGATCACACCCACGGGTGCTACTGCACGTAACACTCCTCCTTAGGCCTGGAGGCCAAGGTGTGGGTCCCCACGCCTGATCTTTGAAAACACTACACAGGGCTGCTGTCACTTCCCAGGGCCCAGGCCTCAGCCCAGGCCTCGGGACCAACTCTTTGTATAACCTACCTGAATGTATTAAAAACTAATTTTGGAGAAGCAGTGTGGCTGCCAGCTTCCTCTTTGCAATCCGCTTCATTGCGTCCACTAGAACCCTGCCGCTCAATCCCATTACGGTCGTTCAATCATCATGGCAAATCCCTGGGGACACTGAGACTCTGGGCCAGCACCACCCTGGACCTTGAAGCCGCAGCCACTAGCATGGCCCCTGCTACACCTCTTGCCCCACACTCAACAGGCGACTGTGCTCCCCACCCCAGGGCTGAGAGGCTGAGGGCTTCCGTTTGTTTCCTTCCTGCTACAGCTACAGGCCCCCTCCCCTTCTCTGTGCTCAGCCCTCTGTGCCCTATCTCAGAGGCTGCACTGCCCCTCCTCCTTGGGGTCCCCAGCCCCGTCCTCTCTCCCTTACCCCGTCATGCTCTCTTCTGCCTCCAGCCTCTCCCTGTTTACGTCTTCCTCTCAGACTTCAGCTGGACTCAAGTCTTGTCCGTCTTAAAAATAGTGAGAAGCCCCTCAGCCACTTTCCCCTTCGTCCTCCCACTCTTCACAGGCCAGGTTCTTGGTAAAGTCACTTCCCTTCCCGCCCCTCCCGTTCTCAACCCGCCTGGAGCTGCCTTCAGCCCCTCCCAGCTCCATGCTGCCCTTGCTAACAGCGTCAAGGGTATCCTTTGCCAAACTCAGCACGCTTTTCAGACCTCCTCTCCCTAGGCCCTGTGCAGCAGGCCCCCCACCCATACCCCTGCTGGGCATGCTCTCCCCACAGCTGTGATCCCACACAGGAAGCCATCTCCTCCCTCCCAGGCCACTCCTTTTCAGGCCACTCTTTGCTCATCTTCCTTGAGCCAGCTTTAAGTGGTGATGGCCAGGGCTCCATCCTAAGCCCTTTTCCCTTGGGAACACTATGGCCTCATTGCTGTAAACACCCCATTGCTCTGATGGCCCACATCTCTGTCTCCAGCCCCACCTCTCCTGAAAGTCCAATTCTGCTACCCAGAGGCCTTCCCAGGTAGAGGGCTAAAGGTCCCCAGGGACTGGAGAATTCAGTGATCAGCCAGGCTGCAGATCAAGGTTGAACTTGGAAGAAAACCACACCTGGTTCCTGGCTTGGAGTTGGAGGGTGAGTGTCGGGTGTGGGACAGAAGCAGCCTCACCTGGGTAGGGGAGCACTGAGAGGCGTGACAGGCCAGGGCAGAGCATGCAGAGCAGGGGGTGCTTATTCCTCTGGCCCTCACACCTTCCATTTCGCCCTGTCAGCAGCCTGGCACTGCGCCTTTGCCCTTCCCTTCCCTGACTGCCTCTCCCCCAAGCTCCTGCTCAGTGATGCTTCTCCTGCCCACCCCGAGTCAGCCTGGACCCCTCCCCTTGGCCCTGCAGCCCCTGGGCCCAGCGTTGGCAGCTCTGCCTCCTGGAGATTCTTCCGTTTCTCTGGTCCGTGCCCTCTCACCTCCCCATTCCTGCTCCTGGCTCCCAGTCTGCAAAGGGAAATTCTAAACACCTATTTCATGGGGTAGGGCTGGGGGAGAAAGGAGAGAGCCCCACCCCCTGGCACACGATAGGTGCTCCGTGAAGGCCTAAGGGGAAAGCAGGAGCTTGGGCTGAGCTCGCCTAGGGTCTGCGGGCCTCTGCTCCAGCAGGGAGCCCAGCAGGCCCCTGACCCCTTTTCCTGACAAACAGGGAGTTTGCTCACCTGGCCAAGACCCCCGGTGAGGCAGAAATTCCTGTTTTCAGCCAAACGTGGACACAGCAGCCAACTAGGTCATCAGAACATCCAGCTTCCCGAGCTCTTAGCTTGCAGGGAGAGGGGAGGCCCTGCCACTCCCAGGTCACAGTCAGCCTGAGGTGCAGGGCCCAACTCCTGGGGTTCCATGCGCTGGCGTGGCACTCCACCAGGAACGGGTCCCGGGACGCGCCAGCAACTCACCCTCTCAGACCCACAGGCTGGCCACATCCTCCAGGATCTGGGACCCACCGTCTGTGTTCTGTGCCCCTGTCCTTCAGGCAGTTCACTGAGCCCATGAGGCCCATCTCTCTCCCGCCACCTCTCACAACATGCTCAGAGATGGCCATTGTTGAGCACTTCCGGGCGGGCCCATGCTGAGCACTGGATGTGGATTGTCATGTTTAATTCTGACAGCCGTTGAAGAGATTTCTACTGTTACCATCCTCATTTTAGAGAACTGAGCTCCAGCGATGAGACTTGAACCCAGGCTGTCCCACTCTGGAGCCAGCAGTCTTAACCATTAGGCAGCACTGCCTCCTGCACCTCTCCCGCCTCCTCTGCCGGAACCAGCTCACCCCCCCACCCACCTGCACAATCTCCTTCACCACCCTCGCCTGTATCACCTCCATCACCTTCTCTGGGGAGACTGTCTGGATTTCTCTCCTCCAGCTGCCCACAGGTCTGGGCTGCCCTCAGCATTGGGTGTCTGCCTGACCCACCCACCAGGCCAGGAGGTCCTGGGGGGAGGTCCTACCTGGAGTCCTATCTGTCCCCAGGGCCTGTGAGCCAACACAGACTAAAGCCAGCTCAGAAAAGGTTTTCTGAGTGAATGGCCCCTGTCTTCCAGGACTCAGAAGCTTGTGGAGTTGAGACAAGCCCTCAGAGAGTGTGGTGAGGAGGCTTTTTGAACAGACCTAGGGGACACAGAGAGGACAGGGGAATGCAGACTGTGGGCTGCCCACGGCAGCAGGGGCCAGTGGGGAGGCAAAGAATCCTCTCTGACCACCCTCCATTCCCTGCAGCTTCCTCAGGCCTCTAGGACCCCGTCTTATCTTTGTCCTCCCCCCCTCCTTTGCTCCCCCTCGTCTCCCATTCTTCTCTTCTTGGTCATCTCCCCCCACCCCCACCCCTATCGCACTGGAAACAGTTGGGCTGTGGTGGCTGAGAATGGGGAGGGCGGGGTGGGGGAGAGGGAGGCCCGAGCTGTTTATAGGAACTGGAGCAGCTCCATCCATCAGCTCTGTTTGGAACTGGAGACCAAGCATAATAAATACCTTGGCTCCTCCCCAGCTGCGCTTTCCGTGAACTTGGCCGTCCGAACTCCAGCTCTCCCTGGCCTCCTGGTTCCCAGGATCCAGTCTCACTCCACCCCACCCTACCTCACCTCCCACCAAGCTGCCCTGGAAAGAGTCTGGCCTCTGGGACCAGAAACACGGGCCTGAGTCTAGGTTCTGCTGCTTCCTCACTGTGGGACCAAGGCCAAGACCGTCACTTAGCTGCACCTCTATTTCTGCATCTGTAAAATGGGGTCATAATCATCGCCCACACCCCCAAACTCAGCACTGCTCATTCGTTCGGCCAGAGTGGCTTGGGCATCTGCTCTGTGCTGGGCCCTAGGCCCTGCGGGATACAGGGAACAGTTGGACAGAGCCTCTGTCTATGGGGTGGAGAGAGGGGCCACACCACAACCCAAGCCAGGAAGTGGTCAGCGCCTTGAGGGAGGTCCAGATTTTGTGCTCGGGAAGTTTGTTTGCAGCAGGGAGCAGCCCTTCCAGCTGGAGAAGTGAGGCAAGACTTCGAGGACATCTGGGCTGGCTCTGCAAGGAAGGGTAGGATTTCAACACGTGGAGATGGGAAGAGGCTTTCCAGGCAGAACAAATGGCAGGACCCAAGGCCTGGCAGCAGGAAGAGCCAGGGCATGTCTGGGAGTAGAGGGGTCTGCCTGGCCCAGCCTCCATCGCATCACTTTCTCCTCTCTCCTCATTCAGCACCTTCTGCTCAGGACTTCCAGCCTTCTGAAATCTTCCCTCCTTCCCTGGAGAGCTTCCAACTCACCCAGCTAGGCCCTCCCAAGTTGTGGATGCATTCCCAGAATTCTGCCATCATGTCCCCACTCCCTCCTTCTCTGAAAAAGCCACCCTAGAAAGCGGAAGATTCAGATCGGGAAAAGGCATGGACCAATAGCATGTTTCTGGAGTGAATAAGGGAAAAAATGAATAAAGAAATGCAGAAAAGATTGAGTCAATGAAGGAGAGAGTGAGTGAGCAAATGACTGAAAGCAGCCAGCATTGCCGGGACCCTGCCGCATCTCATACTGGGTGCTGCACAGGCAGCGTTCCTCCTCTTGTGGCGCTTGGGAAATAGACATTAATCACACACAAACAAAAACGATGGCAAATTGTAATGAGGGCTATGAAAGGGAGTGAAGGGCAAGATCACTGAGGGGTGGGACTCAGAAGAATCCTTTCTGAGGACATGACCTGTCAGCTAAGACGGAAGGAGGACTTCAGTTGAGAGAACAAGTCAATTAATACTCCGTGGCCTCTTCCACTCACTCTCATGAATTTGCCAAGTCGCCTGGGGAGAATGGGGCCTGAACTCTGGACCCTGAGGTCCTTTCTCATGCACTGAAAGCAGCCCCCCAGCCCTGGCCCCTCCCTGCGACTTGGTGACTTGACTGCCCTATTCTAGCATCATGGAAAACACATGGAAGGCCACGTATAGGGTGGTGGGAGGGATGCCCAAGGGAGTCACGCATTTTGGGGGGAGGGGGCTAGCTAGGCTGCAGGATGAGGGAGTCCAATTCCAAAGGCCCGTGCTTTTTTATTTTATTTTATTTTTTTGGTGGAGGATGAGCCAATAATGTCTCCCTCCTCACTTTCCACACTGCTCATGTCAGCTTGTACTACCCTCCCCTTTGACCCCAGATAACCCACTGTATCCAACCTCCTGTATGTTTTCTCCTTAATTGAGTAATCACTGACAGACACATTTACATTGTATGCAAACACACATATGCAAGTATTAGAGATTTTAATTGTTATTTTACAAAAATGGGATCATATTCTATTATACTCTCTTGCATTTCGCTTTTTTATGCAATAGTACTTCAAGGAAATCCCCCGAAATAAACTGATATAAGTTTCACATAATTTTTGACATTACATAATATTCCATAGCGTGAATATTGCACGATTTATTCAGCCATTCACCTATTGATGAACAATAGCTTTATCTTTTCTTTAACTATAAACATGAGGCAAAAAATTCTATTCCTATGCCTATACTCTCTAGGGTTTGTGTTCTCATGGAATGAATGCCTAGAAGTAAATCAATGGAGATATATATATTTTATACACTTTTAATGTATATTATATATACTTTTAATAAAGTTTGCATTTCAAAAAAACAGTAATGTTTCACATTTCCGCAAACAACGTATGAAAGTATCTTATCCTGTGCCTCCCTACCAGAAATGCAGGTTTTAGCTGTGGGTATAAAACGATCTCTCATTGTTACTTTAAATTGCATTTTCCTGCTGCTGGAGCTGAGCACGTCTTCATTTGTATTTTTGGCCATTTGGATGAACTCTTCTGTGAATTACCCATTTTTATCCTTTGCCCATTTTTCTACTGAGTTAACTATTTCTTATTAATTTGTAAATCCTTATTGTATGTTGTAGATCTTAAACTTTGTCTCACATTTCCATAATTCGTTTGTCTATTGACCCTGCTTATGTATCTTTTGGCCTACAATGTTTTCCAAGGTCTCACTTTTCCTTAATCGCTTCTCAATTTTATTAAGTTTCACTCAGGTTGCTCATATAGTCTCCTAAATTTTCTTGTAAAATTTGTTATGTTGGCTAGGTGCGATGGCTCACATGTCTAATCCCAGCACTTTGGAAAGCCGAGGTGGGTGGATCACCTGAGGTCAGGAGTTCAGGACCAGCCTGGACAGCATGGTGAAACTCCGTCTCTACTAAAAATACAAAAAAAGTTAGACAAACCTGGTGGTGCATGCCTGTAATCCCAGCTACTCAGGAGTCTGAGGCAGGAGAATCGCTTAAACCCAGGAGGCAGAGGTTGCAGTGAGCCGCGATGGTGCCACTGCACTCCAGCCTGGGTGACAAGAGCAAAACTCCATCTCAAAAAAAAAAAAAAAAAAAAAAACCAAAATTGTTATCTTGTTTTTTATTTTACATTTAAATCTTTACATAACCTGAGATGTTGTTGATTTTTTTTTTTTTTTAAATAGAGAGAGGGTTTCCCTATGTTGCCCAGGATGGTCTTGAACTCCTGGGCTCAAGAGATCCTCCTGCCTCAACCTCCCAAAGTGCTAGAATTACAGGTGTTAGCCACCACGCCCAGCCAACCTGAGATGTGTTTTTTATTTTGAAGTTGAATAATCATCCAATTTTACTTGCTTCAAAATGAATAGTAATTTTGAAAGCATTGCTTATTAAGTAATTAAAAGGTTACTCTGTCAGATATTAAATTCTGATATATATTTGAGATCTATTTCTGGATTTCTTTTTTTTTTCACTAATCTATTTCTCTGTTTCTATACCATTACTCTAATGATTGGTTTTAGAGTTGGTTCTGATACCTGCAAGACAAGTCATCTTGTACTGTTACTATTTTTCATGTCTTTTTGGCTATTCTCAGGAATTTATTGCTTCATATAAACATCAAGATCATTGCACTCTGTTTGGAATTGATTTTGGAAGGTTTGACATTTCTATATTAAGTCTTCCCATCCAAGAGTATGATGTATCTTTCCATTTGTTCAGATCTTGTGTTCTCTTTTTTTGTTGTTGTTGTTGTTGTTGTTGTTTTTGAGACGGAGTCTTGCTGTCACCCAGGCTGGAGTGCAGCGTTGCAATCTTGGCTCAATGCAACCTCTGCCTCCTGGGTTCAAACGATTCTTCTGCCTCAGCCTCCTGAGTAGCTGGGACTACAGGTATGTGCCACCACACCCGGCTAATTTTTGTATTTTTATTAGAGATGGGGCTTTGCCATGTTGGCCAGGCTGGTCTCAAACTCCTGACCTCAGGTGATCCACCCACCTCAGCCTCCCAAAGTGCTGGGATTACAGGCATGAGCCACCACGCCCAGCCTCAGATCTTGTGTTCTATGTTGCTACAAGATTGTATACCTTTCTTCATAGAGACCCTATATCTTTCTTGTTACATTTATTTCTGAATATCGTTTTTGTCAATATCATAATGGGAATATTTTTTCTATTTCCGTTTCTATGCATTTATTGTCAAAAATAAGAAAAGCAACTGGTTTTTGTACATTTATCTTATATCTAATAACATCATTTTTTCTTAATAATTCAAATATGTTTTTCTTTTGCAGTTATTTTATCTTATTTGCTAGAGGCTCTGAGGTTTTCTAGATATACAATAATTTAATTGCCTCATTGCTCCCACAATTCCCTTGACACTCTCACTACAGTAGCATCTACCTCCAGCCATGTCTTTCCTCACCCGGCCTGCACCCAGGTTACAGGGAATCCCACTGCCCACAATAGAATTTCTTCTCTCATTTCCTCTCTTCTCAAAGCTAAGACTCCAGTTCCCTGTTTCCCTGGTTTACAGGAGCAGAGTAGGGTATGGGTGGGGGTGCTCAGGTTCTCTGCTGCTTTGTTCCACAGAATGAATTTGTCCCACCCTCACTGGAATTCAGCTTTCCTAGAGCAAAGGTTGAAAACTGGTGGCCTTTGGGCCAGATTTAGCCTTCAGACATGCTTTATTTGGCCCACACAGTGGTTTATAAAAATTTTGATTAGTTGCCAACATTTAAAAATTGTAAGAGTTGTTTTACACGGGAACATATAAAAATCTGGATTTCTAATTTTTCTTAAAATCCTGAAAGATCTGAGAAACTGGGCCCTCAGCCCACAGGACAATGAGTGGCAGGAGCTGTGAAATCACATGTCCTACCTAGACTATGAGCTCCTCAAAAGCAGGAGGTCATCCTGCCCCTTCTGTACCCCCAGCATGTACCCCTAGAGCCTGGCTCCAGGCAGGGGTTCATGAAAGCTTAATTCCTTTCCTTCAGTAAGTTTTAAAGATATGTGAGTTGACCCATACAATAAGGGTTCTGAACTTTATTATGCCTTGGCAGTCTGGTGAAGCCTAAGGACTTCTTTTCAGGATAAGGTTTTCAAATTCATAAAATAAAAAATACACATGATTACAAAGGAAACCAATTCTATTGACTGCTTATCAAAATATTAAAAAATAAATTGTGAATTAGTAATACATGTTCTTTATGAGCACATTACATAACAAGATCTAGTGGCAAGTCTAATAACTACTGTAATTTTGAAGCACCGATGAGCATAAATGATATTCTGAGAGATCTGTAAGAAGGCAGGAAAACGTGTGATTTCTGTTGGTTACAGGACTGCTAAAGTCATTTGTACTCTGAATACTATGGGGATTCGTGGCTACATTCAAGATGGAAAGAATGATTACATTTCAATGAGAAGCTAATGATGAAAATAAAGACGTAATTTTTTCTCAACCAAGTTCACAGACCCCAAGAATTCTACCCACAGATCCCGTGGATCTCAGATCAAAACCTCTACTTTCGGGAAAAGGTGGGAATGTCAGCTACAACCAAGTCACAATAACAAGGAAACACAATCCCTTAGAAACTGCCCCAGTTGTGGTTGTTCTCATTCAAGGCAGAGTGGGAGTGTAAATGAAATCACCTATTCTGGAGGGCCCTTTGGCAATACGTTCCAAGAATCTTAAAAATGTGCATCTGCTTTAATCTAGCAATTCTGTTTCTAGGAGTTTATCCTAAGGAAATAAAGACGTAGCCAAAAAATAGAAAAAAAAATTGAGCGTGAAGACGTTTGTCATAGCCAAGGACACATCCAGTTTTTGTGGAGCCTGAAGTTTATACAATTTAGGGGGCCCCTATAACGCAAAGAATACAAAATTATGAATATAGAATTGCTAGATCACTCCCAGGCATTTGAAAGGGACTTGTGCAAATGGGGTCCTTTCATCAGCTTCACATAAATTCACCCCAAACATAACATTATTAAACATAATCATCTAAAATTAGAAACAACCTAAAATGACCAACAATTGGGGATGGATATAAGTTTTAGTATATTTGCATAAGTGATATTAATCACTCATTTAAAATGATATGAATGTAGCAGTCTACTGACATGGAAAGATGCTCAAAACATAGTATGAAGCGAAAAAGCAGGTTATAAAATGGTGATTACGTATCAAAATCCCAGTTTTGTTAAAATAACATAATATTTATGTGTAGTAAGATGTGAAATGGGACTTTCCTGTCTCAGAACTGCTGCTGTACCCTAGAGCCTCAAAAGCAGCACCAGACACAATCCAGCAGGACTTGGGCAGATTGTGATGCCCTCATACAGGCTCAGAGCAGCCTTGGAGCAGGCACTGACCTGGGAGAGAAGGATGGATGCAGGGGTTTTCCTTGGGGAGAGTCACCTCAGTGCTGTGCCTCACCCCACATAACTCAAGCCAAGAGACTGGGGCTTCCCTGGAGCTTGGGGGAAACAGAACCTGACCCACCTCTCCCCTGGAAAAGTCTAAAGAGAAAAAGCTGATGGGAGCTATCCCTGGTGGTGGCATGAGGGGTGGGGGCTGCCATGGGAGCAGCTTGTGCTTGCAGGGTGCAAAAGAGAGAAATGTTTCCTATGCTACCAACCAGAAACAGTGCAAGGTATCCAAAAGTCAGTCATCATGAAAGATCCCTGCCCAAGAAGTCTGCCCTCCAGGAGAAGGGGACCCCTACAGAAGGACCCTCAGCCAGAGTGAAGGGGACAGGCACAGGTAGTCTTGGGGAATATGTCACCCAAGCCCAGGAACCAGCTGGAGGAGACCAACAAAGAAGCCTGCACACAACCCAAAAAATGTTTGTCCCTTTAAAGCAAGGGCCAGAGTTTGGGTATCTGACCCCTAGGGGAGTCTAACGCCAGGTTACAATGACTCCATTCAGAGCACACCTTGCACTTGCCTGTATCTCCCCCAAACCCCTCTCAACCCTGAGCCAATTCAAAGAAGCAGAATAGATAACAGGAGAGACAAACAAGGCTCCCATTCCTCACTGCAGGTCTCTGAGCCAGGTCACAGAACTCTAGGAGAAACTCAAGTTGATTTGTTGGCTTAGTTGAGGTATAATTTACACATGGTAAAATTCACCCTTAATAACGTTCTCTTCTATGAGTTTTGAAAAACACATAAAGTTATGTAACTACTACCACCACCACAGTCAAGATATAAATGCTTTCTCTCACCCTAAAGTGATAGGGCTTAGTTTTGGATACAGTTTTGCCTTTTCCAGAAGGTCATATAAATGAAATCGCACAATATGTAGCCTTTTGAGACTGGGCTCTTTCACTTAGTACAATGCACTTGGGATTCATCCACGTTTTTGAAAGTACCAGAAGTTCCTTCCTATCACTGAGTAGTATTCCATTGAATGGATGTACCACAGGATGTCTAACCATTCACCTACCAAAGAACATTGGGGTTGTTTCTAGTTTTTGGCAATTATAAATAAAGCCGCTATAAACATTCATATACAGATTTTTGTGTTAACAAAAGTTTTTGTTTCTCTTGGGGAAATATCTAGGAGTGGGAGTGTTAGGTCACTGGGCAGGTGTATGTTTCACTTTCAAAGACACTGACAAACTGTTTTCCAAAGTGATTGTCCAATATTTAATTCTCATCAGCAATGTGTAAGAGTTCCAGTTGCTCCACATCCTCACCAACACTTAGTATTGTTATTTTTTTCTTTAATCCCTTTAATGGGAGTGTAGTAAGAGGCTAAATTTTCGTGTTTTTAAAATAGGCTTTAATTTTTAGAGCAGGTTTATGTTCACAGTAAAATTGAACAGAACATACAGAGTTCCCATGCCCACCCACTTCCACACAAGCACAACCTCCCCACCATCAACATCCCACAGAAGAGTAGAACATTTGTTACAAACAATTAACCTACATGGATGCATCATTATCACCTGGAATCCATAGTTTACTTTAGGGTTTGCTCTTAGTGTTGTACATTCTATGGATTTTGACAAATCGATAATGACATGTACTCATCATTATAGCATCATATAGAATAGTTTCACTGACCTAAAAATCCTTTGTGCTCTGCCTAATTATTCCACTCCCCTCTAACCTCTGGCAATGACTGATCTTTTTACTTTTGCCATAGTTCTGCCTTTCCCAGAACGTCATATAGTTGCAATTGTTCAGTATGTAACATTCTCAGACTGGCTTCTTTCACTTAGTAACATGAGTGTAAGTTTCCTCCATGTCTTTTCTTTTCTTGATAGCTGCTTTTGAGTGCTGAATAATATTTCATTGTTTGGATGTGCCATAATTTATTTATCCTCTCACTTACTGAAAGACATCTTGATTGCTTCCAAGTTTTGGCAATTGTGAATAAAGCTGCTATAAACATCTGTATGCAGGATTTTGTGTGAATGTAAGTTTTCAGCTAATCTGGGTAAATACCAAGGAGTGCAACTGCCAGATCAAAGAATAAGAGTATGTTTAGTTTTGCACACACACACAAACCTGCCAAACTGTCTTCTAAAGTGGCTGTGCCATTTTGCATTCCCACCAGCAATGAATGAGAGTTCCTGTTGCCACACATCCTTGCCAGCCTTTGGTGTTGTCAGTGTTTTGCATTTTGGCCATTCTATCAGGTGTTTAGTGGTATCTCTTTGTTGTTTTAATTTGCAACTCTAACGATGTATGGCGTTGAGCAACTTTTTATATGCTTATGTGTCATCTGCATATCTTCTTTGGTGGGGTGTCTGTTCAAGTCTTCTGCCCATTATAAAATGGATTATTTTCTTATTGTTGAGTTTTAAGAGCTCTTTATATATTTTCAATAAAAGTCCTTTAAGCTTGCAGAATAATTGCAAGAATAGTACAAAGAACACCCATGTATACCCTTTATCCACATTCACCAGCTGTTAGTGATTGTTAACATTTTGCTTTGTCACTTTCTCTTTATACACACATTTTTTTCTTAACCTTTTTAGAGTAAGTTGCATACATCATTACCCCCAAACATTTTAACATGTATTTTCTAAGACAAAATATATTATCTTACATAACTACAATATAGTTATCAAATTCAGGAAATTTAACATTAATATAATACTATTATATAATCCTTAGGCTAGATCCAAATTTCACAAAATGCCCCTGGTAACAGGCTTTGTAGCAATCTTCACCTCTGATCCAGTACTGGATCTAAGATCATGCATTTCACTTGGCTGCCATGTCTCTTTAGTTTCCTTTTATCCAGCACAGTTCTTCGGTATGTTATTGTCTCTTATGACACTGACATTTTTTATGACTCTGGGCCAATTATTTCATAGACTGTTTTTCATTTTGGTTTTGTCTGATAGTTTCTCTGTCAGATTCTGCCTTTTTGGTGAGAATGCCATTTTGCAAGAGATAAGAAAAACCAGTATTTTTCCTACTCTCACACTCACCATAGAATGCTTCATTTCTGGTCACCAAAACATGCAGGATTTCTTCCCACCAACCACCAATTTTCTCCAGCGGGCACCATCTGGGGATCCTATGATTCAATGCTATACTGACAATATCTACCTGAAGATAGCGTCAGATCCACAGTGCTCCACCCCACTTCAGATGCCGATCACAAGCCCCAGGTTGTGACCTATGCTTCTGACCAGCCAGCTATAAATCAGGGTTCCCAAGATGCCCTCCTTAGGTTTAATTAATCTGCTGGAACAGATCATGGAACTCAGGGAAATACTTTACTTACATTTACCCATTTATTATAAAGGATATTAGAAAAGATACAGAAGAGCAGCCAGATGGAAGATATACACAGGGCAAGGTATGGGGGAGCTTCCATGCCCTCTCCAGGCACACTATCCTCCCAGCACCTCCAGGTGTTCGGTAATCTGGAAGCTCTCCAAACCCAGTCCTTTCGGATTTTCACGGAGGTTTCATTAGGTAAGCATGATGGATTACATCACTGGCCTTTGGTGAGCGACTCAACCTTCAGCCTGGGGCTGAAAGTTCCAACCCTCTAATCATGGCTGGATCTTTCCTGTGACCAGCCCCTATGCTGAAATTATCTAGGGGCTTCCAGCCACCAGTCATCTCATTGGCATACAAAAGACATTCTTATCACTCGGGAGATTCCCAGAGTTTGGGGAGCTGTTTCAGGAACTAGGGGCAGAGATCAAATATATATGTTTCTTATTATATCACACTTATCACACCACAGAAGTGAGGTAGTGTCTTTCTTGGGGAACCACATCAGAAGGCACTTTATGCCAGACCCTTATTTGGCAGACTTAAAAAAAAATAACTGAATCTACAAGGAACTTAAACAAATTTACGGGAAGAAAAACAAACACTCCCCTTAAAAAGTGGGCAAAGGACATGAACAGACACTTCTCAAAAGAAGATATTCATGCGGCCAACAAACATATGAAAAAAACTCAACGTCACTGATTGTTAGAAAAATGCAAATGAAAACCACAATGAGATACCATCTCACGGCCAGGCAAGGTGGCTCACGCCTGCAATCCCAGCACTTTGGGAGGACAAGGCGGGTGGATCATTTGAGGTCAGGAGTTTGAGACCAGCCTGTCCAACATGGTGAAACCCCGTCTCTACTAAAAATACAAAAATTAGCTGGGTGTGGTGGTGGGTGCCTATAATTCCAGCTACTTGGGAGGCTGAGACAGGAGAATTGCTTGAGCCCGGGAGGTAGAGGTTGCAGTGAGCAGAGATCGTGCCACTGCACTCCAGCCTGGGTGATACAGCAAGATATCATCTCACACCAGTCAGAATGGCAATTATTTAAAAAGTCAAGAAACAACAGGTTCTGGCAAGGTTGTGGAGGAATAGGAATGCTTTTACACTGTTGGTAGGAATGTAAATTAATTCAGCCACTGTGGAAGACGGTGTGGTGATTCCTCAAAGATCTAGAACCAGAAATACCATTGACTCAGAAATCTCATTACTGGGTATATACCCAAAGGAATATAAATAATTCCATTACAAAGATACATTAACATGTATGTTCATTGCAGCACTATTCACAATAGCAAAGACATGGAATCAACCCAAATGCCCGTCAATGATAGACTGGATAAAGACAATGTGGCACATATGCACCATGGAATACTATGCAGCCATTTTTTAAAAAAAGAGATCATGTCCTTTGCAGGGACATGGGTGGAGCTGGAAGGCATTATCCTCAGCAAACTAACGCAGGAACAGAAAACCAAACTCTGCATTTTCTCACTTTTAAGTGGGAACCGAGCAATGAGAACACAAGGACACAGGGAGGGAAACACACACTGGGGCCTGTGGAGGAGGGGTAGGGGGAGGGAGAGCATTAGGAAAAATAGCAAATGCTTGCTGAGATTAATCCCTAGGTCATGGGTTGATAGGTGCAGCACACCACCATAGCACACATTCACCTATGTAACAAACCTGCACATCCTGCACATGTACCCTGGAACTTAAAATAAAAATAAAACTGAGAATGAGGCTCTTCATTGATATCTAACATGATATTGTCCCCTGCCCCCAAAGCTATAAGATCTGCTCAAGATATCATCATCCAGGTTGAGGGAAAGGAAAGCCAGTGGAACAGGCTTGCGAGGTACTGTTGTCAGAAAAATAAAACTATTACATGATTCTACTCCACTGAGTCTAGCTTGTAATATGCATTAGGAAAAATTAAAAGACTGAAATGAGGACACTCTCCAAAAAATAAGAGTGGGAGAAGGATTTCAGGTGATTTCTCTTTTCTTTGGTTTATCAGTATAGTGGACCCATACCCAGCAAGCATTTAATTCACCACCACCCACCTCCAAACCCTGCCCTCCCATTCCACTTTGAACTAGACTTTGATGCTCATGGTCAAAAGGTAAAGAAGATGAAATAATGTAATCTTTGTCTTCTGAATTTCTAGTATCCCAGGTCATTCTTCTTAAGGGATTATTCAGGGTCATTTTTTACTGTAATTTTCACCTTATACCTGTAAGATTTCAATGACACCGTATTTTCAGATTTTTTTGTACTATTAACTTATATTACTCATGATTGATAATTAAAAAAATTGATATTAAAAAAGGTGAAATATCACCTCCTTCCATGAATTGACATTTTGAATTGTGAACCAGAAACCCGAGCAGCCTGGGGTGGGGATCGCGCGTCTTTGCTCTCTCACCAGAACTGTCAGCCTTCAGAGAGGGGACTGGGGGTGGGGTGATTTATATGTCACTACAGACATCATGGAAATTCTCAGCGTGGCATCTGCAGGAGAAGGCGGAGCTTGGAGGCAGCACCTCAGAGGGGAAAACACCTCTATGGCAGTCAGCAGGTTGGTGTTTCTTCCTCTTAAATGTCTCTGATCTTGTCTCCATCCTCGTGTCCATGAGGGTTCAAGCCTTCATCATTTCTCGCTTGGACTGTGGTCCCAGCCCAGACCTCCCTGGTCTCCCTGTGTTTGGTCCATTCTGTAGCTGAATAATTATCCCAGAGCCCTGCTATTTTTCTATCTCCTTTCCATGGCACCCAGCGCTCCATTGCTTACTCAACTAAATGCATTCACAAACCCCAATACCCTGACGTCACATTTCCCCACCTTCTGGTTCCACCCTACCTCTCCCCACTACCATTATCTACATCCCAGCCAACTGTGGGCTTCTCACCATCTCCCCAGCCTGCCCCTTCCTGCCCCTCGCTGCGCCTTTGCTCATGTCTGGCAATGCCTTCCCTTGATAGTGTAGCCTGCCCAGCTCTGGACTATCCTTGAAGGGCAAGCATCAAAGCTACTACATTCAAGAAGGCTTTAGCAAACCTTTCCTGAATGGGAACTGTGGCCAGGCTCTGCCAGGCCCTGAGGATACAACAATGAGGATGACACAGGCTCTGCTTCCAAGGATTCAGTCCATCAAGGAGTGGAGAAATAGAAGCACATCAACAGAGCCAGAAAGGCTGGATGGGAAGAAAAGGACAGGAAAACTATATAGGTAGCAGAAAAATAAGTTGCCTTTTTAGGTAATGTATTAGTTTGCTAGGGCTACTGTGAAACTTGTTGTCTTAAACCATAGAAATCTATTGTCTTGGCTGAGCGCTGTGGCTCATAATCCCAGCACTTTAAGAGGCTAAGGTGAGTGGATCACCTGAGGTCAGGAGTTCAAGACCAGCCTGGCCAATGTGGTAGAACCCCCGTCTCTACTAAAAATACAAAACTAGCCATGTGTGGTAGCAGATGCCTGTAGTCCCAGCTACTTGGGAGGCTGAGGCAGTATAATCACTTGAATCTGGGAGGCGGAGGTTGCAGTGAGTCGAGATCGCACTACTGCACTCCAGCCTGGGCGACAGAGTGATACTCTGTCTCAAAAAAAAAGAAATCTATTGCCTCGCAGTTCTGAAGGCTGGAAGTTCAAGATCAAGACATCAGCAGGGCCGTGCTCCCTCTGAAGGCTCTGGGGAGGGATCTGTCTAGGCCTCTCTTCGAGTTCTGGTGGCTCCTGGACCTGTGGCAGCATAACTTCAGTCTTCACATGGCGTTCTCCCTGTATATATGTCTGTGTGCCCACATGTCCCCTTTTTACAAGGACACTAGTCATATTGGAATTAATTCCCACCCTACTTCAGTGTAGCCTCATAGCATCTGCAGTAACCCTGTTTCCGAACAAGGTCACATTCTGAGGTACTGAGGGTTAGGACTTCAACATATGAGTTTTTGGGGGGGACAAAAGTTAACCCATAACAGATGGGGACAGCCCAGAACCCAAACGGCAGGGATGAGTGTGGAAGAATAAAATGGGGTGTTGGGTTCAAGCTACATTTTCCTCTGTGAGAAAGGCAGCTGTGTCAGAAGAGGGATCTAGGGGAGACAGAAACAGTTCATAAGGATTTAAAAACACACGTCACTGCTATGTGGTAGGCCATGCCTGCTCTTTATTCTGTGTTTCCACAAAATCGATTTCTATTCTGGATAGGAGAGTCAGGGAGGGGATTGCTGATGTGCTAGCCCCAAAGCTGGGCAGGGCAAAACCAGCACTGCCCACAGGAGGCCAGGGCTGCTAGGCAACACAAGATAAAGCAGTGCAGCAAGGCAAAGAGGAGACGAGAGAGTAGAGTGAGGCAAAGCCTGGGCAGCCGGCTTCATGAGGACACAACTAATTGCATTCAGCATCACACTGCCATATGCATTCATTTTTGCAAGTACATTTGATTCTCTTAAACACCTTATGTGGTGGAAATTATTGTTTCTATTTTACAGTTCCTATTTACACACCGTGGCTCAAGGTGCCTCAAGGGTGATGTGACCTGCTCAAGGTCCCACAGAAGGTACCGGCAGAAGTGGGTCTGAACCCAGGAAGTCTGATGGCAAAGCCCATGTTCATTCCATAGTCCCGCAGGGGCACTTTGTGCATAGCCTCTTCTTCTTCTTTTTTTTTTTCCTCTTTTTTTTTTTTTTTTTTTTTTGTGAGACAGTCTTACTCTGTTACCCAGGCTGGAGTACAGCAGTGCCATCTCAGCTCACTGCAACCTCCACCTCCTGGGTTCAAGCAATTCTCGTGCCTCAGCCTCCCGAGGTAACTCGGATTACAGGCATGCATCACCATGTGCGGCTAATTTTTGTAATTTTAGTAGAGATGGGATTTTGCCACGTTGGCCAGGCTGCTCTCGAACTCCTGGCCTCAAGCAATCTGCCCGTCTCAGCCTCCCAAAGTGCTGGGATTATAGGCGTCAGCCACTGTGCCCAGCCTGTAGCCTTTTCTTTAGCAACCCAGGCACCTCATGAACAGCTGAGATCCAGCAATCCATGTGTGTTGACTGACCAAGGAATGTTTCTGTGCAGCCGCCTCCAGTGCCCATGCCACATCAGCTGCAGCTGGGGTGGACATTTCCTTGCCAGCCCAGGCTCACCTCACATGGCCAGCATCCTACCCAAGCTGTGACTTTCTGCATCTGCTGCAGGCTCTTTGGCACCATCTGACCTTGCTTGGGCAGGCATTACAGCCCAGAAGTCTCAGGGACCTTACCCAGTGGGGGCTGGAGTCAGCAGATCAATCATCAGTTTCCAGTCCTGCAGATGAGCAATTCTGGAAGGCATTCTGTAGGCTTCAGGGGTCCTGGTGGAACACAGCCCTGTCGCCCACTGTGGAGACTGATAAAACACACCCTGGCAATGGCTTTGCTTCCTTCCTGTCCTGTTCTCCCCACTCCCTTACTCCTGCCTCCTGGGATCACCTCCCCAGTAACTAGTTGCCCCAAATCTTTGTCTCGCACTTGGCTTTTGAAGAAACTCAAACCAAGACAGTGATGGTGCCAGTGGGAAATTTCCCCTTTCCAAGGGGGCCATTCTGAAATTGGCTAAAGCAGGGAGCAAGAAGCCAGCAAAGGTTGATGGATTACGGAACATCACAAGGATTTTGCTTCAGGGGTAGAGCTGGAGAGGAAGACCTGGGGCATATCACGCAGTTTGGGCTCCACTTAAGCACAGAAAACAGAGACTTAGATTTGTATTTCTGGAAGACACACTGACTGCCCAGTGGAAGATGGATTAAAGGGAGCCAGAATGGGGTCAGGGAGACTGGTGAGGAGGCCATTGTTGTAACTAAGCGTAGATAAGACCCAGACCAAGGAGGCAGCTATAGCCTGAAGAGAAGGCTAGAGTCCAGCGTAGCTTAGAGAATGGGACCACTGAGCCTCAGCAAGAGCTTCATAAGCTCAGGGGCTGGAGGCAGGGGAGGGAGACTGTCAGGGCTGACTCTAGGCATCTGGGGCCCTTCCCTGATGGATAGGGCATGGGGCAAGGAGTAGGGGAGGAAGGGACCGTGTTACGAAGGTCTCTGGAGCACACTGGAGGTCTGTGTGTGGTGCTCAACGGGGAGATCAGGCTTGGAGCAGACTTGGGAGGTGTCCACCTAGTGACCTCGGTCCTCTCCCTCCCTCCTGGCCCATTCCTGGATGCACAGGAGGACCTCTGCTTCTTCTCCTCTCTGGTCTCCAGAACTCTCCTTGCCCCCAGCTTGAAGTGGGGGCAGACAAGCCTGGGCCAGACCACCAAGGCATCTGCTGGCCAAACCTAACGGAAAAGTGATGCATGCACAGAAGTTGGCCAACCAGGCACAGAGCAGGATGGGCTGGGGGTGAAAGAACAACGTTTACAGCATGGAACCTGGATGAGTCTCCCCACACTGCACTGCTCAGCAGTGGCTCCAGAAGGCTCTTCTGTGGAGCTGCATGTCTCATCAGCAGAGAGGGAATGATGACAAGGCCTATGTGTCCAACACATAGCGGGCACTCCAGACCTCCCTCCCTTCATCTAGTCCCCCTTCATATTTGACAGCAGCAAGCACCCTCATGCACACACAGCCCCTCATGCAGCAGCTCTGACCCTGCGGGGCTTTCAATCGGGTAGGCTGCTTTTTGAAGCTCTCTGATGTTCAAGGCTGGAGTCTGAAGACCTGGATTAAGGTCCTGACTCCACACTTTACCTTAAGTTAGTCTCTTTCCATATCTGAATCTTGATTTCCTCACCTGTTAAAAAAGTCATCATAAAAAACTTCATCTCCATTATTTTTACCTACACCCTTAGTATCCTTTCTCCACATGCCCTGAGACTTTCCTTCAGAACAGAGCTGCCTGCACTAATTCATATGCACATGTAAATGACTGGTGATGAACTTCAAGCTTTTACAGGGTAATGGGAGGATAAACAAATGAATCAGCCGGTGAGATTAGAGGGTGTATCTTGTTCGTATCTGTATCAGCTGAATCTAGTACAATGCCCTGCTCCTTGTGAGTACTGGATACAAGTTTGTAGACTCACTTAACTCTCATCTCATGTATCTCTGTGTTCTGGGTGCCCTGACACAGCCTGGCAAACAGAAGGTGCTTGTGTGTGTGATCAGTACCCGAAGGATTGACTGAATCCAGTGGGACCCAAAGGCCACATCTGAGTGTGGGGTTGTGGCCTAGGGAGGCCAGAAGCACAACCCCGGGGGCCGGGACCTCTCACCTCTCTGTATGCAAGAAGTCAAGGCCTTGGCAACAGCTGCAGCCAGCTGGCACCGGGTCCCTGCAAGAGTCATTGTTTGGCCAAAACAGGAAGCCGCCCGAGGGGAAGTGTGGCCTCGCCTCAGTGAACCCCTGAAGAATGGCCCCCGAGAACCTGGGGGACGTGACGGCAGGCACGGAGTGTGTTACAGCTGCACATCCCCACCCAGTCCAGGGGATGGTCCTCACTCGACCCTGGAGGCCTGGTGCAGGACAGGGCTGGAGAGCAAGGGGCTGGGTTCTAATCCTGTGCGACCTTGGGCAGGCCACCACCCCTCTCTGGACTTGTCTCCTTATCAGCTCTTTGCAGTTGAAGGATTCCATATCTGGCCATCTCATTGGTCCTTCTGGCTACCTGTTTCCTGTGTTCTGCCAGTGCTCGGTACAGATGAGGCCCATGGAATGAGCCCTTTTCCACCAGGAGTAGGGAAGCCTGGTGGTTCCATAGCACTTCACCATTAGCAAAGCATCATCTCATTTCATGTAATCTCCCCCAACGATTACACCAAGAGGCATCGGCAGTGAGGCTCATGGTCCCATGTCATAGAGGAGGACACAGAAGCTCAAAGCCAGGATTCAAACCCACGACCCCAGCCTTGGGGCCTAGTGGGCAGGGGCTGTGGCAGCTCAGAGGAGGCAGCAGCCCCCTACAGCAACAGGAGGAATGGGGTCAGAGGCTTATGCTGGCAGCTTGAGGTCTACTTGGTTGGCATTTATTTCTCTTAATTCATGCTGTGCCACTTACCCACTCTATGAGCCAAGCAAGTCACTCCATTTCTCTGTGCCTGAGTCCTCACTGGTGATCTGGAGATGATGCCTGTCCTGCTGACCCCAGGTTGTGCAGGGGTCGCATGAGCAGAGGGGCAACTAACGCTCATCATTGTGTGGACACATCAGCTGCTGACCCAGCATCTGGTCCTCTCCTCCTTCCTCGCAGAACCCCAATTCTGTTGGCTATTCTACCTGCCCCCAGGCTTAGCACTAGAGTCCGATTAATCTAAGTCAACCAGGATATGCCATTCCTGGAAAGACTGTCATTGATTGGAAACATGACCCAAGTCATCCCATTCAGACCTAAGGAAAAAACTTACGGTCTGCATTGGAAGAGAAGTCCTCTCCTGCTGTCTCGCACTGGACATTGCCATGCAAGCATGGATTCCCCATTGACACTGGCAGCCACCCTCAGCCCCGGGGAGGATGACAGCCATCCTCATGAGGCTGGAAGGGGAACCAGTCAAGGACCAGAGAGCATGGTAAAGCCTGTATTCTTGATGATACCAGGAGCTGCTCTGGACTTGCAGTGGTGTGACAGGATATGCCTCTTTGCTTTATTTAGGCCGTTGGCAGTAGGGTCTACCCTTACTTGTAGCCAAAGTCATCCTCATGCCCTTCATCATCATCTTGCAGTCTCTGATGTACAGAGAGGGGGGAAATGGGCCCGCCCTGCCTCCCACTGGCTCACACCAGGGCAGATTCAAAACCCCTGGCTGCACTGCCAGAGCTGATGACTTGTTGGTGGCTTTTGGAAGCTCTGAATTTTTTCTTCTCTGTTCCTTGGGGCGGAGACAATTCCTTCCTCCTTAAAGCTGGCCTCTGGCTTGGACCCAGGCCATCCCACTGGCATTAATGCTGCAAGATTGATGGGTCGGGGAGATAGAGAGCCCAGACTCCAAGACCCCAGCCCTGGCTGTTCCCTCTGCTCAGCCTCCAGTTATTTCCCCTCCTCTTTCCTCCAAGGACCTCAGCCCCTTTACAGCCTTAGGATCACAGCGTTTTCAAAACATAGGAACTCTTGGAGCTGACAAAAGTGGAAACAGACCCAGATACAGGCAAGAGACCTGTCCCAGGTCACACAGAGCTGGGACTGGAACCCAGGTATCTTGAGTCCTGGTCCAGGATTGTTCCCCATCAACTGCAGGAAGGCCAGAAATTGGCATAACTTTATCCCCGATGTTTCTTGTCTTCATCCATCTTTTCTGTCTCTATGGCCACTGCTCTGATTCAGGTGTCATGGTCTCTAGACTGGTAGTGGCCTCTTTCTAAGTTCCAGTTCACATCTGCAATTGTGCCTCCCAAACAGCTGCCAGGATTGTTCTTAATGCAGACCTGACTCTGTCATCCCCCTGCTTCATTGTCTGTAAGATTCAGGATCCTTAGGCTGGCAGAAAGGGCCCCTCATGACTGACCACTCCCCAGCCTCATCTGTCACATAAGACCTATATTCCTTCTACTAAACTCAGTTGTTGCCTCCTCCAGGCAGCTTTCCCAGAACCCTCCTTCTGTGGATGGCACAGTGTATAGGTCCATTATGGAACCCTTTGCAGGATGGGAAGGTCTGACCCCAGCATCTGCTCCACTGCACCATGAATGCTTACAAAGCACAGACCACGTCTGCTCAGCATTCCTACCTGCCCTGCGCCCTCCACCAGGTTTGACCTTGTCCGTGTGCAGTTTCCCCTTGTTGGTTGCAGGTTATCTGTCCTTAGCCTTAGGAATGAGCCAGGGGGCAAAAGGTAAGAGATTCTGACTCCTCATCCTCAGCAGGCTCTGGTGCTCCCTGCTCTGCCCGTCTGCTGATTCAACGTGGGTGCAAGTGAGTCTCTACCGAACATCACAGATGTGGAGAAGCAGGCCAGGCCCGGGGCTCTGTGAAGTCACAGGGCCAGAGCTTCCTACAAACAATCCCCTCCAAGCATGGCCAAGAAAAACCCCAAACTTGGAGCTCAAAGCTGAAATTCCAGGAGCTCCACTTCCAGGAATTAATCCTGAGAGACAAATATCCAGAAGGTGGACAAAGAAGAACATGGCAGAATTTATTTATAATAGCAAAAATCTGGAAACAATCTAGAAGTCTAGCAGTAACAGCAAGGGTAAATACATTCATGTATATTCAGATAGTGAAAAATTGTACAGCCATTAAAATTATGTTTGCAAACAATTGTTATTAATGTGGAGAAGTGTTAAGTGAAAAAGGACAGAATACAAACGCATGTATGTAGTGTGATCGTAACGGAAAAAATGCATAAAATCTGGGAGGAAATATCCAAAAATGCTAGAAAATGATTGAGTTAGGGTAGAAAGATTAAAATGTTTCATATGTTTATACTTTCCTGTGCTTTCCAAACTTTCTATTTAATAGTATGAACTTCTATTTATTTTTATAATCAGGAAAAATGAATTAGACATAGAGAAAAAGAAGAGATTAATTCTATTCCCAACTCCGGTGATAACTGGACACAACCTTGGGCAAGTCAGCGACCCTCTTCCAAAGTTCATTTCCTCCTTGTCTGTTCATCTGTTCCTCCTTTCCTTCATTCGAGAAGGGACTCACCTGTGCCAGGCCCTGTGCTGGGCACTAGGGACCCAAACATGAACCAGAATGTAAACATATGGAAAAATGTCTAACCTTCTTCATAATCAGAGAAATGCCAATTAAAGCTAAGCCAAGATATCATTTCTAGTCTATTAGATTGGCAAAAACTCAAAAGTTTGAGAACGTGCTCTGTGGGCGAGACTGTGGGAAAAGAGGCCCCTCTCGTACATTGTCTGGTGGGAAAACAAAATGGTGCAAGCCCTACCTGGAGGGGAACTTTTGCCGCAAAATTACATTTGAATTTACCCTTTACCCTGGCAATCCCCTCTTGGCAAAAATAAGAGAAGACAGATTCATAAAGCTATTCATGGCAGCATCATTTGTAATTGTAAAAAAACTAGAAACCACTCAAATGTCCATCAGTAGGGGCAGCTTGACCACACAATAGACAACTCTGTAGCTAGAAAAAGGAAGGAGGCCAGGCGCAGTGGCTCATGCCTGTAATCCCAGCACTTTAGGAGGCCGAGGTGAGTGGATCACAAGATCATGGGTTGGAGACCAGCCTGGCCAATATGGTAAAACCCCGTCTCTAATAAAAATACAAAAAAAATTAGCCAGGCGTGGTGGCGCATGCCTGTAATCCCAGCTACTTGGGAGGCTGAGGCAGGAGAATTGCTTGAACCCAGGAGGCGGAGGTTGCAGTGAGTGGAGATCACGCCCCTGCACTCCAGGCTGGCAACAGAGCAAGACTCCGTCAAAGAAAAAAAAAAAAAAAAGGGGGGGGCGGATGAAGAAGATCTCTGCATGCGTGTCATGACAGTGTGACCTCCGGGCTGGGTACAACGTTAACTGAAAAGCAGAGTGGACTAAAATGCATATAGTACGTTATCGTTTTATCCAACAAAAAGGAGGGAATACACAAATACATGCGTGTTTTTAAAATTAAGTATCAGTTAAAAGATAAAAAATAAAATTAAACAATTGTTGTCTGCTGGAGTGGGGAGGAAGTGTGGTAAGGGAATGGAGTAGAAGCCAGGCTTCTCTGAATATACCTTATTATATAGGTTAGCTTTAGAAGTACATAAATTCTTTCCATAAAAATAAAACAAAATTAAATCTAAATAAAAGTCAAAAGCAATCACCCCAAATAAAGAGCAAAATGAAATCAATAAATCTGTGTATTGAATTGTTTTCTTCACCAAGCAAAGCTGAATTATTTTAAGTGATTTAGAAACCTGGTAACTTGACTATAGCTTGACTAGTAGGCTATATATTCTAAGGATAAAAGAATCACAGACAAATTATAAAGTATTTTCAGTAATCATATTATTAATACCACTATTGGTGTTATTATTCTGATATTTTTATAATATGTATATATAGAAAGAAAGTAGGAGAAATGAATCAGTAATAATGTCAATGTTGTTAGGAAGCAAGATGTTCAGCATTAGACAAAAGAGATTCAGATACAAAATCAAAATACTTATGTAAAAGCCCTATAGCTGAAGGTTTTATTCAAACTATCAATATGAACCCTTGATATATATCTTCTTAAGAAAAAAATTTCCTAGCTCTGCACCTTGAGAAGATCTAAAAGCAAAGACCAACTCAGCATATCTCACACCTCACACCCAGATTTGTGGTTTCTAAATGCCACTTCTTGTAAAAAAGAACCAGGGCTTCTTGAAGAAATATCTAATTCCAGGTCCAGGCGGAAAAAACACAAGACAAACCTGGACATCTCGTTATACCAGAAAGTCAGGACAGTATTAAACACCACTAGGGTCAGGCCAAAAGGACTCAGATGACCAAGAGATCTCTATGGGCCAAAGGTGGGACAATTTGAGTGACAACAAGGTTAATAACTGCAATAAATTGAAAATTTTCAAATGCATTTAAAAATATTAGATAATAATTTAAAAAAAAAAACAAAACCAACAAAAAAAAACTTTGCTGATCACCTCTAGAGACTGTGAGGGAATCAGCTCATTATTCTGAAAACTGATAAGTAAAGGGGAAATCAGCCAGCATTAGTTCTGTCCTTCCTAAACCAATTGTACCTTAGGGGAACCAAAGCATCAGGAGAGAAGTTTTTCTCCATAGAAGTGTTCCAGCTAATAAATGAAGAAAGAATGATAAAATTAAAACATCATTGTTTTGTAATTCTCTAATGAAATAATAGATATAGGCAATGATCATCACAGCCTTCTAAAGGCACAAAAGGAGAGACAACCAAACATTATAAATATGATGTTCCTTCTGAGGGAAGTAGACACGCCACCTATGAAGCATTCTTCCTAGCACATTGAGTCTAATCAAGTGTTTAGATCTAACTACCAATTTACGGGAAAGGCAGGAAACTGAGGAATGTGTTAAATAACACTATGGGGGAATGCAGCCAGAAGGTGGAAAACTACATGGGATCAACAACTTTGTTTAGTCAACAAATATATATATATATATTTTTTTAAAACAGGAAATCCCAGCATTTTGGGAGGCTGAGGTGGGAAGATCATTTGAGCCCAGGAGTTTGAGACCAGCCTGGGCAACATGGCAAAACCCCATCTTCCATGAAAAAAAAAAAAATACAAAAATTAGCCAGTGTGGTGGCACATGCCTGTAGTCACAGCTATTAATACTTGGGAGCCTGAGGTGGCTGAATCACTTGAGCCTGGAAGGTGGAGGTTGCAGTGAGCCGAGATCACACCACTGCACTCCAGCATGGGGAACAGAGTGAGACAGTGTCTCAAGACAAAATAAAAATAAAAAATAAGGAGAGACCAGACTCAGTTGCTCACACCTGTAATCCCAGCACTTTGGGAGGCTGAGGTGGGAGGATCACTTGAGCTTAGGAGTTTGAGACCGGCCTGGGCAACATGGCGAAACCCTGTCTCTACAAAAACTACAAAAAATTAGCCAGGCATGGTAGCGCATGCCTGTGGTCCCAGCTACTCAGGAGGCTGAGGTGGGAGGATCACTTGAGCCCAGGAGGTTGAGGCTACAGTGAGCCAAGATCATGCCACTGCATACCAACGTGGGTGACAGAGTGAGTTAGACCCTGATTCAAAATAAAAAAAAAAACCACCCCCTCCCCCCCCAAAAAAGAGAGAGGAAGTAGAAAAGATTGAAAGAGATTTAAGAGAAAACGATCAAATGCAATGTATGGAACTTGTGTAGATCCTGATTTTGAACAAATCAACTTTAAAAGATCTGTAAAAGATCTTTGTTAGACAATGGGGAATTTTTTTATTTGGAAGACAGCTGGCCTTGAACTCCAGGGCTCAAGTGATCCTCCTGCCTCAGCCTGCCAAAGTTCTGGGAGTAATTATACTTAGAAGCATGATTTGGAGTAATCTGGAGTAATCACGCTTACAAGTGTGAGCCACCACGCCTGGTTTATTGGGGAAATTTAAACACCACTATATACTATGATAATAAAAAATTATTATTAAAAATGTAGGCAGGATAATAGTTTCTGGCCATGCCTTTATCTTTTAGAAATACAGACTGCAATATTTATTTTGAGACAGGGCCTTGCTATGTTGCTCAGGCTGGTGGTGAACTCCTGGCCTCAAGTCATCTGCCCACCTCAGCCTTCCAAGTTGCTGGGATTTATAAGCATGAGCCACTGCGCCCAACTCCTTGTAGTATTTGTGGATAAAATTATCTGATGTTTAAATTTGCTCTGAGTAATCCAGTGGGGAGGAGTTGGGGGATAGAAATGAAACAAGAGTGGCCCTGAGTCGGGGAGGGTCGAAGCTGGGTGAGGAATACACAGTAGTTTTTGTACTATTTTTGTTGTGTGTTTGAAATTTTCCACAATAAAATGTCTTTGCTGCTGTCAAGGAGGTGGGGAGGAAGACCTAGACGTTCCCTCCAAGGCTGGGGTGGGGGAAGGGAGATCGGGCCGTGTGAGCTTTCCTCAGGAGTGAGCAAAAACAGGAACGTGCCTGCAGAGGGAGGAGTTCCCAAAGAGGAAACGGCGCAGGAACAGCAAATGCAGAGAGGATGCACACTCTGAAGAGGGCAGGCAGCTTCTGCACCGAGGGAGCAAAGGGGCGTGTCAGGGGCAGCTGCTGGAAGGAGGCGCAAGCACCACGGAGAGTCTGGGATGCCCAGCCAAGGAGCCCTGGAAGGGTTGCCCTGGGGACTGACACTGTGGGCTCTGTGTTTTAGCCAAGTCACCCAGGCAGCTGAACAGAAGATGGACTGGAGGGAGAAGCCTGGATGTAGGTAGGGAGGCCTGAGCAGTGGCCAGGTATTTCCTGGACTGGGGTCCTGGAGAAGACAAGGTGGCCTGAGCCAGGGAGTGGCCTGTGATGGACTGCAGGAGACAGCTATGAGTGCTGCTGCCAGGAGGAGGGTGCTGGGAGGGAGGAGTGCAGTGAGACCCGTTTGTGGCCTAGGCAACTTGGTGGATGTTGGTGCCACTATTAAGATAGGTTGAGAGGGCAAGTCAGGCCCCTTCATCTAGAGCCCTGGGCTGGGAGACAGGGGCCTGGGATCTGGCCCCAGCCCTGCTGTCTGGCTGTGGAACCCAGGGCATGTCTCTACCCCTCTCTGACCTAGGGGTCCCCATCTCTAAAGCAAGGGCTAGGAGCCTCAGATCAGAGGTTCTCCGAATCTGCCCCGGGTCAGATCTGTGCCCAGCCCACACGTGCACCCTTCTTGCCTGCGAAGGGCTCACGAGTTCTCATCTTGCGTCACTGAAAATCCAGTGGTGTGATGTCAATGGCATTTCCCTTCAGAAAAAGGAAATGAGCTTAGCAAGCGTGTTACCAGGAAAGGAAAGTTAGTTGGGCCCCACCCTCTGCAGCCCCATGCTCCCCGCACACAGCAAGCAAGGCCCCTCTGCCTGGGGCTGGGGACAGGACCCAGAAATGTCACAGTTCAGATACAGGCACCAACACAACAGCCTTGACTTCCAAGCAGGGCTGGGCTGCCCTCAGCAGAGTCAGCAGCTTCTCTGGCTCCCATGGCCTGGACCCTGGCCACACTCGGAGACTGAGGTCACAGGTAGCTCCAGGGTCTCATCAAACATCAGCAAGGCCCAAAAGCTGAGCTCTTTATAGCCAGGAGACTGCGACCCAGACAGGAGAAGGGGCCTGGCACAGGACACAGAGCCAGTCAGAGGACAACCCAGGCACAGGCCACATGGCTCTGGGGAGTCAGGTGGTCCCTGAAGGCCTGTCTTGCTACAGAGCTCCCAGAATGCCCCATTCCTGGTAGATGTTCCCAGAAAGTCCCTCTCCAATTCCAAATGTTAAGTGCCTTTACTAAATGAAACCACTCCCTGACACTTAGCTTTTGACCATCTAAACATTCCTTAAAATGAACTATGAAGATGAAATGAAAACCAGTGTCAATCTATCCAATACAATTGCTATATACTTTGGAAAAAATGAATAGTAAATTGGTAAGTTTGGTATATTTGGCAAATTGGTCATTTGAAAACCTGATCAGTTGGCAAGCTGGTCATCAAGCAGATCCATTTTTAGGAATTTGACCTAGAGCCTCCCACAGACCCCACCAACCAGGCCTCCTCCCACCTTCCAGCTGCATGGGCCGGGCCAGATCCACCGCATCTCCCCAGCCCAACCCTCAGCCCAGGGCCTGACACACAGGTGGGTCCAGGCTCTTGCTCATTAACTGCTGAGTAAACTAAGGAGATGTGGAGCCTGTGTTGAACCTGAGCACCCTGGGTAATTGGAGGGGCCCACAGGAGGTGGATTAGCAGGGGTGGCCCTGGTCAGCCCCAACACAGTGAGGTAACCGGGTGGAAAAACCCCTCACCTTTGCTCTTGTTGTAAAAGTCAACTCGGGTCATAATTTCCACTGTGCCCCCAACAGGGAGGGCATCTGGTTCACCCTCCCACGCACCCAGGGTTTGGGGGTTTTCAGGTGAAGTGGAACTAGGTGTTTGTGTTTCTGCACCTTTGCAGGATCGCTCAGCAACAAAGGAGCCAGAAAAGGCAAGGTGTACACACCGTGTGCAGCATGGGCGAGCTGCAGGCATGCAGGTAAGAGTGTGTGCATGCAGGTGTGTGCACACGAGTTTGCATGTGCTGATGCAGATGGCTATGATGCGTGGTGGTGATATATACATGTGGATGCTTATGGATCTGTGCCAACCATTATTAAGCACATATGTATACCCGTGTGTGTATATGCATGCATGTGTTTGTGTGAGTTGCAATGTGTATACAACTTTACACAATAAGTGAATTGAGTACATGTACCTGTTTATCCACGGAAGTGTATGATGACTGGACATATGTAAATATGTGTATTTGCATGTGTTTATACTTTGTGCATAGATGCATGTTTGTGTATTTATGCTGATCCATTTAAGCGTATGGGATGTGTGTGGATGTTTGTGTAACATCTGTACATACTCCATAGGTGCATCTTAATACAGGAATATGGGTGCGATGTGTATGTGTGTGTGTGTGCCTGTGTGAACAGGTGCGGCTGGAGGTCTATGAGTGTGTGGATAGGTATATTTGCCTGTGCGCATGTGCGATTCACGTGGTGTGAGTGCACATGGTCGCAGGCAAATGTCTGTGTGGGCACACACATGCCCTGTTGCCCTTTTCTGTCTTTTCCTGTTGGGAAATTACAGAACTTCTGAGTCCTAACCATGGCTGGTGGCTCTTCCAGGAACATGGTTTCCTGGACCCAAAAGGTAAGCTTGTCAGGGACCCACGTGAATGAGGAAGTGGGTGGGCCTGAGTCTGGGGCTCCTCTGAGAACTGCTGTGGACCAGGGAAATCTTGCTGCCACCTCTGGTCTTTAGTCCACCTCTCAGTAGTAGCTTTCAAAGCTTGATTTTTTTGGAGGCGTCTCCACGGAGCATAGTCCTAAGCTCCTAGCCTACATTGTCCCTGTTCCTGGGCCTGTTTGGTTGACATTCTCTTACAGTTTAAAAAAGACATCCACATCCGTACTCTTAGCTAATCCTTGTGACCTTTCTTCTAGTCTGTTTGGAGAGGCTGGGAGCAGAGTGGTTAAAAGAGCCAGGCCTGGTTCCATTTCTGACCCCTCTTCTAGCTGAGCAACTTCCGCCTCTTCCAGCCTCCCTCACGGGAATCACAGATCACGTGAGATGACACCCATGAAGGGCTTGACTGGCATCTGGCACATGGTGAGGACTGCAAAAATGTGGGCTATTGTTTTTACTATTATCCCCATTTTATAGATGAGGAAACTGAGGCTTGGAGAGGCTCTCTGCCTTTGTCAACCTGGAGATGCTGGGAAGGAAGTGAGGCCCATCCCACCTCAGATGCCTGTCCTCTGTCGTCAGGAGCATTCTCTTGTTCTTCCGGGCTTGGCCAAGCGGTGGTAAACCCCACATGTGGTTCTGTGGTTGCCCACACAGTCCTAAAAATAGCCAACAGGAACCCAGGGGCTCCCCCTTGGTGAGTGGCAGCAGGCCCAGTCCTCAGGCAGCCACCAACCTGCTCACTCCCCACAGGCAAGCAGGTCCTGTCTAGGAAGGGGCTGGGTGGCCTGGGTCCCATGCATGATGAGCCAGAGGCTGTGCCAAGCTTATAGCAAATATTATTTTATTTCATTATGTTTTCTTACATCTGTGATGTGGAGGCCATAGCTCCACTGGACTCATGAGGAGACTGAGGCTCAGAGCAATGAAGTGACCTGCTCAAAGTTAAGGAGCTTCAGTTTGGACCCAATTTGTTCTGATCCTAAGGTCACTATCCTTAATCCCTCTCCCTGTGGGGTCTTCCCTATCTTGAGCCTGTGGACAGCTGTGCAGTGGCAAGAAAAAGGCCTTCAGAGCTACGCAGACCTGGCTTCAAATCCCAGCCTCCCTGATGAGCCCTGGTGGTCTTGGTAAGTCACCTCACCTCTCTCAGCCTCAGTTTCCTCACTGAAAAAATAGGAGCCACACTGCACATGATGTGGGAGTATGGTGGGGATCTAATGAAAGAAGGCACACAAGCACCCGGGGGGGGCCTGGGATGCAGCCAGTGCTCAGTACACAGCCACTCACTGGCTCTGCTCCTCCCCCCATTGACATCTATGCTTCCAAAGCTGGGGTGAGAGGAGCAGCATTGGTCGAGCTCCCAGAAGTGTCCTGCCAGGTCAGGGAAGTGGAACCACCCAGGAGAGGCCAGAAGAGGAGGTCCCTATGGTAGACTGAAATTTCCCAAAAATGATCTCAGGAGTGTTCCTAATTCTATACCCTGGAAACTTGTCATTCCCCATCAGGAGATGGAGTCCATTGCTCTTCCCCTTGAAACTGGGCATGCCTTTGAGATGGCCTCCATGAAAAGAATGTGATAGAATTGACATGAAAACTTACTAGGCTAAACCTAAAAGGTGGTACAGCCGCCACCCATCTGTCTGTCTATCTTTCTGTCTCTTTCTGTCAGCATGCTTGCCCTTGGGACTCAGACACCATATTGTGAGGAAGCCCAAGCTACATGCAGAGGCCACTATAGTTGTTCTGGCCAACAGCCCAAGCTTCAGCTGCCAGACATATAAATAAACCAACTCTTCAAATGATTTCAGTTTCCAGACTTCAGTGCATCCCAGGTAATGTCCAGAGGAGCAGAGATGAACCATCCTCTCTGAGCCCTGCCCAAATGCAGACTTGAGAACAAACTAAATGTCATTGTCTCAAGCCACCAATTTTCAGGGTGGCTTGGTACACAGCACCAGGTAACAGGAATAGCCCCCCTCTTCCTCTGCAGCTCTCCCCAGGTACAGGCAAGCTCCCCAACCCATGCTTCATCCCCACCCCACAGACAGAACCTGGAGTCAGTCCTCCCACCCACAACTGTGCCTTCCAAACTAAGCTCAAAGCCCAGCTCTGTTGCTTTCAGATGGGTGCCCTAGGGCAAGTCACCAACCCTATATGACAAATCCCTCTGTGTCAAATGGGAATTATAATAGTGCCCCTGAGGAGTCTTGGAGAGATTTAATAAAGTGCCTGGAACATAATGAGTGCTCATTAAGTGGACGCAGGGACATGAGGCTTGGGAAAAAGGAAGGGGTCAAAGACGTCACCCCAGTCTCTGACTGGGAGGGAGAGAGGAGGAGCAGGTTTTCAGGGAGCCTGGGAGGAAATAAGTTTAGGCTGGATGCTAAAAACAAGGTGCCTAGCTCTGTGCAGGTTCCTGAGGAGGACCTGTCCTCAGGTGGCTCACAGACTGACCAAGACATGGGAGGCTGCAGAGTGTGGCTGGGCAGGCCCAGGCAGGAGCTGGTCAAGGGTGAATAAGGTGGGGGCGTGGAAGGCACAGCAGCAGGAGCTGGGCCAGGGACCTCAGAGCCAGGTGGGCACAGCCGCAGCTAAGCCTGAGCTCTGAGGCTTCCCAGATACCACAAGGTCCCCTCCCCTTCTCTCCTTAGCCCAGGCCAGCCTGGCCCTATCTAGAGAGATAAAGTCACTGCAGAAGCTCCCAGACCAGAGACATTCTTATCAGTCACCCTTGTCTAAGGTACTTGGGAATGTAAACTCTCCCTCCACACAGCCCTGGATGCAACACACCCGCCCTAGGAAGACACAAAGCAGACGCAGTGGGGTGGGCCTTCCCCTAGCCAGACCCCACCTTCCTCCCCACCCGCTTTCTGCAGCCCTGCAAATGCATGAGATGGGAAGGCCAGCCCCGGCGCCCCCTTCTCTAACACCTGGGGCATATTTTTCCTTTAAGTCACACTCAGATTTCGAGGGGCCGCAAGGAGCCCTTTCTGTGAATGCCATCTTGGCCAATATGCCCCATGTATGTGTGCAGCACAGTGCCCACCCTGCCCGGAGAACGAGGGAAACATGGTCCGCGGTGGTGGATCTGGGTGACCTAGAGCAAGTCTGTTCACTTCACTCGTCGAAAGTTTGTCCTCACACAAACATGCAGTAAGTCCCCCTGCTAGCTAGGCTCAGGGCTGGGCACTGGGGAGAAGCAGAGTCCAGAAAACACAGCCCTCTGGAGTCCACTGTCCAGTGGGCAAGACAAACAGGTAAAATGACGACGACAATGATGATGATGATGATGAGGCTTGCCTTAGAGCACTTACCACCCGCCATTGTTCTGAGTGATTTACACAGTATTGACTCATTTAATTCCCAAAACAACCCTATTGTCTCCCAACATTGTCATGGAGGAGGAAATTGAGGCACAGGGAGCTTAAGGCACTTTGTTCCCAAAGCAAGTGAGTGGCAGGGCTGAGAATCAAGCCCAAGAGGCCTGGCTCTGTGGACAGTGTGATAAGGGCTGGGGTCAGGGAGGAAATGGGAGTGGGGGGTCGAATCATAGAGTGACCTCTGCCTGGCTGAGCTGGAGTGAGCTTTACAGAGACAAGGCCTGGGAAGGATTGGGTGCAGAGTGAGTGCCCTGCAAAGGCTCAGTCCCTGCTGCCCCCACCCCAGAACCTCACAAGGACTTTGCATGGCCTCTGAATGCCCCTTACCCACCACACCCGTGGAGCCACTGGATGTGTTGTGCCTGGGCCTAGGAGCTTGCGGCTCCTATGGGCCCAGGTGAGGCTCCGGGCTCTGCTGCCCCCACGATGGGCTCTCAGGGTCCAGAAGTGCCCACATCAGGTATCGAGAGCAGGGCCTTCCGCTGCCTGGGGACAGAGGCAGACAGCGGGTTCATGGGAAAGAGCATGGGGTTTGGAGTCAGACGGGTAAGAATTGAAATCCTGGCTCGGCTCCAGCCTGCTGAGTAACACCCAGCCCTGCCTGCTTGTCTCTGGGCCTCACTTCACCATCTGTGAATCAGTGTGGCCTAAATGGGACTGCAGTTCCGCCATTCCAGAGGCCATGTCAACACGAGTAACTCTGGTGTGAGTTAGCCGGCGACTCTGCCATAAGTGTCTGGGTGGCAGTGACAGGAGATGCCATCTGTCTAGGGGTTTTCTAGGAGAGGAGGTGCTTGAGCAGGGACCTACAATAAGTGCCTTCCTTTCCACTCCCTTCCTTCCTTCTGTGCTTTTTACCTGAGCCCAGTAAAACCTGGCCGGGGCCTGAGGCACTCCCAGAATGGGGAGGGGCGGTACATCCAGTGTCACAGGGGCTCAGTTAAGTCTGCACAGGGCTCTATGTAGGGAAGTCAGTGCCACCTGTGGGGAAATCTGTGGGGAATAGATCCTTGAAGAGTGAGTGGGTGCTTACCACGCAGCCCAGAAAGAGGAGGAGAAAAGAGCCTGGGGCAGAGGGAGCTGGGAGACAAAGGCTTGCAGATGAGGACCAAGTCTGGCCTGTTGGAAACAGCACACAATGGGAACACCTGCAGCATGGCCGCTCACAGGGTCAACAGGAGCCAGCAGAACATTAAGAAAGGCCTTGAACTCCAGGTTGAGGAGCTTGGGCTTTTCCCTGAGGGTGCTGGGAAGCCATGGAAGGGTATTGAGGAGAGGAGGGGTACAAGCAGAGCCATATTTTCCAAAGGTGTCTCTGACTCCTGTGAAGAGGTTGGAATAGAGAGGCTGCTGGGGATGCAGGAGAGAAAGGAGGCCTGAACTCGGGCAAGGGCAGTGGGCAGGGAGGGGTTATCTCAAAGATGAAGGGAGGCCTTGGGAAGCAGGTGGGTGTCAGGGGAAGGCGGGAGAGGCAGGTGACCCCCAGGTGTCTAGCTGGCTTGGGCACAGAGTGGGGGATGGGGTCCTTCACTGACAGATACCAGAGGGTCAGGAGTAGAACCAGGCAATGGGTCCTGTTGGGGGCACACGAAGCATTGTCATATGGTGGTTGGATCCTGGGCTCAGGGCCAGTGAAGGCCACGGCTCAGCCCTCACTGTGGGGATCCAGACTTTAGGTCAGGCAAGGATGGAGGGACAGTGGGAGGGGCCGTTGCAGGGGAGGGTCAGGAGGGATGACTAGGACCAGGAATGGGACTTTGGGAAGATGCCCAAGGCATCCTCTTCTCAGGGGTCTGAAGAAGAGGCCTCAGGGGTTGAGGACAGTAGAAAGCCTGTGCCTGCAGGCTGGCCTGTCCCTATCATTGTGGAGATCTGAGCTCTGTGGGCTTCTGTTCTGTGTGTGCGTGTGGAGGTTGGACCAAAGGATCGCCAACCTCTCCCCTTTCTGACTTCTGGCTTCTTTGTTTTCCTCTGCCCCTTACTGACCGTGTGGCCTTACACAAGGCCTCCCCACCTCTGGGCCTCAGCGCCTCTTCCAATCTGGAGCATGGATTAGGCTGGAATGATTCCTAAGGTTGCAAAGAAGGCCTCCATGTTTGTTCAAAGCACAAGTGAACAGATTCCAGCTGCGAAGTCCCCAGACTTTGCTGTTGTCCAAGGAGTCCACACTCACCCTGCCTCACCATCTAATTAGTCACATCCTAGGATAAGGACACGGCCTGTCTGCTCCCGGCTCTCCCATTCCCTCCCCCTGCCCCCTGCCCAGCGTCCTGGAGTTGGGGAGGAGTGGCTCACAGGCCTGGGAGACATTTTTCCAACCTCAGGATTACAGCCAGCTCCGCAGTAAACCCCATCGGCCCCAGAGTGGGGGTGCAACAGCCCAGCCCATCAGCAGACCCTGGAATTCAGAAAGAAGCCAGCTGGCGCAGACAGATGATGACCTTTTAGACTTTCTTTACAAAGCACTGCACACCATGGCATGGATCTTCCTTAGCACGGCCCTGTTGGAAGGTGGAACAGGTCACTGTGCAGATGCAGAAACCAGGGCTCTAGGAGACAGGACAGAGCTTACCAAAGTCACTCAGCGAGTGGCAGAGGTGGCACTTCAACCTCAGCTCTGCCACAAAGCCCGTCCTCCATGAAGACTTCTGATAAGAGATCCCTGCAGTTCCTCCAGAACTCACATCCTACGCCAGGGCTTCCCCAGACAGATGGGTGAGGTCAGAAAGAGGGGAAGGGCGGGACAGGCTGGGCATGAGGAGCCGCGTGCCACCACCTGCACCATGGTAAGAACCTCACCCTGCTCACCGGCCTTGGTGTGCACCTGAGGCCCTGCCTTGGTCCTCAAGGCCCTGGATGGCCTAGTCTGGCTGGCTCTCCAGCCTCTTCTCTCCTCTCTGTCTCTCTCTCTCTTTTTTTTTTTTTTTTCCCTGTGAGCTCCTGTCACCTGGTGTCTTTTGCTTTCTTAACCACCCCAAATTCCCAGCCACAGGGCCTTTGTACATGCAGTTCCCTTAGTTTAGAAGGCACTCCCCAAACCCCAGCCCCTTCCATGTTCATAGTTAGTGCCTCTTCATCCTTCCATATTTTAAAAATAACAGCCTTGTTGATATATAATTCCTATATCATACAATTAATTTATTAAAAGTGTATAGTTCAGTGATTTAGTATACTCACAGAGCTGAGTAACCATCACCACAATCAATTTTAGAACATTTCTATCACGTCTCCACCCCTAAAATCCCATACTCATTAGCAGTCACTCCCCCAAGTGCCCAATTAGACAATCATTAATCTAATTTCTGCCTCTATAGATTTGCCTATTCTGGACATTTTATATAAATGGGATCATACAAAATGTGGTCTTTTTGATTGACTTCTTTCACTCAGCATCATGTTTTCAAGGTTCACCCATGTTGTAGCATGTGTCACGTATAGCATGTACTTATCACTTTTTGTTGCCAAATTATATTCCATTGCATGAATGATACCACATTTTATTGGTCTGCTCATCAGTTGATGGTCATTTGGGTTGTTTCCACTTTTTAGCTCTGATGAATAATGCTGCTATGCATGCTCACTTCCAAGTTTTTGTGTGGCATATGTTTTATTTCTCTTGGGTATATTCCTAGGAGTGGAATTGCTTTGTCATAGGGTAAATATGTTTAACCTTTTGAGGAATTGCCAGATGGTTTTCCACAGAAGTTGCACTGTTTTACATGCCCATGCCCCTGCTGGGGTTCCAGTTTCTTCATATCCTCATCAACACTTTTTATTGTCCATCTTTTTAATGACAGCCATCATAGTGCGCATGAAGTGGTATTTCTTTTTTTTTTTTTTAAATTCATAATCAGTGTTTTTATTATTTTCGATGATGGCTCATTTCTAAGTTAAGTGATGTATACTGTCTACATTTCCCATCTATAAGCTTTTGTTTTTCCTGGACTTTTGTTACCTAATTTTGATTTGCTTAGGTTATTATTTTTTTAATCTATGGCATGTCTTCCTATTGCTATGTACAATGGCTTTCAGTAGAACTTTTTACATCTTCAAACTCATCAGATAACTGTGTTTTAATATCTTTTTCTGAGGACATTCCTCCCAAATCCCTCTGTTCTGCTCCACTTGGGGCTGATAGGTCCTTTTCTGTTTTGAGACAGGGTCTCACTCTGTTGCCCAGGCTTCAGTGTAGTGGCACGACCTTGGCTCACCGCAGCCTTGACCTCTGGGCTCAAGAGGTCCTCTGATTGTTCTTTATTCTTGTTGCGCAGCTGTTGTTTGGGGACTTCCCTTTGCCATCATCCTGGGATTTCCCTTTACCTCCTTCCTGTGTGATCTCCGGTTTCCTAAAATCCCTGTCTTCCTCTCTGTTAGGTTATTCCCTGTTTTGTTCAGTACATCATCCAGAGTTTCCTGACAAAAGAGATGGGAAGGTAATTTGTTTCTCCAGAAGTAGATTTTTCTTTCTTTTTTTTTTTTTAATTGATCATTCTTGGGTGTTTCTCGCAGAGGGGGATTTGGCAGGGTCACAGGACAATAGTGGAGGGAAGGTCAGCAGATAAACAAGTGAACAAGGGTCTCTGGTTTTCCTAGACAGAGGACCCTGCGGCCTTCCGCCGTGTTTGTGTCCCTGGGTACTTGAGATTAGGGAGTGGTGATGACTCTTAAGGAGCATGCTGCCTTCAAGCATCTGTTTAACAAAGCACATCTTGCACCGCCCTTAATCCATTCAACCCTGAGTGGATACAGCACATGTTTCAGAGAGCACAGGGTTGGGGGTAAGGTCACAGATCAACAGGATCCCAAGGCAGAAGAATTTTTCTTAGTACAGAACAAAATGAAGTCTCCCATGTCTACCTCTTTCTACACAGACACGGCAACCATCCGATTTCTCAATCTTTTCCCCACCTTTCCCCCCTTTCTATTCCACAAAACCGCCATTGTCATCATGGCCCGTTCTCAATGAGCTGTTCGGTACACCTCCCAGATGGGGTGGTGGCCAGGCAGAGGGGCTCCTCAATGAAGTGGTATTTCATTACAGCATTTCTCTGATGGCTAGTGATGGTGAGCAGCTTTTCATGTGCTTATTGGCCATTTGTACTTATTCTTTAGAGGCTCTATCCAGAGCCTTTGCCCATTTTTAATTGGTTTATTTGTCTTTTTATTATTGAGTTGTAAATGTTCTTTATATATTCTAGATACAAGTCTCTTTCTGGACACATGATTTGCAAAGTTTTTTCTCATTCTGTGAGTTTTGTTTTTACTTTCTTGGTGGTATTCTTTGAAGCATGAAAGTTTTTAATTTTGATGATATATGATGCATTTTTTTCTCTGTTGTTGTTTGTGCTTTTGGTATTATATCCTAGAAACCAGTGCCTAATCCAAAGTCACAAAGATTTACAACCATGTTTTCTTCTAAGTTTTTAGAGTTTTATAGAGTTTTAGTGTCTTTTAGTTTTAAGAGTTGTATAGAGTCTTAGTTTCTTCTAAGTTTCTAGGAGTTTCTATTTTTAGTTCTTACATTTAGGCCTTCAATATATTTTCAGTTAATGTTGGTATATGGTGTGAGGTAGAGGATCAGACTCATTTTTTTTCATGTGGATATCCAATTGTCCCAGCATCTTTTATTGCAAACACTACTGAATGGTCTTGACACCATTGTTGAAAATCAATTGCCTGTAAATGTTGTCCTTCCATTTTAAAACAACATCACTTCCTCAGGGAAGCCTTTGCTGGCACTTCTCCCTACCCTGACCTCAGCTTACCCAGGTTCCCCTGTATATATGTAAAACACATAGATAACACCATAGGTTCTAAATCACACTGATCTATATAATGGAGTAGAAATGAACACATACTCTGGAGCCAGATAGTCAAGGTTCAAATCCCAGCTCTGCTGCTTTCTAGCAGCCTGGCCCTAGGCATATTGTTTCACCTATCAGTACCTCAATTTCCTCCTCTGCAAACTGAGGACTTACTAATCTCATAGGGTAATCACAAGAGTCCATATATGTAAAGGACATGGCATATGGTAATAAGTGCCAATGTGTGAGCTGTTATTAATCAGTGTCATCTTCTTAGACTGTGAACTGTGAGAATAGGGACGCTGTCTATTTTGGCTTCCACAAAATCCTCCTGGTCAGCATCATGCGTGGCACAGGGAGGGCATTTGATACCTATTTTTGAATTAGTTAGTGAATAAAGGCATGCATGCATGTGTGAGCCGGGCAGACAGGATTCTAATCCCACCCTCCCACTGTCTGGCTGTGTGACTTCTCCTGAACTCTGTAAAATGAGAGCCTTGGATCCAGGGGTGGTTTTTCTCTGTTTCTCTATTTGGATGCAGACCCCACTCTTTACTTGAAATAAAAGGAACCCAGTTTGTAAAGATAATAAAGGGACATGTGTGAGAGAAGGTAGGGTGGGGCCCAGAGGCCCCTCATCTGGGGCACCCCCAAAGTCCTCCAGAGCCTGTTGGACACAGTGTGAAAACCTCCCTTCAGGATATGCCCTACATGCTCTCCTGGCTTGGAGCAGCCCGTGATTCAGAAGCAGCTGATGTCTGACGCTCTTAATTCAGCCCAAATGCTGGAGGTCTGTGTCTTGTGGTGTGGGGGGAGACAGAGGGGCGAATTCCAAAGGGGAAAGCTCTTTCTTTTTCTACCCACAGGAAGGGGGGTGCTCCCTAAAGTTCCCTGCATGGATGAGCACAGCACATCCTTGCTTTCATGCCCCTCATCCTCGGCTTCCAGATCTAGACCTGGAATGGCCCCATCTCCTGGGCCAAGCTTCCTCTCACCCACCCCTCCACCCCTCTCAGACCCAGCTCACATCCAGCAAGGCCCACTGTGCTCCCGCTCCTGTCCCCCCAGTGCCCTCATTTCACCTGGTAGACACTCCCTCAGAGGCTTACAGAGGTGAGCAACTCATCCAAGGTCATGGCAAACGAGTGGCAGAGCACAGATTCAAACCCCAGGCTCTTGACTCCAAGTCCAGGCTCTGTCCTTCCTAGCTGCCAATACGCTAGTAGGGTGCCACAGTTCATGTGAGCACAGGGGCAGGGCCAGCCCACGAGGTGCTGAGGTCAGCCAAGTTCTGTGGCCCCTGGAAAAGGGAAAACCCTGAGGGAGGCCCACCCACTATGCAGGTCCCTGGCAAGAGCCTTAATGCTTCCCCCAGGCAGAGGACCCCTGGCCATAGCGGGAGGGACTGCCCTGGGAAAGGAAGGGAGGGGAGGTCCCCGGTTGGAAGGTTAAGAACATGAACCTTAGGCAGGTCTATCAGGTCACTGACCAGCCTCTCTGAGCCTCAGTTTCCCCCTACCCCCCAGCCCAGTGACATAGGACAACAGTACCCACATCACTGGATTGTTGTAAGGATGAACTGAGGCAAAGACCTTAGCTTTCTGTCCATCTTGGAGTTATCACGTGAATGGGACAGTGATTATTACTGTCCCTAGCACTGGGAATGTTGTCAGCTCGGCCCAACAGGAGCTGCCAAAAGGGTCCCCCATGAGGAAGCAGACCCAGGGTCATGAAAGAGGAGATAGTTGACTTCTGTCTTCCTCCGGGGTCTTTGAGTTCACTGACAGCGCCTTGTTTTAGGAAATATACTTCTCCTGGAAAAAGAGGTGTCTAACATTAGCAGTTTGGAGAAAAGAACTTAGGAGAGTCACTGGCAACTTCGGGTTTGTTTTGATTTTTTTTAAAGCTCAGCTTTCCTTCAGGACATTAACCTCATTGTCTTCACTCAGGTAGGGTATGGATGTGGGAGTGTACTTGGGGTTTGCAGAAACTGCACGGGCTTCTGTGTCACCTTGTCTTGAATCCTGGCTTTGCAAATTATCAAGGGCAAGTTATGTAGCCTATGTGAGCCTCAGTTGCCTCGTCTGTAAATAGACGGAAATGTGATGGTGCTGGTGAAGGGCCCAGCCCCTGGTCCGCAGTGCACCCTGAGTTGGAGCCCTTATTTGGGACCTTTAAAGTGACACCCACACGGTGCTGAGGAAAAGGTCCTTTCCAGGTGGAGGAACCCAGGAGCACTTCCTGGAGGCAGTGGCTGGGCCCAGAAGGCTGGAGAAGGCAGTCCAGGAACAACTTGAACAAGCATGTGGCAGAGGGAACCACAGGGCGGGCAGAGACAGTTGTGATTGTGAACAATAAGATTCTTGGAGGGAGGACCAGGAAGAAGGCAGGGGCGTGCAGTGGCAGGATTCCAAATGGGGCCTGTTTGCCTGTGCCTGTACCCTAGGCTGCTTCTTGGAAGGGCTCCCGGGTCTATTATCAGAGCTCCCTGGGGCTGGAAAGGGCTGAGTGATTCAGGTCTGCCCTGCTGTTGCTGCTGAGCTTCCTGACATTCATGCTGAGGGGCAGGTTCCTGGGGGGACTGGCCTCCCATCCCCACCCTGCTTCAGCCCCTCCAACCCACAGGAGAGTCAAGGGGAGTGGGGTGTGACCCACAATTATTAATCAAACAGCCTAAAAGAGCCAACAAGAGATGCCCACATTTACAATAAAAGTAACAATTCCTTAAACGTAATCAGAGCACGGGTACTAGCTCTGCCGTGGTGTGTGCCCCTGTTGGTCACTTACTGCCCTCCTTCTACCAATGGGAAATGGAGACTCCAGGAGGGGACGTGGCTCCGCTGAGTCTGTGCAGCGAGTAGGGGGCATGCCAGTCCTGAGACTCTGCATCTTCCCCTGGGGATGCCCAGAGGACATCTGTGTGTGTGTGTGTGTGTGTGTGTGTGTGTGTGTGTGTGTGTGTGTGTTGGGGGGATGGGCACAGCAGGGAAGGGACCCCTGCCTGGAGACAGTGATCCAGTGGGTTCTCCCACTCTTAGGGAGGGGTGAAGGAGGCCTGCTCATGGAGGGCTGGGCCCCGGGCCTCCCGCTGCCTTAGTCACAGGTCCCGCAACAGAAGGATCAAACTCACCAGCCCGGAAGTGACGTTAGAGCAAGGCCATGGGAAGGATGGACAGGATGATACGGGCAAGCCCAAGGGAGAGGACATCCCCTGCAGACAGGGCAGCACATGCAAAGATGTGACAGTGAGGCCATGTGGCATGGGCGCGGCTCGGTGTGGACACAGTGGGGGCTTGCAGGGGCAGGTGCCCTGAGCAGTCTGCTGACATACCGCAAGGACACTGAGGCCCAGGAAAAAAAGGGACTGTCTATCTCAAGGTATGCTGGAATATTCCAGCCGGGTCAGAAGGGGCTGCCTTTCCCCTGTGGCTCTGAAGCGATCCCCACAAGGAGTCCTGAAATATGGGAACCCTGGCCATCTCACTGGCATCAGTGCAGGGAGCTCCCAAGGGGACTGCGTCAAGGGCTGAGGCGTGTCTGGAAGGCTGAGCCCGAGCTGTGCTGGTGCCACCTCTGATAACCCATCTCACGTGACAGACAGGATCCCCTCTTCCCCTACCGAGGATCAGGTCTGATTTGCCTGTCATCCCTATCATGGTTTGTTAATGGACAGTAGACTGATTTTTGGACCCAGATCCCCACTGGGAGCCTCTGTGGGACCAAGCTGTCCCCTTTGACTGGCAGCCAGGGCCAGGCCAGACAATGACCAGTCCTTGGACCACTCCCAGGCGTGTCCAGATTTGGCCCGCCAGGACTCCAGGGCAGGAGGGGATATAACGGCCCCTTCCTGCATGGCTCTGACTAACAGCCCCCTGGCTCCCTGAAGCATCATAACAGGGCCTGTTACCAGGGCGACCTTCAGGCTCTGTGGCCTGGGACCTGGGCCCTTGCCCACCCCAAGCTGGCTGCTGGCATTGAGCACTTATGGTGAGCTCTCCCTGGCTCAGCGGGGCTGTAAGAGGAGAATAGGGCAGGAGAAGGCCCTGTCTGTGCCTTTGGGGACATGTAACACTGTGGGGAGAATAGAGAGGAAGTTGAATCCTTGGCTTCTCTCTCTCCCTGAGCCCCTGGTCTCTTGATTTCTCCAGCAGGGACCCTGCATGGATCCAGACCATACCTAAAACTGAACTGCCCCTGGAAAACTGCTCCTTCCCCTCCACATCATGCCCCATCTCAGTGAGGACACTTCCATCACCCTCACACATGCTACAGGGTCTCGGGCAGCAGCAAGGGTGCCTCCCATGCTCTCCTCACCCTCTCATCCCATCCATCACCACAGCCTGCACTTACTTCTGCCTTCTCCCAAAAGCCTCTGGAACCCCCTCCTCCACTCTTCCTCATCTTCGACCTTGGGCCCAGCTCTGGCTGCCTCCTGGGCTGTGTCCAGATTGATGCCCAGCCTCTCCTCTAGACCGTAGACCCCTGGCCCCAATAGGAGTCTCCAAGAGGGTCCCTGTGAAACCTCTAGACTCCTGGCCTCCAGTTTCGGAGATGGCCTCAAGTGGATCCTGGCCCTCACCTCCTGAGCTCCTCCCTAGCTTGCCCATCACACTCAGCTGTGGCTGAATCTCATCCTCCTATCAGTAAAAAAAAAAAATGCATACCATCAATCCAATATATGCATATGCTTATTTATAAATTATATACATATGCTGCCACAGAAATGCTTGGATAAATTTGAAAACATACGCCAATAATAGACACTGGAAAAAGAATGAGAGAAAGATTAAATAAATAATATAATTTTAAAAGTTTTATTTTCACTTTATTTAATGGTATTAAAAAGCCTTTTGCTCTGACTAAATACATTATTACTAAAAATTGCCATTAAGTATGCTTCATTTTTAAATAAAATCTTGCATTAATAAAGTGGTACACTCACTTGAGAATCTGGTACTAAATTCCATGTATCTTTTCACTTGGCTTAATGGTTATTATAGTTGAAAAAATATATCTCACAAAGAGCTGAAGTGCCACGTGGAGGATGTGCATTCTTGACTGCACTTACTAATCACAAGGTGCAATTTTCAATTCTGTGCACAGGCTTTTGGTTGGAATTTGGCTTAACTGATGCCAACCTGTTGAAGGTGTTACTTTTTTTTTTTTTTTTTTTTGAGATGGAGTCTCACTTTGTTGCCCAGGCTGGAGCGCAGTGGCACAATCTCGGCTCACTGCAAACTCCGCCTCCCGAAGGTGTTACTTTTTAATATTTTTGACAAATGAGTTCAAAACACACTGAACTTCAGCAACAAAATCATCTCAAGATTTTATTCAGCAAAGTGTTCTCCCTATAGGGTGACTTTGTTTCCAAAGCAGTTACTTTCTTATTCAATCTTAAAATGTCACCTTTACCTCTGCTATGTATTCATTCATTTTAGCATCTGCTGGATAGCATCCCCTAATTGTCACAGAAGGAGCCAGCACATTTGGATCATTTGTCTTTTCGTAGAAGAAAAAGGCAAATTTCTGCCAGGTGCCGTGGCTCACACCTGTAATCCCAGCACTTTGAGAGGCTGAGGCAGGTGGATCACTTGAGGTCAGGAGTTCGAGACCAGCCTGGCCAAAATGGCAAAACCCTATCTCTACTAAAAATATAAAAATTAGCCAGAATCCCAGCTACTCAGGACGCCGAGGCAGAAGAATTGCTTGAACCCGAGAGGCAGAGGTTGCAGTGAGCTGGGATGGCACCACTGCACTCTAGCCTAGGTGATAAAGCGAGACCGTCTCAAAAATGAAAAAAAATAAAATAAAAAAATAAAGAAAAGGAAAGAGGAAAGAAAGAGAGAGAGGAAGGAAGGAAGGAAGGAAGGAAAAAAAGGCAAAGCTCATCTTCAAGGTATAACTCTTTTAAGTATTTTGCTGTGAGATAACCAGCAAGTTTCTGTATGGTACAAAAGGTTTTTGCAGCCACTTATTCTGTTAAGACGCTTTGATAAGATGCTATGATTTAATGACTGTTTTTATAAAATGAAGTGCCTCGATGACATCCTGTGGCAGGCTCACTGAAGGTGTTGCAGTGGGATGGCAACGTCATGGTCAGCCAAACCCATGCTGGACATATGACCTACTATGGTGTGAACAAGGTGAGGGCACCAATGTCAGCCTACTTAATAAATATTAGTAGAGCTTGAATTTTTCTTCCTTTTTTTAGAAGGTAAAATATAAATAGAAGTTCTAGAATTTTCGGCCAGGCTGTGACTCACACCTGTAATCATGGCATTTTGGGAGGTTGAGATGTGCAGATTGCTTGAGCTCAGGAGTTCAAGACCAGCTTGGGCAACATGGCAAAACCCTGCTTCTACTAAAAAAAAAAAAAAAAAACTAGCTGGGCATGGTGGCACATTCCTGTAATTCCAGCTACTTGAGGAGCTGAGGCAGGAGGATTGCTTGAACCTGGGAGGTTGAGGCTGCAGTGAGCCAAGATGGTGCCACTGCACTTCAGCCTGCACAACAGAACAAGATCCTGTCACACAAAAAAAAGTTCTAGAATGTTTTTTCTATATGAATGGATCACTTTGCACCCCATTTTGGACACCTCTAGGGTATATAATAGGGTTTTTGGCCACATTCACAGCCCCTTGGGATCTGTTCCAGTCTTCCTTCCACCTTGGCGCTTACGTAAAACTAAGTCTAATGTTCCTGAATACATCACACATTCTCGTGTCTTTGCAATGCAGCTATGTTTGTCTGATAGGCTCATCCCGATGGATTAGCTCAAGATTCTATACTTTCTTCAAGAGCCAGCCCCAGGCCACCCCTTCATAAAGCCTGCTCAGATTCTCTGGGTGGAGCCATTCATTCTGCTAGTTAACAGATATTATTGAGGGCCTATTATGTGCCAGGCACTGATCTAGGGGTTGCTGGGTATATAGCAGTGAAGCAATCATACAAAAATCCCTCCTTCAGGGAGCTTGCATTCTAGTGGCTGGATGTTGATGCTCTAGGTGAGTCCTTATCGCATTTACCCACAGACGGTTGGCCATTTACAAGTTTATCTTCCCAGGAAAGCATCTGTTCCTAAGAGCAGGGACCTCTGAGCCAGAGCTCCAATCACAAGTCCTAGCCCAGAGTCAGAGCCTAATAGATAATGAATGGAATAATACAGTGGGTAACACAAGCCATGACCCCAGCTGTAGATAAATATCTGACACCAAATCCAGACTGAGGTCCTCCAAGTGCCTGATCCAGCCTCAGGCTGGGCCAGCACTTGGGGCTCAGTCTCACAAACACACTGGTTCCCTGCCCCATGAGAAGGAACTGGACGGCCCCCTGCGGGTGGCAGGAACCACTTCCACCTCCGAGTGTCTCTATATTTAGCCATCTGTTGTGACCCTGCAGCCCTCTCCTCTCCATGGCCGGAGGGAATTGCCCAGCAGCTTTGATGGCCTGTTTTCCCAGGCCCTGCTCCTGCTTCCCAGCCACCCCCTCCCCCACCCACCAGCATCCCTGCAGGAGGTGGAGCCCTACTCAGCTGGCAGGTTCTGCATCCTAAAATAGCATCAGCACTTGGCAAGGAGAGGCAGCCACCTGTGTTCAGGGACAGCGCTGCCCGGGTGAGGGGCAAGGCGAGCGGAGGGAGAAGGGCAGGGGATGGTCTGGATGGAAACCTTCCAGGTACACTCCTGTGTTCCCTGATCCCCTCCAAGCATTAAGTCACTGGTCCCACATTATTCCAATGTGCATCAGGGTAACCACTGACTGTCAAAATAAGGCCTGAGCCTCATCTCCCACTTCTCCCCCACCCTACACACTCAACCTGAACAATAGCCACACTGCTCCACATCATGCCCCAAACAAACTCTCCACATCTGAAATGACATAACCCATTCTCCCCTCAACCCACCCACCCAGGAATGCCTTCTTCATCTGTTGAAATCCAGCCCATCTATGAAGAGTCAAAGGCCGCCTTGGCCGTGAAGGCCTCTGGTGCTGTGGGCCCATGCGTAAGTGGCCATGCTTCAGTGCTTTCTGTCCCTGGTTCAAGCTTGTCCATCCTGTAACTTTACTTGGTTCAAAAAGCCCCCAGGTCGATGGTTGGCAGATGAGGCCCTAGCCTCAGCTTGCTGTGTGATTCTGAGGATGTCACTTCCCTATCTGGCCCTCAGTTTTCCTGGCCATGAAATGGGATTCTATTTCATGATCTCAGTGGGCTCTCCCAGGGGTCTGAGCCTCTGATTCACCATTTGGGGGGAATAAGAGCATTTTGGTAAAGGGAACTCGCCCTGAACCTGGAGCTATTGATGGTGTGGTCCCCTCTCCCTGCCCTATCCTTCCCCAAAAAGTCAGTTGCCTCTGAGGCAGGTGTAGGCTCCTGAGTGGGGTTCCTGACTGCTGCCAACGGGATGGGGCACTGTGGCAAGGCTGGCTTCCAAACCAGCAGGGCAGCCTCCCGTGCAAGGAGGCCTCCCTCTCCTGCAAGTGGGGAAGCTGCCATCCATCTGGTTCAGGTTCCTCTGTTTTGTCTCAGCGGGAGCTCTCAGCCCACAAGTCTTGGCAACTGGAACAAAACATCCCAACCACAGCATTTCCGTGTTGTTTACTTCAGCAGGGCCCAGGCCCAGGGGTTCTGCAGAGACCACCAGGATCCCAGCAGGACAATAGGAAATCTCAGCAGAGGCATTCCAGAACACGGAAAAGCCAGTTCCTGATGAATCCAGAGGATGTTCAAAGCTCACCAGGCCAATGAACCCCGACGGATTCCCCAGTGGGCCCTCTCTCCTTTCCGTAGATCTTCTAGGAGTTTTACCATTTAAAGAGAACTGCAGGAGGCCATCTTAACCAGACTGTATGTTTCATTAAACCAAGAATGGTATTTATTCTAGCAGTATTCTAGGCACTGGGATACAACAAAGAGCACAAATTGAGAGGTGACAGCGTGCTGGCAGTCCTCACAGCCCTCGCTCGCTCTCGGCGCCTCCTCTGCCTGGGCTCCCACTTTGGCGGCACTTGAGGAGCCCTTTGGCCCGCCGCTGCACTGTGGGAGCCCCTTTATGGGCTGGCCAAGGCTGGAGCCCACTCCCTCAGCTTGCAGGGAGGTGTGGAGGGAGAGGTGCGAGCGGGAACCAGGGCTGCGTGCGGCGCTTGCGGGCCAGCTGGAGTTCCGGGTGGGCGTGGGCTTGGCAGGCCCGGCACTCGGAGTAGCCGGCCAGCCCTGCTGGCCCCGGGCAATGAGGGACTTAGCACCCGGGCCAGTGGCTGCGGAGGGTGTACTGGGTCCCCCAGCAGTGCCAGCCCACCGGTGCTGCACTCGATTTCTCACCGAGCCTTAGTTGCCTTCCTGCGGGGCAGGGCTCGGGACCTGCAGCCTGCCATGCCTGAGCCTCCCACCCACTCCATGGGCTCCTGTGCAGCCCGAGCCTCCCCAACGAGCATCACTCCCTGCTCCACGGCGCCCAGTCCCATCGACCACCCAAGGGCTGAGGAATGCGAGCACACAGCACGTGACTGGCAGGCAGCTCCACCTGCAGCCCTGGTGCAGGATCCACTAGGTGAAGCCAGCTGGGCTCCTGAGTCTGGTGGGGACGTGGAGAGTCTTTATATCTAGCTCAGGGATTGTAAATACACCAATCAGCACCCTGTGTTTAGCTCAGGGTTTGTGAGTGCACCAATCGACACTCTGTATCTAGCTGCTCTGGTGAGGATGTGGAGAGTCTTTCTATCTAGCTCAGGGATTGTAAATACACCAGTCAGCACCCTGTGTTTAGCTCAAGGTTTGTGAGTGCACCAGTCGACACTCTGTATCTAGCTGCTCTGGTGGGGCCTTGGAGAACCTTTATGTCTAGCTCAAGGATTGTAAATACACCAATCGGCACTCTGCATCTAGCTCAAGGTTTGTGAACACACCAATCAGCACCCTGTGTTTAGCTCAAGGTTTCTGAATGCACCAATCGACACTCTGTATCTAGCTGCTCTGGTGGGGCCTTGGAGAACCTGTGTGTCGAAACTCTGTATCTAACTAATCTGATGGGGACATGGAGAACCTTTGTATCTAGCTCAGGGATTGTAAACGCACCAATCAGCGCGCTGAGAAAACAGGCCACTCGGGCTCTACCAATCAGCAGGATGTGGGTGGGGCCAGATAAGACAATAAAAGCAGGCTGCCCAAGCCAGCATTGGCAACCCGCTCGGGTCCCCTTCCGCAATGTGGAAGCTTTGTTCTTTCGCTCTTTGCAATAAATCTTGCTACTGCTCACTCTTTGGGTCCACTCTGCTTTTAGGAGCTGTAACGCTCACTGCGAAGATCTGCAGCTTCACTCCTGAGCCCAGCGAGACCGTGAACCCACCGGGAGGAACGAACAACTCCAGACCCGCTGCCTTAAGAGCTGTAACACTCACTGCGAAGGTCTGCAGCTTCACTCCTGAGCCAGCGAGACCACGAACCCACCCGAAGGAAGAAACTCCGAACACATCTGAACATCAGAAGGGATAGACTCCAGATGCGCCACCTTAAGAGCTGTAACACTCACCGCGAGGGTCCGCAGCTTCATTCTTGAAGTCAATGAGACCAAGAACCCACCAATTCCGGACACAAAATGACACAGTCCCTGCCCACATGGAGCTGACATTCTCATGGAGAGAAAGGGACAAATAAACAAATGTACAATACTCCAAGTAGTCATAGTGCTGTGAAGAAAATAAAGTGATACAAGGGAACTATGAGAACCTTGGGAATGGGGGCGCTGTTTTAAACAGGCCCATTTGGAAGTTTCTCTTTCCTTTGAGCCAAGTCCTGAAGGAAATGAGAGAGGGATATGGGGGGAAGAATGTTCCAGGCAGAGAGATCAGCCAGTGCAAAGGCCCTGAGGCAGGAGTGTGCCCCAAGGGGTGTAGGAACAGTGTGGAGCTGGTAGGGCTGTGGCAGAGTGAGGGTGAGAGAGAAAGGAAGGGGGTGATGGGCCTGGGGGGCAGACCATGCTGAGCAGCGGCTTTTAATTTTTATTGATTACATCTTCCATAAGAAATCAGTTTTATATGGCAATCCAAGACAGATATCCACATATAAACATACAACTGAGATAAACTATATGTGTGCACTCTGATATATTTTATTTTATTTTATTCTGTTTCATTAAAAAATAACATGAGTAATGATCTTCAAATTGATTTCCTGGGCTACTAAATGGTCATGGTCCACAGTTTGAGAAACACTGATATAGAGCCTTATAGACTGTTACAAAGAGTGAGATGGGGCCTGGCTCACACCTGTAATCCCAGCACTTTGGGAGGCTGAGGCGGGCAGATCACTTGCGATCAGGAGTTTGAGAGCAGCCTGGCCAACATGGGGAAACCCCGTCTCTACTAAAAATACAAAAATTAGCCAGGCATGGTGATGCGTGCCTGTAGTCCCAGCTGCTCAGGAGGCTGAGGCAGGAGAATCGCTTGAACCTGGGAGGCTGAGGTTGCAGTGAGCCAAGATCGTGCCACTGCACTCCAGCCTGGGCAACAGAGTGAGACGCTGTCTCAAAAAAAAAAAAAAAAGATTTAGATGGAGTCATTACGCAGGTTTTGAGGAGGGGTGACACAAGCTGTTTCACTTTTTTTGTTCCATTTTGAAAATTAACATATAATTTACATTCAGTAAAACACACCCTTCCTAGTGTACAGTTCTTTGGTTTCAACAAATGCAGACATGTAAACACCACGTTTTGCTTTTGAAAGGGGTCCTGCAGGCTGCTAAGAGGAGAGGTCTGGAGAGGGAAGGTGGCAGGCGAGGACCAGCCAGAGGCGCTCGTGGCGGCTTAGAGTGGCTTCTGGGTATATTTCTGAAGCCTGAGCCCACAGGATTTGCTGATATTTTGGACGTGGCGGGTGAGAGACAGGGAAGATTCCAGAGTGACTGCCTGGTCCTCAGCCTGCGTAATGGGAACTTGAAAAGACGGGGGAGGAAAAGGCTTGGGAAGCAGATCACGAGTTCTGGCTTAAAGTGTGAAAAGCAAGGAGAGAACGGGCTGGCCATGGGGAGGAGTCCAAGGAGAGGCCAGGCTGGATATTGCGATGTGGGCGGCTTCTGTATCCCCACGACGCTGAGGGCCACGGGCCTGCCTGAGACAGCCAAGGGAGGGGGCGGATGGAAAGAAGCAGTGAAGGACTGAGCCCTGGGGCATGGCCACGCTAAAGAGATAGATAATGAGAAGTTTGCAGCAGAAGAGTGAGAAGGGGCTGGCCGCCGGAGTGGGCAGGGTCCTGGGGGCAAATGCACAAAGGCCTCCATGCCAAGAGAGAGACGCTGGCTGGACGAAGCTGAGCAAGATGGGGACAGGAAACTGACAACTAGAGCGTGCTTGTGTTAACAGCAGCGGATCCATATGGGTCTGCAGTACTATCAGCTCTTGCCTCCTCAGAAGAAAGAATTCTCAACCGAGAGGGCATAAGGCAGAGGGAGAGGCAGAAGCAAGTTTTAGAGCAGGAGTGAAAGTTTATTAAAAAGTTTTAGAGTCGGAACAAAAGGAAGTAAAGTACACTTGGCAGAGGGCTCAAGAGGTCCAAGTGCCTGGCTTGACCTTTGACCTTTGACCCCGAGGTTTTATACCTTGGCATGCTTCTGGGGTTTTGCATCTCCCCTCCCTCGATTTTTCCTTGAGGTGGGCTGTCTGCATGCACAGTGGCCCACCAGCGCTTGAGAGGGGCCGCATGCATAATGTGTTTACTGAAGTTGTGTGCATGCTCACTTGAGCTATTCTTCCCTCACCAGTCGAGTGTTCCTAGAGGAAGGCCAAATACCAGTTGAACTCCACCATTTTGCCTCTCAGTGTGCATGCTTAGGCCCACCTGCCCAACTCCTGAGATCTTATCAGGAAGCTGCTGACTACCAGGATCAAGTGTTTTCTATTTTTTGGGAGACTGCCTTTCCCTGGTGCTGGGTGTGCCCAGTTATTATTTTAGAGAGACAGTTTAACAACCACCTGACCGTCATCTGATGATCACCAGACATTCCCTGGGAGGGGCCCTCTCCTGCCCTGCTCATGTCCGATTAGCTACCTACTATAACACTTGGACTTTATTCAGTAGGACAGTGGGGATCCACAGTAGGTTTATGAGTAGGGAGTGGCTTGAGCTGAGCTGTATTTAGGAAGATTAATAATAATAATGTAACTATTATGTGTGGATGGATTATTTATCATTGACTGAACCCTCCCTCTGGCCAGGCTCTGTGCTTGTGCTTTATGCATATTAACTCATGAATCCTCCTATCAATCCTTGAGACAAGTGCTACTATTATTTCTGATGTACAGGCAAAGACATTGAGAGGTTCAGTGACTTGCCTAAAGTCCCACAGCCAGGATGTGGTGCAGCTGGGCCTAGATCCCAGATCATGTGGCTCCCACTCCTGGGAACACATCCCAGATTCAGACTCAGGCCTTTTGGTCGATTGCCCAGTCACTGGTGACCTTGAGAAGGTCGCTGCCAGGGTGTGAAGGTTTCCAGGCTGGTCAGGGCAGGACAACGTGGTTTCTGGGGGGGCCTTCTCTGCCTTAGGTTGCTGCCGGTGTCTGCGCTTGGGGGTCTGGGCCCACCCATACGCCTTTCAGCTCAGTGGGAAGAGTAGCCCTGGCTGTAGCTCTAGGGGGTCCCGGGGCAGCTGCAGGACTGTAGGTCTTTGCTCTTGAGCTGGCTTCACCCTTCCTGGGGGCTCCTGCTCCCTTGGCTGAAGTGGTTAGTTTCTTGGGGAATCTGTCACCATCTGGTCCCCATGTGCTGTCTGTAGGTCTGTCTGGGGCACTGAAAGATTCCGTCCCAGCCCAGAGTAATTGTTACCAGAGGTAGGCAAGATGGGGGTGGGAAGGAAAGAGGGATGTGCTGCCCAGAACTGGCTGCCAAGGCTTTAGTGACTTGAAAAGAGGGAGAGTGAGATGGAGGCAGAGAGAACATCAGAGACAGGAGGAGACAGAGAGAGACAGAGGGAGACACCAGGACAGAGCAGAGCAAGACAGGAACTGACTGAAAGCAAGAGGCGGGCTGCGGCTGACAGCAGCAGGAGGCAGAGCCGATGGCGTGCACAGACAGGGAGCAGGTGGGAGAGAGGCGGGCGCTGAGAGTTGGATCCTCAGGGAGAGGCGGGGGGAGCAGACACCAAACTCCACAATGTGACACCAGAGAGGACAGAGTAAAAGGGAGGGAGAACAGGGATGGGGGCGGGACAGTGTGAAAAGAGAGAGAGAACATGGCTCAGAACATGCCAGCACAGCAGGAGCTGGTGAGACCAGTGGAACAGGGGGAGTCTCGGCCCAGGTGGTCCCCACCATAGCAGTGGTCCTGGGGCAGCCATGGTCATACCAGAACGGTTAGCTCTTGCCCACTGGCCTGGCCAGCCTCAGCTGCCTCCTCCCGGAGCAGGGACCCAGACCTGCACACCTGGCTCGAGGACACCCTCCTTCAGGCCTCCGTCCTGGACCAAGGGGCCTTTGTCCCTGGTCTCCTCTCCAGGGCCCACCTTCCAGTCACCTCCCCACTTGGCTCTAGGAAACCATTTCTCTGAGGGTGATCTTGGGAGGTGGGAAGAGGAGGACCATGAGCCTGAGATGAGATGAGAGCCCCCGTCTGTCCCTGCCTCTATTCTGCACATGACTTCAAGTATCCTTTCTCCGCTCTGAGCCTCAGCTCCTTCTTCTATAGAAAGGGCTGTTTTGGAGATCACTAAAGGCCCATCCAGTGGCACATTTTGAGCCAGCAGTAAAACTGGGCCACAGAGGAGATGGCTGCTGCCTCTGTCACCCACCCGCCTGGTCATCTGTCTCATTCTTTCCTTCACGCATCCACTCCTGCAGTCCCTGTCCTTTTCCCCTCCGTCTCCCCACCTCCCTCCCTCCATCCCTCCTTCCCTTTTCTCTTTCTTTCTTTCTTTCAATCTCTCTTTGTCTTACCCTTTCCTTCTTCCCTTCCTCCCTTCCTCTCTCTCCCCTCTCTCTCCCGTTCTTTCTTTCCTACTCACTGAGAGCCCCCTTTATGCCAGACCCTGGGCTGGGCACTGATGCCTCAGAGGTGGATACTACAGGGTCCAGGGGTCTAGCGGGCTCATCCCAGGACTGTGGCACAAGGCTCCTGAGGCCAACAAGGGCAGATCAGACTCCAGACATAAGTACCCCCTACCCCAAGCCAGCTGCTCCAGCTCATGCCACTTGGCCCAGCCCCCACATCCACACAGCCCTCCTTTGGGCAGTTCGATTCTGATTACTAACCCCACGATACACAGAGGCTAACACTGGTGCTGTGACCAGAATGTTCATGTCCCCCCAAATTTCATATGTTGAAATCCTAACCACCAAGGTGATGCTATTAGGAGGTGGGGGCTTCGGGGGTGATTATATTGGATTGGGATTGGTGTCTTTATAAAGAGACTGCAGAGAGCTAGCCAGCTCCTTCCACCACATGAGAACATGGCTAGAAGGTGCCATCCATGAAGCAAAGAGTGAGCCCTCACCAGACACCAAGTCTGCTGGCACCTTGCTCTTGAACTTCCCAGTCTTTGGAACTGTGAGATATAAGTTTCTGTTGCTTATAAGCCATCCAGTATATATTATTTTGTCATAGCAGCACAAATAGATTAAGGCCAATGGCATCATCAAACATTTCCCACGTCAGTGAGTGGAGACCAGAGAGCGCAGAGAGGGCCAGGGACTTGCCCAAGGTAACAGTCAATCATATCCTGAAGCACTTTCCCCTTTGCCTCGGATCTTCCTGGGAGGCTGGAGGCTGTGTAAATCCCACACCTAGGGCGAGGTCAGCCTCAGCCAGACCTTCACCCAGGCCAGGGAAAGTCTAGTGACGGCCAGTCCGAGTGAAGTCACTGATGGGATCCATGTGTTCAGGCCTTGTCTCTGCCACCACCTCCCCTCCCCACAGCCTTTCCCACCCAGCCCCAGGAGGCCCAGGAGGGGAGGAAGGAAGAGGGCTGCGCTGTGTCAGTGCAGGCACTGTGCCCAGAAGTGATAAGCACTGGGGCCAAGGTTGCAGGAGAGAAAGTGGTCCCCGCCCTGGCTGCCCGACATCTGCTGGCAGGGGCAGAGGCTCTGGAAAGATCAAGCCTCAGGATAGATTGGTACCAGCTGGATGCCGCTGGAGGCTTCGCTCACCTCCGTGGTCTCAGGTGAGCCCAGACCCTGCCTCAGAAGGAGCCAGACTCTGGTCGCAAAGTGAGTTTTGTCACTAGCACTCTGACAGCAGCTCCATGCACCTTCTGTGATGGTCAGTTTTAAGTAAGTGAGTTTTGTCACTAGCACTCTGACAGCAGCTCCATACACCTTCTGTGATGGTCAGTTTTAAGTAAGTGAGTTTTGTCACTAGCACTCTGACAGCAGCTCCATACACCTTCTGTGATGATCAGTTTTAAGTAAGTGAGTTTTGTCACTAGCACTCTGACAGCAGCTCCATATACCTTCTGTGATGGTCAGTTTTAAGTGTCAACTTGGCTAGGCTGCAGTCCTCATCATTCAAACACTGATCTGGGTGTTGCTGTGGAGGTTTTTAGTAGAAGTAAAGTCCAAATCAACTGACTTTAAGTAAGGAGATTATCCCACACAATCTGGGCGGGCTTGATTCAATCAAGTGAAGGCCTTTAAGAGCAGAGCAGAGGCCTGAAGAAGGAGAGATTCCACCTGTGGACAGCAACTTTGGCTTAGGATTCTAGCCTGCCCTTCCTGACAGCCTGCGTTATGAATTTTGGACCAGCCTAGCCCACAACTATATAAGCCAATTCCTAGCAGCGCATCTCTTAATGTGTACCTCTTACTGGTTCTGTTTCTCTGCTAGAGCCCTCACCTTCCGTCCTAATCTCTTTTGGCTGCAGAAAATACTGGACAATTTGTAAACAATGAAAATATATTGCTCATGGTTCTGGAGTCTGGGAAGTCCAAGCTGGAGGTGCCAACAGATCCAGTCAGCGTCTCACGACAGCCCATGCTTCATAGCTGCTGCCTTGTCACTGCATCTCACATGGCGGGAGAGACAAACAAGCTCCCTCAGGCCTCTCTTGTCAGGACACTGATCCCATTCACAAGGGCTCTACTCGCAAGACCTGGTCACAGGCTAGGTGCAGTGGCTCACGCCTGTAATCCCAACACTTTAGGAGGCCGAGACGGGTGAATCACTTGAGGTCAGGAGTTTGAGACCAGCCTGGCCAACATGGTGAAACCCATCTCTACTAAAAATACAAAAGTAGCAGGGCATGGTGGTGCACACCTGTAATCCCAGCTACTCGGGAGGCTGAGGTGGGAGAATCACTTGAACCTGGGAAGCAGAGGTTGAAGTGAGCCAAGATCGTGCCACTGCACTCCAGCCTGGGCAACAGAGCAAAACTCCATCTCAAAAAAAAAAAAAAAAAAAAAAAAGACCTCGTCACTTCCCAGGTACCCCAGCCCTTAATTCCAACACACTGAGGATTAAGTTTCAACATATGAATTTTGGGGGTCACAAACACTCAGACCACAGCACCTTCCACGGTGGGAAGTGTGTGCACGCACCATGTTTTAATTAATATTCTTTCCCAAGCACCTTTCCATGTAGCAACAGAGTCTTCATTTTTGGCTGCAGAATATTCTGTCTTTTTGATGCACCGTAGTTTACTAAGCCAATCCCCTCTTACTGGATATTTAGGTTATTTCTAAATTTTTTATATATATATATATATATATATATATACACACACACACACACACACACACACAATAGAAATACATTAATATATAAATATAATATATTAATATTAATTTAATATAATATTTAGTGTTAATATTAATATCTTATATTTCTATATCAATATAATATAGAAATATATCATTATAATAATATATTTCTACTGTTAAATGTATTATAAACAATAGAAATTATATCAGTATTAACTGTGATGAATGTCATTGTGTTATTTGAATGCTTTTCTTCAGAGGCGGGAGTGGGGCTGAGCCAACTCTGTGGATAATCTGCCCATGCCAGCCCCGCTCCCAGCCTCAAGCGCCTGTTTCCCTTCTCTCCTCTCCGTCTGTCTACCCAAGGGCTTCTTCCAGCACCAAAGGACCTTGTTCAGCCTGTGCAGGGATGTGCCAGAGACCCAACACCCTCACGGGCAATCCTCAATCTCAGGGAATGAAAAGTGGACAAACACCCCAACGTCCAGCTCTTGAGTTTGAGATTCTGATGATGTGTGTTCTATACTCCAGCTCCTAGGGTGCCCAGCAGGATGGAGCCCAGGTGCCCACAGTGGTAACCCGCTCATCGAAGCCACCTTCCTGGGTTTTCTCCCTCCCTTTCCCACTTCTCCGTTTCTCACTGTTGCCTGGCATCACCTCCCGAATGAACTACCTGCACCCAAGCCCTTGGGTCAAGGTTGGCTTTGCAGGGATGAGATTTAGGACAGGAGTTGTGGATACTTTCTTTCAAAGGCTCAAAACCACCTGCAGGAAAGGGACTATATTAGCTCAAACTTCTTCTCAAACCATTTTGTGTTTATTTCCTCCAGAAACTCCTCTCAAACTTCACAATACAGGATGGCAGAGAGAACACAGGCCTTGGATACAGGTAGCCCCCAAATCAATCCCCAGCACTAGCCTTGGGGAAGTCGCTTCACTTTTAAGAGCCTCACTTTCCTCATCTGAAAATGGGCCAGCCGGGCTATCTGTTGGGCTACATAGAGCCTGAGGCCTGAAAGGGAGCTACCATCCCCCTGCCTCCTTCCTGCCTCACTTGCTCCCCACCCTTCCCTGGCCCACCACCTTGGCACCTGCCTCCTCTCTGTGGCTGGCCTAGTGAGCCTGAGGTCAAAGGCCACATCCCTAACTCTTTCAGGTCCTTTAACAACTGCTGTTTACTACAAACCAAGAGCTGTGCAGAGCGCCATGCCTCGATGACATCCCTACAGCTCTATGAGGTGGGCGCGGTGATTACGCCCATTTCATAAGTGAGGAAGTTGAGGTGCAGACAGGAGGGGCTTACCCCAGCCACACGGTGAGCACGAGGCAGCGCCCGGACTCACCTCCAGGTCTCTCTGACTCCTGAAGCCATGCTCCTCAGGACCACAGAGGCTGCCTCCTGCCCGCAGAACCCTCTCCAGAGGAGAGGGGATTCCTTGCGGGTGACTCAGGGCCTGGGGCAAGGAAGCCACATCCCTGGGGTCTGCTGGGAAGGAGAAAGTGACGCCAGGGTAATTCCCATACAGCTATGAGGTTCTTAGCAGCTGGGGGAGGGGGCCGCAGGCTTTGTTGGCTACCCTCATGGTGGGGGCAGCAGGGAGGGTCCCTTAGCTGAGTCTAAGCTTCCTGGGAGGCTATGGGATGTGCGGGAAAGGGTGGGGAGCGGGTGAGGCCACAGCGAGTGTGTTCTGCAGCCTGGGGCCACCAGGGGAGCAGACATTCTTCAGCAGCTGCTGGAAATCCCAGGGGCTGCTTTTCCTGGGAGCCACCAGGAAGATGCCCTGGAAGTGGCCTTTCCAAGGTTCTGGAGCAGGGCCATCCAATAAAACAGAATGTGAGACTCGGATGTAATGACATTTCTCCAGTAGCTACATTAAGAAAGTAAAAAGAAACAAGTGAACTTAATTTTAATAATATATTTAACTTAATATATCAAAATATTATCCTTTCAACATGTAATCAGTATTAAAAATTATGAATGTTGTATTTCATTTTTTTTTTTTTGTATTGTTGAAACCTGGTGTGTCTTTTCCACCCACAGCACAGCTCGTTTCAGACCAGCCACATTTCAGATGCCCAGTAGCCGCGTGCGGCTGGTGGCTACTAAGCTGGAGCGCACAGTTAGAGAGACCTCTAGGGGTGACTTGAGGATGCTGAAGGAGCCAAGGGGCAAACCTCAGTGAGTGGTGCCAGGACCCAGAGGTCACAAGAGGGTCCTGGGACCAAGTGTCATGTATCATTTAGTCTTCTCAACACCACCCAAGGCAGCATGATCACCCCTGTTAGGTAGATGAGGGAGTCAACTCAGAGGAGCCGGGTGGCTGGCACAAAGTCTCCTAGCAGGATGGGAGCTAGTCACCCCCCAGCACTGAGATGATGCTGCAGCCCACCCTACCCCAGGGGCACAGAGGAGCAAAGGAAGGCCCCCCACCCCAGGACTGCTGACCTCACACGTCTTCCCAGCCCCAGGCTTGCCCAGTGAGGGTTGGCACATTTAGGGGAGTCCCTCAGCCACCTTTCTTCATGCAGGAGTCAGGGAGGAAGTGGGCAGGCAGGCAGGTGGGTAGCAGCAGCCTCTTTCTCCTTCATCTTGCCCTGTCACAGACTGGTGTGGGTGGTGCCAGGTGAGCCCACCTAGAACGTGGCTTTTCCCCCTCCCCATTCCCATGGACACACGCATGTGCATGGGTCACAGGTGCTGCCTCTGGCTGGTCCACATTAACCCACACAGCTTCCCACCCTGGCTGCCCCTCACCCCAGCTGGTCCACGTGTCCACACCACCCAGAGCAGCACCGTTCACATCCACTGACTCAGCCAAGATTTCCTGAGGGTCAGCCTGGCAGGAATTTTGCCCATTCTACAGATGAGGACACGAAGGTCCAGAAAGGGGTGGGACTGGGTTCCCTGACTGCTGCTGGGCCTTGGTCCATGGCATCCACTGGCTCTCACTGGTCAAGGCAAGGAAGGCCCCTGGGAGGGGCACAGCATTTGGTGGGTACAGAGGAGGAGGTGGGTTTGCAGGGCTCAGGGCCTGACCATGGGCTCTGAAGGCAGAGGACAGAGTCTGTACAGGGGATTAGACATGGCCACTGGGTCCAGTTATGGAAACAGCCGTCCCCGCTCCCCTGCCACTGGGGTGCTCTGCCCGACCGGAGGGGGAACCAAGCTTGCGTCTCCCGCACTCATGAAGGGAGCACCTCTAGTTCCCAGGGCCAGATGGAGTGAGGGCAAGAGTTGGGGAGGTCTAATTTGCATCCAGGTTTCTGGTTTGAATACTAAGCAGATGGATGGTGGTGGCATTTGCTGGGATGTGTTGTGGGGAGCACATGGGGGAGGCTGAGTTGGGGTTGGGCAGTTTAAGTCCTGGGGGAGATACTGGGTAGAGAGCCTGGGCAGGGAGGGCCTGGGAGGCCTCCATGGAGTGGGCTACAGTGTGGGAAGGGGCAGTGACCAGGAGGGTGCCTTCCCAGTGAGCCTTCCCAAACCGCCCTGTTTAAAAGTCCACCATTCCACACTCCCTATCCCCCTCTGTGCCTCAGTTTCCCTGTGGAACGTATACCATGGAACATACTATTAACCTGTCACTCACCTTCCTTATTGTTTGTTCCCCACGTGGAGGAATGGTGTCTGTTGTTTGCTTGCTTGCTTGTTTGTTTGTTTGTTTGTTTCTCTGCTGGGCCCTGTGCTTGGAGCATTGCCTGCCTCAAAGGTGCATAAATGATGAATGCCTGAAGAGCTGAGGGCTCTGGATGGAGGATGGAATGGGGAGGTGGAGGTGGGGATCGGCATTTAAGAGGTGGCTGAGCAACAAGTTCCAGCCAGCGAGGCCACCGTGCTCACGGGAGTGACTTCCCAACCCTGGCTGTACTCATCAGTAAAAAGGAGATGGATCCATTTGCCAGGGCTGCCATAGCACAGTGCCACACACTGGGCAGAAACGACAGGGAGGTGTCCTCTCAGAGTTCTGGAGGCTGCAGCCCAAGGTCCAGATGTCACCAGGGGCTTCCTCCCGAGAGCTGAGAGGAAGCGCCCATCCTGCGCCTCTCCCTGCCTCCTGGTGCTCGCTGGCAGTCCTCCGCGTCCTGTGGCCTGTGAGAGCATCACTCCAGTCTCTGCCTCCGTTTTCACACAGGGTTCTCCCTGTGTGTCTGTCTCCAAATTTCCCCTTCCTACAAGGACAGTTTTATTGGACAAAGGCCTACTCTGATGACCTCATTTTACCTGGATGACCTCTGTAAAGATCCCATCTCCGAAAAGGTCACATTCTGAGGCTCTGGGGGTCAGGATTTCAACGTTTGAATTTTTGTGGATGTGATTCAACCCATGACATGAGATAATATAAAACCTGTTGGGGTGCAGGGAGGGTGGAGGATCAGTGCAAATTACTGTGCAGGCCAGGCCCTGCTGCCATGACCATTAGGACTGCATTATGGTCCACTGAGGTGGACCTGGCTGCACAAATAATCCGATAACGGCCGGGCACAGCAGCTCATGCCTGTAATCCCAGCACTTTGGGAGGCCGAGGCAGGCAGATCACCTGAGGTGGCGAGTTCGAGACCAACCTGACCAACATGGAGAAACCCTGTCTCTACTAAAACACAAAAAATTAGCCGGGCATGGTGGCGCATGCCTGTAATCCCAGCTACTCGGGAGGCTGAGACAGGAGAATCGCTGGAACCCGGGAGGCAGAGGTTGCGATAAGCTGAGATCACGCCACTGCACTCCAGCCTGGGCAACAAGAGCAAAACCCTGTCTCAAAAAAATAAAAATAAAAAATAGGAATCCAGTAACAAGTCTTCATAAAATACCAGTGCCTGGGCCCCATCCTGAGAGACTCTGGTTTAATTGGTCTGGGGTGAGACCCTGACATTGGGATTTTTTTTTCCAACTTTTATTTTCAGTTCAGGGGCACATGTGCAGGATGTGCAGGTTTGTTACATAGGTAAACGTGTGTCACGATGATTTGCTGTACAGATCATCTCATCACCTAAGTATTAAGCTAGCATCCATTAGTTATTCTTCCTGAAGCTGTCCCTTCTCCCATCCTCCAGCCTCCGACAGGCCCCAGTGTGTGTCCATGTGTTCTCATCATTTAACTCCCACTTATAAATGAGAACATGCAGTGTTTGGTTTTCTGTTTCTGCATTAGTTTGCTGAGAATGATAGCTTCCAGTGCCATCCATGCCCCTGCAAAAGACATGTTCTCATTCCTTTTTATGGCTACATAGTATTCCATGGTGTATATGTACCATATTTTCTTTATTCAGTCTATTATTGATGGCATTTAGGTTGATTCCATGTCTTTACTGTTGTGAATAGTGCTGCAATGAACATATGTGTTAATGTACCTTTATAATAGAATGATTCATATTCCTTTGCGTATATACGCAGTAATGGGACTGCTGCGTCAAGTGGTATTTCTGCTTCTAGGTCTTTGAGGAATGGCCACACTGTCTTCTGCAATGGTTGAACTAACTTACATTCCCACCAACAGTGTAAATGTGTTCCTTTATCTCCACAACCTCGCCAGTATCTGTTGTTTTTTGACTTTTTAATTAGCCATTCTGACTGCTGTGAGATGGTATCTCATTGTGGTTTTGATTTGCATTTCTCTGATGATCAGTGATGTTGAGATTTTTTTCATATGTTTGTTGGCTACATGTATGTCTTCTTTTGAGAAGTGTCTGTTCATGTCCTTTCCCCACTTTTTAATGGGGTTGTTTTTTTCTTGTAAATTTAAGTTTTTTATAGATGCTGGATATTGACCTTTGTCAGATGGACAGATTGCAAAAATTTTCTCCCATTCTGTGGGTTGTCTGTTTACTCTGATAACAGTTTCTTTTGCTGTGCAAAAACTCTTTAGTTTAGTTAGATTCCATTTGTCAATTTTTGCTGTTGTTGCAATTGCTTTTGGTGTCTTCATCATGAGGTCTTTTCCCGTGCCTATGTCCTGAATGATATTGCCTAGGTTTTCTTCTAGAGTTTTTATAGTTTTGGGGTTCACATTTAAGTCTTTTATCCATCTTGGTTTGATTTTTATATATGATGTAAGGAAGAGATCCAGTTTTAATTTTCTGCATATGTCTAGCCAGTTCTCCCAGCACCATTTATTAAATAGAGAATCATTTCCTCATTGCTTGTTTTTGTCAGGTTTGTTGAAGATCAGGTGGTTGTAGGTTTGCAGTCTTATTTCTGGGTTCTATATTCTGTTCCACTGGTCTGTGTGTCTGTTCTTGTACCAGTACCATGCTGTTTTGGCTACTGTAGCCTTGTAGTATAGTTTGAAGTTAGGTAGCGTGATGCCTCCATCTTTGTTCTTTTTGCTTAGAATTGTCTTGACTATTCAGTCTCTTTTTTGTTTCCATATGAATTTTAAAATAGTTTTTTCTAGTTCTGTGAAGAATGTCAGTGGTAGTTTAATGGGAGTAGCACTGAATCTATAAATTGCTTTGGGCAGTATGGCCATTTTCATGATATTGATTCTTCCTATCCATGAGCATGGAATGTTTTTTCATTTTTTTGTTTTTGTTTTTGTCATCTTTTCTTTCTTTCTTTCTTTTCTTCTTCTTTTTTTTTTTTTTTTTTTTTTTTGAGAGAGTCTTGCTCTGTTGCCCAGGCTGGAGTGCAATGGCACGATCTTGGCTCACTGCAACCTCTGCCTCCCGGGTTCGAGAGATTCTCCTGCCTCAGCCTCCCAAGTAGCTGGGATTACAGGCACCCACCACCATGCCTGGCTAATTTTTGTATTTTTAGTAGAGATGGGTTTCACCATGTTGGCCAGACTGGTCTCGAACTCCTGACCTCAAATTATCCACCCACCTCAGCCTCCCAAAGTGCTAGGATTACAGGTGTGAGCCACTGTGCCCGACCACCATCTCTGATTTCTTTGAGCAGTGGTTTGTAGTTCTCCTTGAAGAGTTCTTTCACTTCCCTTGTTAGCTGTATTCCTAGGTATTTTATTCTGTCTGTGGCAATTGTGAATGGGAGTTCCTTCGTGATTTGGCTCTTGGCTTGCCTGTTTTTGGTGGATAGGGATGCTTGTGATTTTTGCAAATTAATTTTGTATCCTGAGACTTTGCTGAAGTTGCTTATCAGCTTAAGAAGCTTTGGGGCTGAGATGATGGGTTTTTCTAGATATAGGATCATATCGTCTGCAGACAAAGATAGCTTGACTTCCTCTCTTCCTATTTGAATACCTTTATTTCTTTCTCTTGCCTGATTGCCCTGGCACATTGTCTTGTGTTGGTTTTCAAGGGGAATGCTTCCAGCTTTTGCCCATTCAGTATGATATTGGCTGTGACTCGTCATAGATGGCTCTTATTAGTTTGAGGTATGTTCCTTCAATACCTAGTTTATTGAGAGTTTTTACCATGAAGTGATGTTAAATTTTATCAAAGGCCTTTCCTGCATCTATTGAGATAATCATGTGGTCTTTGTCTGTAGTTCTGTTTGGCACTGGGATATTTTTTATAAGCTTCCAAGTGGATCTGCTGTGCAGGGAGGGCTGGGAGCTGCATGCTAAGTCTGTGGACACATGGGCTCTGCTGCCTCATCAGCAACCCCACACTTGGCTGGCACAGTTGCCACAAGTATGCCCCAGATCCAAGCTGCTGAGGGCGGGGTCAGGTGGGGGCAAACAATACAACAAAGAGGCTTTGTCCCCAGTGCCACACCCAAGGTAAAGAGGTGCCTGTGGACCTGGGCTGTACCTGAGAGAGGAGGGTCATTCCCAGGTGGTGGCTGTGGGAGACGTGGGGATTACCAAACCACCACTTTCCCAGGGACTGCCTGATGGCTTGCAACAGAGAAGACGATGGAGATTTCCAGCCCTGTGGCTTTAAGGTAAAATCTGGAAGAGGTCAGAGCTGTGGAGCTGCAGTTTCCACATCTGTAAATGAGAACTGTAGATATAACAACTAAATCCTTTGTGTGTCCATGTGTCTGTGTGCATGCAGTGGTGGTGGTGTGAGAAGAAACATCAGGGTTGGCCAAAATGGTTCTTTATTTCAGTTTCCATCCTACCTTCCCTCCATGAGATGGAGCCAATGTCTCTGTCCAACACCTCCGCAGCCCCTGTTGGGTGCAGGGCTGGGGCCACACTGTGAACCACACACAGAGCAGGCCACCTGCAGCTCCACACCTGTCGTCTGCCCCCTAGACAAAGGATCTGGAGGGAGGGGCCTGAGCCTTATGCTCTGTGTCCGGGACCTAAGGTTTATGTTCAACCAACAGTAGGTCCCTTCTGAGAACCACAGCTGAAGTGGAGATAAGCATCTGTAAGGCTTCTCAAGAAGTCCCTCGCAGAACGGAGCAGCTCGCTTTTGTGTGATGTATGCAACACTGGGCCCGAAACGTGCTTTGTTCCAACAGATGCTAGGAAGGGTGTGGCTGACAGATGGAAGGACCCACAAATGCAGCATTTCCCAGTGGGGTCCACAGATTCAGCCTCGTGGGGTGCTCGTGATCAGAGTGCAGATTACTGAGCTACGGAGCTAAGTTCTTCACCTGCACCACCTCATCTGCCCTTGCAGTTGCCGTTCTTCATCCCTGTTTTGCAAACAGAGCTGGAGAGTTGAGCACCTGCCGCAGCATGTCCACACCCCAGGCCGTGCCCACTCCGCCCCTCTGCGGAGTAGATGTCACCAGGCTTCATCTCTCCCCTGCAGGCCCAGCACTGAGCCATCCTGTCTATACCTGGCTCTGACCTCCCACCAGATGGGGAGAGGGAGGCACCAGGCCTGATGCATCTCTGTGGCCCCCAAACCTGGCCCAAGACAAGGCCTGGCACAGACAAGGGCCCATTAAGTATACGAGTGAATACTCGAGTGAGTGAATGAATAGGAGAAAGCCAGGACCCCTTGTCCACAAGGTTTTGGACTTGATGGACAAGAACACGATCATGTTCAGGGAGCAGAGGGCCTCAGAAGCATCTGGATTCTCCACTCTCACTCACAGGAACTGACCCTCACCCAGCCTCCTGGCCTAGGTGAGGTGAGGAGTTAGGTTGATCATGGAGGAGAAGGGCCTTTGGGCACTGCAAGAAGATGCAAGGGGGACCCTTGTCACCCCTCTCTGTACAAGGAAGAACCAGATGCAAGGAAGATACAAGGAAGAACGCAGCTACTTGGCAGAGCGGTTTAGGACCCAGGTCTCCCTGCTCCCGGCCACTGGGGCCCTCCCCTCTTAACGCTCCTTATGATTGTACCATAATTATCCTTATCATTACAAACAACCCCGCCCTGTGGGAAGTGCCAACCAACAGGGGAACAATAGAACCATTCCTGGGTGCACCCCCCCTTGACTTGGAAGCCTGGCCATGCCCACTCACCTGAAGGAGGTGAGTCTCCCGGCACCCGGGAGGCAGGGAGCTCTCTCCCTGGTACAGAAATGAGACGCTGAGGTTCCAAGGAAGGGAGTTCACTCACCTTAGGGCACATGACCAGAAAAACTGTCAAAAGTTTGGGATGATGAAAGAGTTTAGAGATGGATAATGGTGATAGTTTCACAACAACGTGAATGTGCTTCATGCCATGGAATTGTGCACTCAAAAGGGGTTAAAGTGGTAAACTCGATGTTACACAGACTTGGTCACACACTCCTACACTGTGGCCAAGGTGGGATCTCAACTCCAGCCTGATTGCTCTGCCCCCAATTTACCTTTTATGACAGGAATTTAAAGCTTCTTTATCATCTTCAAATGAAGCAAACTCTATAAATGCATATAAATGCATGCATACCCTTTAGATTTGCCATTTAGGTTCTGGGGCACTTTGATAAAAGTTGCCTTCTCAGATACTTCCTGAAGAGCTTTTTGGGGTTTTTTTGTTTGTTTTTGTTTTTGTTTTTTTGAGACGGAGTCTCGCTCTGATCAAGGTGGGATCACATCTGGGACTGTGCAGCACCAGGCTCCATATTTTTGATTATCTTTCAGACAGTAAAGAAACTGTCACCCGCTCAGGGCATTCTGGTAACCCAGGCCACCCACCCTTGACCCTTTTCTTCTTCAGCAAGCATTTCCCAGCTCCTTCAAGCAGGGCCCTGGCTGGGTGCTGGAGACACAGGGATGAGACAGGCCCAGGCCCCCTCTCCAGGAGCTCAGCACAGAGGCTGCTCCAGCTCCAGCTTGCTCTGGTTCCAGATCCAGGAAACCAGCATGTAGAGCAGCCCAGCCAAGGTGAGAATAAGGTCCACCATGTACCTGCAGGCCTCCAGGCCAGGTCGGAAGCAAAAGACGAACTGATCGAGAATGAATAAGATGTTCAAAAAGGCAGGGGCACATATCCAGGGCAGAGAGGACCACTCAGTTAACCCCAGGGGCTAAGGCTTGTGAGAAAGAAGGTGGGGGGCCAGGCTGAAACCCCCAACCTCAGCACAAGACAAGGGCCATGAGCTCAGGAGTCCTGCATCCCTAGATCTAAACACAGCTCTTCCATACACCTGTGGCACATCACTTCCTCTCTGAGCCTCAGTTTCCTCATGGTAAGGCAGTGGGGGGGAGGTGATGTGTTTGACCCTTGACCCCAGATTTCTGAGGATTTTGTGACTTCATACACATCAAATGCCCGATTCAAAACTCTATCCTCCTCCCTCCTCTCCCCCTAGCCCTAAGCCTTTTGAACTCCCTGCCCCTCCTCCTTGGCTCTCTTAGCTGCAAGAGGCCTCAGAGCAGTGGAGGGCAGGGGGTTGTCAGCAACCCGGGCCTCAGCCCCGTGCTCCAGGGCTGACTGCCGGCTCCCAACAGGAGCTGAGTCCCAGCTTGAGCCCCGCATATTGGCCAGGGGCTTTGCTAAATGCCCCCATGTGTGTGCATTTTATCCTGTAGTGAGGTGGGGATTCTTAACATCCATTCTGCAGAAAAGGAAATGGGCTCAGAGAGCCACTTGCCCGAAGCCACACAGTCCTCAGTATTGGGGCTGGCTGACTCCGGCACCTGTGACCTCCCCACTCTATCATCTGTTTGGGTCATCTGCAGGGGACCCTGGACCTCAGGGCCAGTGCTTCCATCCTTCTGCCACACTCCATTCTGGGGGCTGGACTCAGCCCTGCGGCTCAGCCTGCTGTGGGGCAGGGTCTGTTCCCTGCACAAGCTTCCCACTGCCCTCCTGCCCTGTTACCCTGTGGCCGTATCTACCATACACATTCAACCGCAGGGGCCCCAGCCCACCTGATGCCACCAGGGACGGGGCGTTCGTTGTTGGGTCCTCTGCTCTCGCTCTGGTGGGTAAGCCTCGTGGGAGGAGGTACCTTGTCCACCTTTGTCACGCTGTATCCCCAGTGCATGGCACGTGTTCCAGGCCCCATAAATGTTTGAGTGAAAAGAGAATGAATGGCCCACTGAAATGTCCCTGGCACCAAGAGCCAACCCTGCCAGTGCAGGACCATGCCACCCGAGGCCAGGGCCCTGCACTCCCAAGAGTGACCTGGACGGTGTCTGCAGCTGGGTCCCACATGTGCAGATGAATACAAAAACCGAAGCAAGTTCTGAGCAAGGGGTTGGAGGCAGAGGGCTCTGGAAACCACAGTCTGGGAGGGTGGTTGGGGAGCTGGGGTGGCAGCTGTTATCCTGGAGAAGACTCCAGAAGGCCTGCGGATTCATTCATTCATTCAACAAACCCTCCAGCAGTCTGGCCAGGCCACACCCTGAGCGGGCACTAGGGAACAGGGAGGAATCTGACCTCTCCCTGCCCTGCAGCCACTGCCAGGGAACGGGGGCAGAGCTGTGGCAGGCCAGCCCTCTCCACGCTGCTGTGAGTAGAACCTGTGTCGGAGCCCAGATCAAGGTCCCTGCAGGTCCTGAGTGGGGGTCAGGTGACGCCCTGGATTCTGACGGAGCAGAATCTGGCTGGATGGTGATGGTACACAGAGATGAGGAACGCCAGGAAGGACACAGGGCGAGGCAAGATAAGATTCATTCGGGACCTGAGAGACTTGAGGATCTGGTCAGAGACATCTTGAAGACTTCCAAGAGGCCCAGGCGGGTGGGTCTCCAGGCCCAGGGAGGAAGTTCTGGAGTATGTCAGGGTGGAGACATACTGGGGCTCTGAAGCCCCAGGGAAGCTGCGAGTGCTGGGACGCCCTGGAGGGGAGAAGCGTGGACAGTGCTGACTGAGAGGAAGCGCCTCCCCAGCGGAGCCCAGGCCGCTTCCTCCCTTGCTTGGAGCTGGGTGCTGGATAACAGCTAGCCTCAAGCCTTGAGCCGCTGGGGCCTTCCGGCTCAGCCGCGCAGCATACGAAGGAAATAACTTTATTAGCTAGTGGATGAAAAACAGGAAACTGTGACTCGGGCACGGGCCAGTTTCACTCACATCTAGTTTCTAGGAAACAGTTATGTGGCCTCAGACTAGGTTGGGGTTTTCTCAGCCATGCTTTCTGGAAACGCCATGCTTTTCTCAGGAAAACCCATGTCCTGTAGGCCCCCCGGACTAGGGGGTAATAGCAACATACACCCCCGCCCCAAGAAGAAGCCTCACTTCCCTTCCCAGCCCCCACTCCCAGCAGGCCTTCTAGAGGCCTCAGGGTTGACAATGGCTCGTTTCCTGAGCACCTACTATGTGCTACATGGTAGAAATAATTTGAATACATCAGTAATCACAATAACAAGATGAAGATGGTCAAAGTAGGCACACCAAAAAAATTCAGCTCTAAGAACACAGAAAAGTTAGAAGTCAGTGGATGAAATAAAACACCCCAGACAAATATTAACTCAAAGGAATCTGCTCTATTCATATTAATGTCAGACAAAACAAACTTGAAGACAAAAACATTACTATAAATGTTTATATAAAGTGTGCCATTGCAAAATGATGAGTCAATTAACCAGGAAGAAATGAAACCGTTTAGAGGGTACACACATGATATAGCACAGCTTCAGATATGTGTATATGAGTGTGCATATATATATACACACATAACATTTATTTGTCTGATATTTATATATATCAGGCAAATAGTGGAAGCTCCTCTATTAGGATTTGATAGATCAAGTAAAGAAAAAAATCACCAGTAAGACTTTAGCCGCTCCACTGAGAAGTTGCCTAATGCATGTATATAGAACTCATGCTCAATGACTGGAGAATATACCCATTTTGAAGCACATATGGACCACTTTTGCATAATGGGTGAGGCCATAAAGCAAGTCTCAACAAATTCCAAAGACTCAGTTTATACAAACCATGGTCTCTGACCACCAAGTTCAACATTAGAAAAATCTGTAAATGAATTATTGCTTTTTATTAACAAATTAAAGAGAAAAAAACCCATAGAATTATTTCAAAAAATATAGACCAAGTGTGGTGGCTCAAATCTGTCATCTCAGAACTTTGGCAGGCCAAATAGAGGAATTGCTTGAGGCCAGGAGTTCAAGACCAGCCCGGACAACATAGCAAGAACTTGTCTCTACAAAAAACTTAAAACTCAGCTGGGCATGGTGGCATATGCCTGTAGTCCTAGCTACCCAGGAAGCTGAGGTGAGAAGATCACTTGAGTCCAGGAATTTGAGAGTTCAAGGTTATAGTGAGCTATGATTGCACCACTGCACTCCAGCCTGGGTGTCAGAGGGAGACCCTGTCTTTAAGAAAAAACAAAAACAAGTAAAAAAACCATGTGTATAGATACATACATACATATAAATTTGATAAAATTTGATATCCATTTATGATTAAAAACAAAACTCTTAGCAAATAAGTAATATAAAGAAACCTTCTAAATCTAACATCTATTTTTTTTAAAAACCTATAGAAAACATCTTACTAAATTCTGAAACATAAAAGTATTCCTTTTAAAATCAAGAATAAGACAAGTATGCCTACTATTGCTATTTCTATTCAACTTTGTTCTAGATATTCTGGAAAAAAATTAAGACAAGAAATAAAATAATAAGGATTGAAAAGAAAGAAATAAAACTGTCATTTTTCATAGATGATATACTTTTCTACCTAGAAAAGCAAAATAATCTAAAGATTATTAGACCGAAGAGAGTTTAGCAATGTCTGACATCAAATCAATATGCAAAAGTCAATTGCACTTCTATATATTACCACTTCTTCAGTTTAAAAAATGCATTTTAAAAAGGATATAATTGGTATTAGCAATAAACATACAAAATATCTTGGAATAAATCTAGCAAAAGATATAAAAGATCTTGAATAAAATTTTACTGAAAGACAATAAAGGAGACCTAAATAAACAGAGACGTATACCATGTTCATGAACAGGAAGGCTCACTGTCTCGAGGATGTCAGTTTTCCCCAAATTGACCTGTAGAGTCAATGTAATCCCAAACAAAATTCCCAATGTTCTTTTCACTGTGAAAAAAACTCAGTGTGGATTTGTTTTCTCATGATCGGATTCATATGTAAATTTTCAAAACAGGTTCCCACTGGCCAAAGTTGGGACAATTTGAACATCAATAAAAATAATGACAAATAGATTGACATACTTAAAAATGAATAAGTTTATTATACTACTAAAAAATACTTTACTGATTACCTTTGGAGAAGGCTAGAAAACTAACTCATTATTATTAAAACTGGTAAGTAATGAGAAACACTCAAATATTTATCCTGACTTGCTATTTAAACTGCACTCAAGGAAATGAACTAATGTAGTTGATAAAAGGAAGTTGTTTTTTAAATAAAGGAATTCTGGCTAATAAATAAAAAATATAATTAGAATATCACCGTTTTGCATTTCTTAGAGAATGCCTAATTACAGGATTGGGACAGGAAAAGTACAAAATCAGCCTGGAACATCTTGTAATGCCAGAAAGTAAGGATGTGCCCAAAGAATTATGGGTATTTCTCAAAAGGATGCAGGAGCCAGCTTAAAGAGACTCCCACTGGCCAAACTGGGGACATTTTGAGCTTAAAAATAAGTAATGGTAGTAAGAGATTATGACCCATTGAATAAAATAGAAAATCATAAATCCATACTGATGTAAACTAAAGGATAAATTGAAAGTTTGATGAGGAATGAGATATTTGCATCGTTTCAAACTATCTATAAAAATCACAAAGGAGAAAAGAGTAACTTTACAGTGAGAAGACTGGTAGACATCACCTGAATCATCAGTTATGGGACCAATTAAAATCACACACCACCTGATAAGAAGCAATGAGAAAAAACACAGTATCACTTCCATGATATTCCTACTGAAGATGCATAGTATTCATATACTATGCAAAGATGCACAATTATAGACTTTGCAAAGATGTACAATCATGATAAAACATCGGCAAATTCAAACTGAGGGATAGACTACAAAATAACTTCAAAAATTTCAAGGAAAGTTGAGTAACGTTTCCAGGCTGAAAGATACTAAAGGAACAAGACAACTAAAATACAATATGGTGTGTGCATCTGAACTAGATCCTTTGACAATAAAAGTCATTGTTGAGATGAGTGGCAAGACTTGAATGGTATCTGGGGAGTAGATGATAGTAATGAGTCCATGTTAATCTCTGGGTTTGATGGTTATATTATAATTATAGAGAAGACGGTCCTTGTTTGTAGGAAGCATTAAAGATTTGGGGAGGCTGGGCCTGGTAGCTCACACATATAATCCCAGCACTTTGGGAGGCCGAGGCAGGAGGATTGCTTAAGGCCAGAAGTTTGAGACCAGCCTAGGCAATATTGTAAGACCTTATCTCAAAAAAAAAAAAAAAAAAAAAAAGATTTGGTTAGTGACAGGGAACCAGGTCTGCAACTCACTTCTCAAAAGAGTCAGGAGAAGAAAAGCTCTTTGTAATGTACTTGCAACTTTTCTGTAAGTTTGTGATTGTTACAAAATTTAAAAAAATAAACTTAAGAGTCACAAAGACAATGTCTGGATTTTATTCTGAATACTTATTCAAGAAAATGAATTATTTTTTAATTGACAATACTTATTTAAGCAACATTTTTTAACTGACAAAAATTATGTATATTTATGCTGTACAACATGATGTTTTGATCTATGTATACATTGTGGGATGGTTAAATCAAGCTATTTAACATACGCATTACCTCACATACTTATCATTTTTTGTTGTGAGTACATTTAAAATCTACTCTCTTAGCAATTTGCAAATGTACAATGTATCATTACTAACAATGGTCACCATGATGTAGCACAGATGTTAGAAACTCTTCCTATTGCCTAAATGAAATTTTGTGTCCTTGGACCAACATTTTCCCAATCTTGCAAATAAATTATTATTAATATTATTATTATGATTATTATTATTTTGAGACAGAGTCTCGCTCTGTCGCCCAGGCTGGAGTGCAGTGGTGCGATCTCGATCTCCGCTCACCGCAAGCTCCACCTTCCGGGTTCAGGCCATTCTCCTGCCTCAGCCTCCTGAGTAGCTGGAACTACAGGCGCCTGCCACCATGCCCAGCTAATTTTCTGTATTTTTAGTAGAGACGGGGTTTCACCGTGTTAGCCAGGATGGTCTCGATCTCCTGACCTCGTGATCTGCCCACCTCAGCCTCCCAAAGTCTTGGGATTACAGGCGTGAGCCACCGCGCCTGGTCAAATTATTTTTTTTTAAGACAACCAAGGGAATTTGATATATTTGGATATCATATTATATTAGAAAATATTTGATTGTTTAAAGTATGAAAGAGTCTATGTTTTAGAGAGGCTTTCTGAAGTATTTATAGATGAAATTATATGGTGTCTGGCATCTGCATCAAAATAATCTGGGGCTGGGAATGTAGATGGATGCAGCCATGAACTGATCATTGTTGAAGTTGGGTGATGGGTTCATGATACCATTTACTTTACTTTTGTGTATGTTTGAAATTTCCTTAATATTTTTTTTAAAATTCCAAAGCAAATTTAATAAAAAGCTAATGTAGTAAATGTGTGGCAAACGTGTAGTAAATGTGTGGGTGGCATATACACAATGCCTATGGTGTTCTTTGCTTTATCTTTACTGTATCTGTTTATTTTGTTTAAAATACCCTGTGTTGGTGCCCATGTGATCCAAAAGGCAGTGTGATACAGTGCTAGTGGGTACAATCTTTCTGGAGGGTAATTTATTACTGGAAGCAGAATTAATTTTAAAAAATGAGCCATTGGAAACAACACCAACGTACCTCAGTAAGGAATTGGTTGACTATATTTGAGTACTTCTCTAAAATGGGATACCGTGCAGGTTTTGTTTTTTTTTAATGAGTCTGTTCTATTTTTCCACCATGAAAATATATTTAGACCTATTTCTAAGTGAAAAAGTTAATGTCAGAACAGTATATGAGGAATGATTCTGTCATAATGTATATATAAATAAATTATATGTGTGTGCATGTGTGTTGGTCTATCCACTGAAAATTTTTTATAAGAATATATACCAGGATGGGTGCAGTGGCTCACACCTGTAATCCCGGCACTTTGGGAGGCCAAGGCGGGTGGATCACCTGAGGTCAAGAATTTGAGACGAAGTCTCCCTCTCCCTCTCCCTCTCCCCCTCCCCCTCCCTCTCCCTCTCGTCTCCCCACGGTCTCCCTCTCCCTCTCTCTCCCTCTCCCATCTCCCCACGGTCTCCCTCTCCCTCTCTCTCCACGGTCTCCCTCTGATCCCGAGCCGAAGCTGGACTGTACTGCCGCCGTCTCGGCTCACTGCAACCTCCCTGCCTGATTCTCCTGCCTCAGCCTGCCGAGTGCCTGGGATTGCAGGCGCCGCGCCGCCACGCCTGACTGGTTTTTGTATTTTTTTGGTGGAGATGGGGTTTCGCTGTGTTGGCTGGGCTGGTCTCCAGCTCCTAACCGCGAGTGATCTGCCAGCCTCGGCCTCCCGAGGTGCCGGGATTGCAGATGGAGTCTCGTTCACTCAGTGCTCAATGGTGCCCAGGCTGGAGTGCAGTGGCATGATCTCGGCTCGCTACAACCTCCACCTCCCAGCCGCCTGCCTTGGCCTCCCAAAGTGCCGAGATTGCAGCCTCTGACCGGCTGCCACCCCGTCTGGGAAGTGAGGAGCGTCTCTGCCTGGCCGCCCATGTCTGGGATGTGAGGAGCCCCTCTGCCCGGCCGCCCAGTCTGGGAAGTGAGGAGCGTCTCTGCCCGGCCGCCATCCTGTCTAGGAAGTGAGGAACGTCTCTGCCCGGCAGCCCCTCGTCTGAGACGTGGGGAGCACCTCTGCCCCGCTGCCCCGTCTGGGATGTGAGGAGTGCCTCTGCCCGGCCGCGACCCCTTCTGGGAGGTGAGGAGTGTCTCTGCCCGGCCGCCCCCTCTGAGAAGTGCCCCTCCGCCCGGCAGCCGCCCCATCCGGGAAGTGAGGAGCATCTCCAGCCGGCAGCCGCCCAGTCCGGGAGGGAGGTGGGGGGCAGCCCCCGCCCGGCCGCCACCCAGTCCGGGAGGTGGGGGGCGCCTCTGCCCGGCCGCCCCTTCTGGGACGTGAGGAGCCCCTCTGCCTGGCCGCCACCCCGTCTGGGAGGTGTACCCAACAGCTCATTGAGAATGGGCCGTGATGACGATGGCGGTTTTGTCGAATAGAAAAGGGGGAAATGTGGGGAAAAGATAGAGAAATCAGATTGTTGCTGTGTCTGTGTAGAAAGAAGTAGACATAGGAGACTCCATTTTGTTCTGTACTAAGAAAAATTCTTCTGCCTTGGTATGCTGTTGATCTGTAACCTTACCCCCAACCCCGTACTCTCTGAAACATGTGCTGTGTCTACTCAGGGTTAAATGGATTAAGGGCGGTGCAAGATGTGCCTTGTTAAACAGATGCTTGAAGGCAGCATGCTCCTTAAGAGTCATCACCACTCCCTAATCTCAAGTACCCAGGGACACAAACACGGCGGAAGGCCGCAGGGTCCTCTGTCTAGGAAAACCGGAGACCCTTGTTCACTTGTTTATCTGCTGACCTTCCCTCCACTATTGTCCTATGACCCTGCCAAATCCCCCTCCGCGAGAAACACCCAAGAATGATCAATAAATACTAAAAAAATAAAATAAAATAATAAAATAAAATAAAATAAAAAAAGAATTTGAGACGAACCTGGCCAATGTGGTGAAACCCCATCTCTACTAAAAATACAAAAAATTAGCTGGGCATGGTGGCGGGCACCTGTAATCCCAGCTACTCAGGAGGCTGAGGCAGGAGAATCGCTTGAACCCAGGAGGCGGAGGTTGCAGTGAACTGAGATTGTGCCATTGCACTCCAGCCTGGACAAGAGCCAAACTCTGTCTCAAAAAAAAAAAAAAAAAAAAGAATATTACCAAACTGTCAAGCTCTCACTTTCTCTGTTATACAAATCTTAAAGTAAATTATTCAAATTAATAGTGATATTAAAATTATTTTCAGAAAACTTTTACATAAATAACTGTGTTAAGAATTTTTAAAGGAACCATTAAAAGGTACAAAAACTATAACAAAGACATTACAGAAGAAAACAAGATGAGAATAGGGAGTTTTGCTCCACCAGACATCAAGACTTACTAAAACTAAGTACAGTAAAATAACTAAAACTCTAGTAATTAAGACTGAGGTATTGATACAGGGACAGATATAAGAGAGATGGCACTGCTGATCAATAAATGATGCTGAGATAGTAGCTTATCTATATTAAATTAGAAACCTGACCTCATACCCTACACAAAAATAAATTGCAGTTGAATTAAAAAATGCTTGTGAAAAGTAATATTTTGAATTTTTAGAAAAATATAGGGGCTTCTCTTATGACCTTGGGATGAAAAATGATTTTTAAAAGCAGACAGCAAAAGCACAGGGTATAAAGAAAAACGGTGGACAAATTTGATAACATTAAGATGAAGAACCTCTGTTGATCAAAAGACACCATAAGCCTGTGCAGCAAAGTGAGACTCGACTCTACAAAAAAATTGCATAAAATTAGCCAGGCACAGTAATGCGCACCTGTGGACCTAGCTACTTGGGAGACAGAGGTGAGAGGATCGCTTGAGCCCAGGAGACCAAGGCTGCAGTGAGCTATGATCGCGTCACTGCACTCCAGCCTGGGTGGCAGGGAGACACCTTGTCTCTTAAAAAACAAACAAACAAACAAACGCCATAAAGAATATGAAAAGACAAGCAAGCCCCAAACTAGGAAACATATTTGCAACACGCACATTTGCAACAAACTCATTACCCAGTAGGCCAACCTTTCTATAGATATATCTATATAAACTAATACTCAAAAATCAACAAGAAAGAGACAATCAACCCAACACCTTCATCAAACGGCCATCCTCTCCTCCATATACACACTCCCGCCACGTGGCCCTCGGCACCTCAGAAGGCCCCTCCTCTGGGATGCTGCGACTGGGAGAAAGCTCTTCCCCTCACAGAGCTGAGGACTGAGCCCTGGCCCCTGCACCTCTCCCACAGGTTCCAGGTCACCTTTTTGCCTAAGGAGGCTGAGGGACCCCCAGGCAGACCCCAGCTGTATAGATGGCCTGAGGCTGCCATAACAAAGTACCCCACACTGGGAGGATGAAAACAAAACAATTTGTCCTTCCCTCTTCATATAGGGACACCAGTCATCTTGGATGAGGCCCTTCCTAATGACCTCATTTTAACTCGATTACATCTGCAAAGAACTTACTTCCAAATAGGGTTACATTCACAGGTATGTCGGGGGTGGTAGGACTTCAACTTACCTTTTAGGGGAACACAATTCAATCCATAACAGCAGCCTCATTTCTGCCTTCCCAGTCAGGTCCTGGGACACTAGGGACTGGGTTTACCACAACCCAAGGGAAGAACGGGAGCTCTGTGCGCAAGCAAGCCCCGGCTCATTTCACCACCCACCAGCCTCCAGGTGGGCCCTACCAATGCCAGCATGACGCCAAGTGCAGCCTTACAGCCACCTGTGTAAAATCAAGTCCTCGGTCTACCATTCCCTGGTTCTGAAACCTTGCACAGATCATGCCTGCCCCAAGTCTCAGTTTCTTCATCTGTAAAATGGGAAGTGATAATAGCCTCATAGCCTCACCTGCCTCAAAGGCTTATGGTGAGGGTCAAATGGGATTGTGTCTTTGGAAGAGCCTGGTGTGTACCAGGCACACAGTTGGCTCTCAGGAAATATTAGTCTTCTCTTCCCCAGTGTCCAAGAGCTCCTCAGGGAGACAGGAAGCCCAGCCATGCCTCCCAGTGGCGTGTAAGCCCGTCAAGGGCAGAGCTGTGTCATATGCTTCTTAACCCTTCCATGTATGGTCCCTGCAGCTGTCCCATCTGCATCACAATGTCTGAGGTGTGTGACCCCTGGGAAAGGGCAGCCTAACACCAAGGGAAAGCCAGTCCCCACTGGGAAAGCAGTGGGAGTCTCCACGCTCATATCAGGAAGCAAAGTCTTGACCCCAAGAAAGGAACTAAAAGGACAAATACCGGACTTCTCAGTGGGCAGCCAGCCATGTTCTTGTTCCCCTTCCCCCCTCTTCGGAGTCTGGCCCCATTGAGATTTGGGGATGTTTATTTTTTTTGTGTGGGAAAACGGAGTGGGATAAAATATTTCCTTGTGTCTGGAAAGCTATTTTGAGCCGGGCCAGCCGGGCAATGCTCGGGTGATGGGTGCTTGCTGACCCGGGCTGGGCCCTGGCCTTCCGGCCTCTTCCCTCCCAGGACCCAGAGTCCTGGCAGCAGACCGCCTACGGAGTCTGGATTCCAATCCTGGCCCAGTGACTCATCCTGGGGTGGTCTTGGGGAAGCCTGTGGTGTTCCCTGGACCTCTCTCCCAAAGGGGAGACTGAGGCCTGTGCTGCCCCCTCCTGGGGATTTTACAGGGAATCAGATCGTGGTAAGAACGTGCTGTAGAGATATTTCGCGTGTAGACAAACGACAGGGCTACCGCACAGCCTGTCCAGCTCAAGGTCCCACGAGTGGAAGGAGCCTTATGGAGGTCCCTCTGACCCCCATCTCCACTCAACGGCCATGTCCTTCCGAAGAGTTCATTTGATCCTCTCTCAAACTCGCCTGGCCCTTTAACGCGCTTCCTGCTGTCCCAGAAAGAAGTCAAACTCCCAGAAAGAAGTCAAACTCCACCCCTGATCTGTAGGCCCTCCCCAAGCTGGATGCTCCCTGCCCCCAGGCTCCTCTTTCTTTGTGCTGGGAAACCAGGCTGGCCTCTGTCCCCTCCTCACACTGCTGACTTGTCCCTCAGGAGTCTCCCGGGCTGCACCATATTTCATCCCCACAATGACGGCTCAATGCAAGTGCACCTCACAGGGCCAAGGGCTGGCCGGAAGCGATGCTTGCGAATGTGCCTGCCACACAATAGGACCTTAATAAATGTTGGCTTCTTCCTTCCTTACCAACACACACCCTCTTTTCTTTACAAAATCCTGATGGCATACAAATCCCCTCCAGCAGCTACTGAGGTTGGGCGGGCATGGCAGGAGGGGCAGGAAAGCTACTGAGTCAGCAAGATCCCTGGGATGAGAGACTTCCTAGAAGCCCTGCTCTCTAATCCTCCAGAGGTCTGAGCTCTTCACATCCTCAATAGGTATGGGGTTCTGTCTCCCACTAAGGGCTGGGAGAAGGGCAGGTCCCAGGGGGAGGCAGGAGGAGCTGGAGACTTCTTGATTCTGAAGGTGAGGCAGGTGCAGATGAAGCGGAGGGTCGCAGGGAAGAGAGGAAGTGCTCCCACCTAGGAGTTTCAGGACAGCCCCGTGGGGGCTGCGATGAAGGGAAGGAGGCATCCAGAGCCCTGGAAGTTTAGGAATGTCTGACCTGAAAGCCCATATGGCTCCTCCAGGCCCCAGCTCTTAAATGTGGCCCCAGGGCCAGCAGCATCAGACCCTGGAAGCTGGTTAGAAATGCAGACTCTCAGGCCCCGCCCCAGACCTGCTGAATCAGAATCCGTGGATTAACAAGGGCCCAGTGCTACGTGAGTACAACTAAGCCTGAGAAGCACTGTCGTGGCAGTTCCTCCGTTTTACAATAAAGAAGCCAAGGCTCTGAGAAGAGAGATCTACCCAGGGTCCGACACTGAGTCAGTGAGAGCTGAGCCCGGAGGCCCGGATTCCTGGCCTGGCCCTATTACCAACCGAGGTATCATCTGTGTGCTCTCAGAGCCTCAGTTTCCCCTGTGGGTCTTTGAGATGGGTTGAGGTAGCAATATAATCAGGTGATGCAATCAATCACATTTATGTTCTCACAGCTGCCTGGTGAAACAGGCAGGCCAACAGATATCATCCACAGTCTACAGATGGGGAAACGGAGGCCCATCAGGCAGTGGCTTTCCCAACATTACCAGCTTTAGCTGCTTTGCGTTGCCATGCACAGCTCAGGTGACTTGAAATTTGCCCTCTCAGTCCAGCCTTCCTGTCTAATGGTTCTTTCAGCTCCTGTCAGTTTTCAGGGGCCCTGGTTCGGCTGACAGCCAGCGAGCATGTCTGCTGCTGATGCTTGGATGCCCACATTCCTGGGCTGTGACTGGGAGCAGCACACCCAGAGCTCAGGCTGGGGGCACCCAGAGAGGTTCCGCTTGGCTGCACGCCCTGGGGCCTGGCTGTCTGGGGAGTGTCAGGAAGGCTGTCTCTAGAGGCTGATATGGCGGGGCTGGCTAGGGTATAGACTCAGCCAGGCCCCGAGGGAAGGCCTACCCCTGCATACTGGGGCAGGAAGGATGAGGGGGCAGGAATGAGCCAGGGGTCAGTGGCTTCCCAGGGAAGAGCTGTCTGAAAGACCTTAGGCTAGAACATCAGACCTGGCTAGATTTTTGTCCAAACTCTGTCACTTATTAGCTGTGACTGGGGACAAGTCACCCATCATCTCTGACCCTGTTTCTTCATCTGTAAAGTACTTAACACAGTTCTGGCACATACCTCGGGAGCCTGCAATGTAACTCTTAAGGAAGCTGAGACACTCCTGGTTCAGTCTCAGAGTCGCATCGTGTTTAAGAAGCACCCCTACACAGAAAAGCCCAGGAAGACACCATTCTTCGCTTGATTCTCTCGAAGAGAAAAATGAATCTAAATATGCAGTCCAGGCTGGGCGCGGTGGCTCTCGCCTGTAATCCCAGCACTTTGGGAGGCCGAAGTGGGTGGATCACCTGAGGTCAGGAGTTCGAGATCAGCTTGGCCAACATGGTGAAACCCTGTCTTTACTAAAAATCAGCCGGGTGTGATGGTGGGAGCCTGTAATCCCAGCTACTCGGGAGGCTGAGGCAGGAGAAACACTTGAACCTGGGAGGCAGAGGTTGCAGTGAGCTGAGATCACGCCACTGCACTCCAGCCTGGACGGCAGAGCAAGACTCCATCTCAAAAAAATAATAATAATAAATAAAATTAATATGCAGTCCATGCAGCACTGAGTCCACTTTCTCCTCCTGTCCACTTCTATCCTAGGTCTGGTTTGGCTCCTCTCTTCTCAGACTCCCTGAAAACCCCACCCCCAAGCTATTCAGCAACTTCTCATCATCTCCCTACTTTGCTCCTCTCACTTCCAATACTTTATCATGTGAATCCACTTGGCCTGTCATCCAGCAATAGAGAAATTAAAGGGGAAGACTGCTGGGTCCCTCATAGGACTGGCTGGGGGAGGACCAGCCTGTGTTAGTGACCTGTGTCTCATCCCAGTTACCGCTATTATTTACAAGTGTGACAGGACAAGACTTATTAATGTATGAGAATTCAAGCCTTCTTCTAACTAACCCCTGCCAACTGGCACATCTCCACCCTATTTCTTCTCTCCCTTCCCCATCTTTGCCCTTTATAGAGGGCCTTACAATGCTAGATAGGATCTTTTGGGGAATAAAGAATTGAGAATTGAGTTGGGGAGCAGAGAGGAACCAGATCAGAGGGCAGTAAGGAGGGAGAAGGACTTGGCAAAAGAGGTGAAGCCTGTTTGCTTTCTTAAGAATACAGGAGGGGCCAGGAGTGGTGGCTCATGCCTATAATCCCAGCACTTTAGGAGGCCGAGGAAGGCAGGTCACGTGAGGTCAGAAGTTCGAGACCAGCCTGGCCAACATGGCGAAACCCTGTCTCTACTAAAAATAAAAAAATCAGCTGGGCATGGTGGCGGGTGCCTGTAATCCTAGCTACTGGGGAGGCTGAGGCAGGAGTCAAGGACTCCAGTTCAAGGAGTCACTTGAACCTGGGAGGCGGAGGTTGCAGTGAGCAGAGATCACACCACTGCACTTCAGCCTGGGTGACACAGTGAGACTCCGTCTCAAAAAAAAAAAAAAAAAAAAAGAATACAGGAGGGAGAGTCAGGCATGGTGGCACACATCTGTAGTCTTAGCTACTCTGGAAGCTGAGACAGGAGGATTGCTTGAGCCCGGGAGTTGAAGACCAGCCTGGGCAAAATAGTGAGACCCCCATCTCTTAAAAAATAAAAAAATAAAAATAAATGAAAGAATGTAGGAGGGAGGTTTTACTACCACCCAAGATATAGGAAGCTAAAAAAAGCATTGCTCCCATCCCAGCAAGAAAAAGCCAGATAAACTACAAATCATAACTTTTCTTGAATCCATCAGAGATCTGAGGTCAGAGGACAACCAAATACCCTGAATTCCAAAGGGGGACAGGCACCTCCAAGGAGAGATGAGATCTAGGGATTGGGTCACTTGTAACAGAGCATAGGAAGAGGCACTGACCACCATACAGGTAGAGAAGAAAATAGCTTAAAGTTTAACAAAGGCTAAAAGCCAAGTGTTGGCTAGCTTGGCAGTCTAGAGTCCCAGAGGAAAGTTTTAGTATACTCTCAGGCCCTTTTCCTTGGGCTTTCATCAAGTACTGATGATCACAACTAGGGAAAGGCTGAGCGATTGTAGAGAGCAGCCTTGGGTAGTGCATATGTGCAGGGAGAGTTCAGAAATGACTACAGCAAAGACACACTGCCCTGTCTCCCTGCCCAAACCCTGCTCTCATATGGAAAAAATTAACCCCAATGTATGAGGGGAGAGGTAACAAACCCTGTTACCCTCAAGGGCATGGGCACAGGCAAGATTCCATTGCTGATAGGTGAAGGATAGAAGAAAAGGAAACTCTTCCAGGCCCAGAATCCTAAACAAATGCCACTAGAGACTTCTTACGAATGGAAGAGGGCCGGAAACCCTATCCAGTACAGACTCTGCACAGATATGAGGCAAACTTTGGCTTCCACTGGGAGGAGGGGCAGGAATCCTGAACAAACCTCCCTCTCCCCACCAAGGCCCAAGCACACAGGGCCTGCCTAACACTGAGACTGGGACACAGCAAAGAGAATGCCTCCCTGTCCCCACGATGAGCCTGGCAAGCATTTGTAACAAGCAAGATCAGTCTGCTACTGGGAGAAGAGCAAGAATGTGGAGAGGAAGCCCCTATGTGGTACAGGAGTACAGAGATGGCTGAAGCCTGAGATCACTGAGAAAAATCCTTCAGCATCTCATTTCCAGTCCTAAACCTGAGGCAATTCTAGAAGAATTCGAAGACTGCAAAACACTGAAGATAACCCTAGTAACAACAAAACCCAAACCCAACTCAACTCCTGACTAGATTGACTCAATTCCACACACTAATGATCTGACAGAACAGGAGACATGCCTTTTTCCAGGTGTAATAACTATTTATCTCAGTGTCTACTGCTCGACAATGTCTGACATTCAATCAAAAATAAAAACACACAAAAAAAGGCAAGAAACAAACAACCCATTGTCCAGAGACAAGGTAATCAATAAATCCAGATGCAGACATGATCCATATGTTGGAACTATCATAAGGGGACTTTAAACCAAATAGGAGTAATATGTTATAGAATCTAATAGAAAAAGTGGACAATATAATCACCGTACTGGAGATGAAAAATTCCTTCTGTGGCTTGTCAGAAGACTCAAAACAACTGAGGAATAAGTCAATGGACTTGAAGATGGTCAGTAGATATTACCCAAACTAAAAGAAAACAAGAGTAAAAACAAAGCAGCAACAACAATAAAACAGCACAGAGAATGCATGAGTTATGAGACAATATTTAACAGTCTAAATAAGTGGAATTGGATCCCAAGAAGGAGGAGAAAGAGAATGGGACACAAGACATATTAAGTAGATAATGGCTAGGAATTTTCCAAAAATAATGAAAAACATACACAGCAAACCACAGATCCAAGAAGCTAAGAGAACCCCAAGAAGAATAAATAACAAAACGAAAGCAAAAACCAACCAGAAAATCGACATATTTCATCCTCAGAAACATAATAGATAAACAAAAAAGAGAAGATCTTGAAGACCCCCAAGGAAAAAAAGAAGGTACATTGCTTAGAGAGGAACAAAGATCAGAGCTGTAGAAGAATTCTCATAAGTAATTACATAAACCAGAAGACAGTTAGGTGACATCTTCAAAGTACTGAAAGAGAAAACAATAACAAGAACTGTTACCCAAAAATATATTTCCAGTAAAAACTATCTTCCCAAAGCGAAGGCAAAATAAAGACCTTTTCAGATAAACAAAAGCTGAGAGACATCATTGCCAGAAGGCCTGAGCTGCAAGAAGTGTTAGAAGTTCAGGAAGAAGGAATACGATGCCAGACAAAATTTAGATATACACAGAAAAAATGAGTAGCTCTAGAGATTTTTTTTAATGAAGGTAAGTGGAAAGATTTTTTTTTTCTTCTAATTGCGCTAAAAGAAAATTGTCTAAAGCAAAAATTGTGACATTGTATTTTGGGGTTTGTAGTTTATATAAAGGTAAAATGTGTGACAGCAATAACATAAAAAAATGGTCAGGAGGAATTGAAAGTATATTGTTGCTGTAAAATGTTTACACCTGTGCGAAGGCATGTAATATTATGCATGTATATTATTTGAAGGTAGACTGTGACAAAGATGCATATTTTAAACTCTAGGAACCACACCCCCCACACCAATTTAAAAATAGGTATGAGTAGTAAGACAATGCTGGAGTGAAAATGGAATTTAAGAAATACTCCATCCAAATGAAGGCAGAAAAAAGAAAAGTGGAACAAAGAAAAGATGGAACAAACAGAAAAATACTAGCAAAGTGGTTGATTTAAATTCAGCTCTATTAATAATTACATTAAATGTAGATAGTCTAAACACACCAGTTAAAAAAGATTGTCAGATTAGAGAAAAAAGCGAGACACACTACTTGTCATCTACAAGAAACCCATTTTAATGTAAAGATATAGATAGGTTAAAAGTAAACAAATGGGGCTGGGCGCGGTGGCTCCAGCCTGTAATCTCAGCACTTTGGAAGGCTGAAGCGGGCAGGTCACTTGAGGTCAGGCGTTCGAGACCAGCCTGGCCAACATGGTGAAACCGCATCTCTACTAAACTGGTGCCTGTAATCCCAGCTATTTGGGAGGCTGAGGCAAGAGAATCGCTTGAACTTGGGAAATGGAGGTTGCAGTGAGCCCAGATCATGCCACTGCACTCCAGCCTGGGTGACAAAGTGAGACTTTGTCTCAAAAAAAAAAAAAAAAAAAGTAAACCAATGGGCCAGACAGGGTGGCTCACTCACACTTGTAATCCCAGCGCTTTGGAGGTAGAAGCGTTGCTTGAGCCCAGGAGTTCAAGACCAGCTTGGGAAACATGGTGAAACCCTGTCTCTACCAAAAAAATACCCGCATGATGCTGCATGCCTGTAGTTCCAGCTAGTCAGGAAGCTGAAGTGGGAGGGTCATCTGAGCCTGGGGAGGTTGAGGCTGCAGTGAGCTGTGATTGTGCCACTGCACTCCAGCGTGGGTGACAGAGTGAGACCCTGTCTCAAAAAAAAAAAGTAAAATAATGGGAAATAATATACTATTAAAACATTAATCAAAAGAAAGCCGAATCCTGAATCAAAGACTGGAGAAAGAAAAGTCAAAAAAAGAAGAAAAAATTAAAAAAAGAAGACAGCTGAAGCGGCCATATTAATATCAAACTAGATGCCAATCAAAGCAATAAGCAAAATCACAATGGTAGTAACCATCTGTGTAAACCTCACAAACATAATGTTGAGCAAAAGAAGCCAGGCACAAGTAAATACATATTGTATGATTCCTTTTTTATAAGGTACAAAGGCAGGCAAAACTACGTTAGGTTGTTAGAGGACACGATAGTGGTTACCATTTGGCAGGTCATAGTACTGACTGAAGAGGAGCTTTCAGGGTGCTGATAATGTTATCTTTCTTGATCTGAGTGCTGATAACATGGATGTGTTCAGTTTGTAAAGTTCATCGGGTCAGCGTTTTTCTATGTGAAAATTTCTGCAGTATATTATACTGTGAGAGAAAGTTTTTTTAAAAGACAGTGTTAAAATACACAGTAACAATAGCATGCAATTTAGGAGTGGAAGATAAATGTGTTTGAAGGTCCTTTTATTGCTCAAGAGGAGGATAAAGATATTTACTACATTAGGTTTTGGTAAATTAAGGATGATCTTTTAATTTCTAAGGAAAACACTAAGAAGATTAAAAAAGAGTATATGTCTTTCAAAGCAGTAGAGGGAAAGACTGAATGATACCAAATAAGTCAATGAAGGGGAGAAAGGGGAGAAAAATAAATAAAACAGATGGAATAAACAGAAAGCACAAAATAAGTGATAGATATAAATCCAATATGTCTGTATTTAAATTAAATGTAAATAGAGCAAATGCTCTAGTTCAAAGACAAGTTTTCTGTTCATCAAAAGGCCTTATAAAGAGTGAAAAGCAAACCATAAAGTAAGGGAAAATATTTGTGATACATACCATCGGAGAAAACCTATACCCAGAATGCATAAAGAAGTTCTAAGAAACAATAAGAAAAAGATAAGAGACAGGCAAAATCTTGAACAGGCACTTCATGAAAAGAAAAATCAGTTGGCCAGTAAATCCAGAAAAATAAACTCAACCTTAATAATAATTAGAAAAAGGGAAATTAAAAATACAATTACCCTCAAAATTATTTGTCATTAGGGGAATGCACATCAAAACAACAATGAGATTCCACTTATTAGAATGGCTGAAATCCAAAAACCTGACAATAACAAATACCAATGAGGATGCAGGGGAACAGGAACTCTCATTCATTGCTGGTGGGAATGCAAAATAGTATAGCTACTTTAAAAGACACTTTGACAGTTTCTTATAAAGTTAAACATAGACTTACCATATAACCCAGCAATCACACTCCCAAGTATTTATTCAAGTGAACTGAAAAGTTAGATAAACACAAAATCCTGCACGTGAATGTTTATAGCAGCTTTATTCATTATTGCCCCAAACAGAAAACAACCAAGATGGCCTGCTCCTTCAATAGGTGAATGGACAAACGGTGTGTATCGGTCGGGGTTCTCCAGAGAAACCGGAGGATCTATATCCTATTGGCTGTCTATCTATTGAAATAGGAAGAGATTGAAAGGAATTGGCTCACATGACTGTAGGGGCTGGCAAGTCGGAAATTTGTAGGGCAGGCCAACAGGCTGGAAACTCAGGAAGGAGCTGATGCTATAGTCTTGAGGCCAAATTTCTTCCTCTCTGGGAAATCTCAGATTTTGTTTTTAAGGCCGTCAACTGATTAGATGAGGCTACCCACATGATCAAAGGTAATCACCTTTAGTTAAAGTAAACTGAGTATAGATGTTAATCACATCTACAAAATACCTTCACAGAGACACATAAATTAGTGTTTGATTGAATAACTGGACATACAGCCTAGCCAAGTTGACACATAAAATTAACCATCACACTGTGGTACAATGGAATACTATGCAGTGATAAAGAGGAACTAGCTATTAATTCACAGAAAAATTATCAATGAATCTGAAATGTATTTTGCTAAGCGAAAGAAGCCAGACTTCAGAGGCCATTTATTGTATGATTTCATATATATGAAAATTCTGGAAAAAGAAAAACTAGAGAGATGAAATATATGCAAGCATGGTTTTTCATCTCTGGAAAGAGAAAAACTAGAAGGATGAATATGCAATCAAGTGTTTGCCAGGGGTTTGGGGAAGGGGAGTTGACTAAAAAGGGAAAATATTAGGAAATTTTTAGGGTGATTGAATTATTCTGTATGGTTCTGGAGTGGTGCATACATGATACAATACAATGGTCAAAACCTTAGAAATTTACAGCTCAAAAAATGAACTTTAATGAATGTAAAAAATTTTTTTGATACAGGGTCTTACTCTGCTGCCCAGGCTGGAGTACAGTGGCGCAATCACACTGCAGCCTCAACCTCCTAGACTCAGGTGATCCTCCCACCTCAGCCTCCCAAGTAGCTGGGACTACAAGTATGCACTACCACGCTTGCTAACTTTTGTATTTTTTGTAGAGACAGTGTTTGGTCATGTTCCCCAGGCTGGTCTCAAACTCCTGAGCTCAAGAGATCTGCCCACCTCCACTTCCCAAAGTGCTGGGATTACAGGCATGAACCACCACGCCTGGCCCAATGTGCGTATATTTTAAAAATCAATCAACCAGGAGGTCAGGGGCTCCTAGGATGGATTCAGACTGTGACAAAAGAATCTAACTGTGTTACAAATGTATGATATAACATTTGAAGGGGATAGAGAAGAAAGGAGCTGGCCTAAGTAACTTTGAAAAAACAATGTTAGCCGGAAACTGTAAGGCTAAACACAAAGGAATTATACATAGGCACTGTGTTCTAGTTGGTAAAGTTATTTCTCACAGGGATATGGCTTAACAATTCTGAAGCTACTGTGCATGTATACTGAGGTTGAACAAATAAATAAATGGATGCTGGATGATGGGAGTTAGATTTCTCACTGTTGGGGAGAGAAGTTACATATAAGTGAGAGGGGAAGGCTAGAGTGAACAGTAATATTGGATAGAGCAAGACACATCAGTATGGTTAACTTAATGTAGATACAGATGGATAGATACAGAAATAATTATAGATATGTATGTGTATCTATGGATTTGTATGTGCATATTTATTTCCTAGCTCTTTCCGCTAAGAGGGCCTAGGATCAACAACAGCCAGTAGCAGTGAGCACACTCAAGACTCAAATCTTGGTTTTTAACACCATTCTCCAATAAAAGGGACCAGGGCTACTTGGGGAAATGGCTGGTTCTAGAGCTGGGGCAGAAAAAAATATAAGGTAAGCCTTGAGAATATTATGGAGCCAGAAAATAAGGAAGTGCCAAAGATATAGGAGCCAATCTGAAAGAGTCTCCAATGGTCCAAGCTGGAACAATTTGAGCAACAAAATAATGTAGTGTTGTATTATAATCCAACGTGTAAAATAAATATTCCTAAGTCATATTAATATAAATAAGTGATTGAGTAAATAAATGGAGAGAAGAGACAAATCTCCCATACAGAAGAATTGCAAATAATTTACATAGATACTTCCCTCCTCCAGAAGGTGGGGCATAATCTTTTTCCACCTCAAGTGTGGAGTACGTTTAGTAATTTTCTTCCAAAGAGTAGAGTGTGGAAAGGATGGAGGGAGAGTAACTTTACAGTGGAAAAACCTGGCAAGCACTAGCTTGGCCAGATAATGAAGATTAACACCATCGTTGATAAGTCATGTGGATAGTATGTCCCCTTGATATGATATGATGAGAAGAGAACTTCACTTCTGTGGTTTTCTTCCACCAAACCCATCACCCAAGTCTAACCACGAGGAAAACGTCAGACAACCCAAATTGAGAGACAATCTTCAAAATACCTGACAAGTATTCCCCAAAACTGTCAAGGTCATGAGAAACTAGAAAAGACTGAGAAACTGTCACAGACAAGAGAAGATGAAGGAGACGTGATGACTAAGTGGAATGTGGCATAGTGGGTGGGATCCTGGACTAGAAGAAAGAACATTCATGGAAAAATTAGTAAAGTCCAAGTAAAGTGTGCAGTTTGGTTAACAGTAATGTAGAAAAGTTGCTTTCTCAGTTGTGACAAATATATCATAATAATGTAAAGATTTTAACAATAGGAGAAACTGGCTGAGGGGTATACAGGACTTCCCATACCATTCTGGCAATTTTTCTCTAAATTTAAAACTATGCTAAAATTTCACTTATTTTGTTGAAAATATGATTACCTATCATATTGCAAAAATTATGTAGTATAAAATTATCAATTGTTAACCAAGGTGGGGAGCACACAGTGCTAATGGGATTGTAAATTAATCAATTACTTAAGAAACATATATATATATATATATATATATTACATATTAAGATACAAAAGTATCTTGTGAACATAATATTAAGAGGAAAAAAAGCAAATCATGGAAGAATGCATTTATTATAACTCCATTTATATAAAGTTTAAAAACTGAATAAGATATTATCTAGCTGTACAGAAGTAGATGGTAAACTATTTTTTGAAGCAAGGGATGATTATAACAAAAATCAAGAGAGTGGTTTTGTTTTAGAAGACAGGAGGTTGCTCACTGCAACCTCCACCTCCAGGGTTCAAGCAGTTGTCCTGCCTTAGCCTCCTGAGCAGCTGAGACTACAGGCATGCACCAACATGCCTGGCTAATTTTTGTAATTTTCGTGGAGACGGGGTTCACCATATTGGCCAGACTGGTCTCGAACTTCTGACCTCAGGAGATCCACCTGCCTTGGCCTCCCAAAGTGCTGGGATTACAGATGTGAGTCACCATGCCCAGACTAATGTCCTATTTCTTAACTTAGGTGGTGGTTACATGGATGTTTGATTTATAGCTGTTCTTTAAAGAGCACATATATGTTTTACACACTCTTCTGTATATATTAATTTCTAAATTTAAAAATTATTAAATAAGAGTGCGGAAACATCCATTCCTACCACCCAAGGCTGTTTCTAAGCATTTTATTTAGCCTGCTGACCTTCAGAGAGCAGCCAGTCCTGCCCTCCTGCAGTCCCACAGCTGCTGGAGGCAATGTTGGTTTCATTTAGGCATGACTTTCACCCACTCCTGCTAACCTTCATACCTAGCTCCCTGCTGCTACTATTTCTACCCTCAATGCATACCTCTAGTAATTCTCTCTGGCCTGGATGGCTCTGCTTTAGTCAACAGTCATGTGCCAGGAAGTGTTCTATGAACTGTGGTTACAGCAAGGGAAAGAAAAGAAACCCTGTCTTCAGCAAGTTTACATCATGTTGATGATGTTGATGACAAGGATTGCCGTCCTTATGTTGTATATCATTGTAGCTTTGAATTGCATTTCTCTGATGGTTAATGATGGTACACATATTTTCTTTTTTTTAAATTATACTTTAAGTTCTAGGGTACATGTGCACAACGTGCAGGTTTGTTACATATGTATACATGTGCCGTGTTTGTTTGCTGCACCCATTAACTAGTCATTTACATTAGATAGTTCTCCTAATGTTATCCCTACCCCATCGCCCTACCCCCCGACAGGCCCCACTGTGTGATGTTCCCCACCCTGTGTCCAAGTGTTCTCATTGTTCAATTCCCACCTATGAGTGAGAACATGCAGTGTTTGGTTTTCTGTCCTTGTGATAGTTTGCTCAGAATGATGGCTTCCAGCTTCATCCATGTCACTGCAAAGGAGATTAACTCATCCTTTTTTATGGCTGCATAGTATTCCATGGTGTATATGTGCCACATTTTCTTAATCCAGTCTATCATTGATGGACATTTGGGTTGGTTCCAAGTCTTTGCTATTGTGAATAGTGCTGCAATAAACATACGTGTGCATGTGTCTTTACAGTAGCATGATTTATAATCCTTTGGGTATATACCCAGTAATGGAATCGCTGGGTCAAATGGTATTTCTAGTTCTAGATCCTTGAGGAATTGCCACACTGTCTTCCACAATGGTTGAACTAGTTTACACTCCCACCAACAGTGTAAAAGCATTCCTATTTCTCCACATCCTCTCCAGCACCTGTTGTGTCCTGACTTTTTAATGATCGCCATTCTAACTGGTGTGAGATGGTATCTGATTGTGGTTTTGATTTGCATTTTTCTCATGACCAGTGATGATTAGCATTTTTTCATGTGTCTGTTGGCTGCATAAATGTCTTATTTTGAAAAGTGTCTGTTCATAACCTTTGCCCACTTTTTGATGGGGTTGTTTGATTTTTTCTTGTAAATTTGTTAAGTTCTTTGTAGATTCTGGATATTAGCCCTTTGTCAGATGGGTAGATTGCAAACATTTTCTCCCATTCTGTAGGTTGCCTGTTCACTCTCATGGTAGTTTCTTTTGCTGTGCAGAAGCTCTTTAGTTTAATTAGATCCCATTTGTCTATTTTGGCTTTTGTTGCCATTGCTTTTGGTGTTTTAGTCATGAAGTCCTTGCCCATGACTATGTCTTGAATGGTATTGCCTAGGTTTTCTTCTAGGGTTTTTATGGTTTTAGGTCTGACATTTAAGTCTTTAATCCATCTTGAATTGATTTTTGTATAAGGTATAAGTAAGGGATCCAGTTTCAGTTTTCTACATATGGCTAGCCAGTTTTCCCAGCACCATTTATTAAATAGGGAATCTTTTCCCCATTTCTTGTTTTTGTCAGGTTTGTCAAAGATCAGATGGTTGTATATGTGTTATTTCTGAGGCCTCTGTTCTGTTCCATTGGTCTATATCTCTGTTTTGGTACCAGTACCAGGCTGTTTTGGTTACTGTAGCCTTGTAGTATAGTTTGAAGTCAGGTAGTGTGATGCCTCCAGCTTTGTTCTTTTTGCTTAGGAATGTCTTGGCAATGCAGGCTCTTTTTTTGGTTCCATATGAACTTTAAAGTAGTTTTTTCCAATTCTGTGAAGAAAGTCATTGGTAGCTTGATGGTGATGGCATTGAATCTATGAATTACCTTGGACAGTATGGCCATTTTCATGATATTGATTCTTCCTATCCATGAGTGTGGAATGTTCTTCCGTTTGTTTGTGTCCTCTTTTATTTCATTGAGCAGTGGTTTATAGTTCTCCTTGAAGAGGTCCTTCACATACCTTGTAAGTTGGATTCCTAGGTATTTTATTCTCTTTGTAGCAATTGTGAATGGGAGTTCACTCATGATTTGGCTCTCTGTCTGTTATTGGTGTATAGGAATGCTTGTGATTTTTGCACATTGATTTTTTATCGTGAGACTTTGCTGAAGTTGCTCATCAGCTTAAGGAGATTTTGGGCTGAGACGATGGGGTTTTCTAAATATACAATCATGTCATCTGCAAACAGGGACAATTTGACTTCCTCTTTTCCTAACTGAATACGCTTTCTTTCTTTTTCTTGCCTGATTGCCCTGGCATGTGCTCACGTTGTGTCTCTGTGTCACATTTTGATAACTCTCCCAATGTTTCAAACTTTTTCATTATTATTATATGTGTTATGTTAATCTGTGACCAGTGATCTTTGATACTACCACTATAATTGTTTTAGACTGCCACAGAGCACACCCATATGACAGCTAACTTAATCAGTAAATGTATGTGTTCTGACTGCTCCACCAACTGGCCGTTTCCCCATCTCTCTCCTTCTCCTCCAGCATTCCTGTTCCCAGAGACACAACAATATTGAAATTAGGCCAATTAATAACCCTTCAGTGGCCTCTAAGTGTTCAAGTGAAAGGAAGAGTTGCACATCTTTCAATTTAAGTCGAAAGCTCGAAATTATTAAGCTTAGTGAGGAAGGCATGCTGAAAGCTGATACAGGCTGAAAGCTAGGCCTCTTGCACCAGTTAGCCAAGTAGTGACTGCAAAGGAAAAGTTCTGGAGGGAAATTAAACGTGCTACTCCAGTGAACACACAAATAATAAGAAAGCAAAACAACCTTATTGCTAATGCGGAGAAAGTTTCAGCAGTCTGGATAAAAGATCAAACCAGCCACAACTTTCCTTCATCCAAAACCTAATCCAGATCAAGGCCTAACTCTCTTCAATTCTATGAAGGTTGAGAGAGGTAAGGAAGCTACAGAATAAAAGTCTGAAGTTAGCAGAGGCTGGTTCATGAGGTTTAAGGAAAGAAGCAATCTATGGGACATAAAAGTGCAAGGTGAAGGAGCAAGTGCTGTTGGAGAAGCTGCAGCAAGTTATCCAGTAGATCTGGCTAAGATCGTTGTTGAAGGTGGCTACACTAAACACCAGATTTTCAGTGTAGACAAAACAGCCTTCTGTTGGAAGAAGATGTAATTTAGGACTTTCATAGCTAGGAAAGAGAAGTCAATACGTGGCTTCAAAGCTTCAAAGGACAGGCTGACTCTCTTGTTAGGGACTAATGCAGTTGCTGATTTTAAGTTGAAGCCAATGCCCATTTGCAATTCTGAAAACCCTAATGCTCTTAAGAATGATGCTAAATCTACTCTGCCTGTGCTCTATCAATGGAACAACAAAGTCTGGATGACAGCACATCTGTTTTCATCATGGCTCACTGAATGTTTTAAGCCACTATTGAGACCTACTGCTAAGAAAAAAAAATATTCCTTTCAAAATATTACTGTTCATTGACAATGCACCTAGTCACCCAAGAGCTCTGATGAACATGTACAAGATTGTTTTCATGCCTGCCAACGCAACATCCATTCTACAGTCCATAAAGCAAGGAGTAATTTCAACTTTCAAGTCTTATTATTTACAAAATACATTTTGTAAGGGTATAATAGCTACCACAGATAGTGAGTCCTCTGATGGATCTGGGCAAAGTCAATTAAGAACCTTCCTGAAAGGAACATTATTCTAGATGCCATTTAGAACATTTGTGATCCATGTGAGGAGGTCAAAATATCAACATTAACACGAGTTTGGAAGAAGTGGGTTCCAGTCTTCATGGATGACTTTGAGGAGTTCAAGACTTCAGTGGAAGAAGTCCACTTCAGTAAATGAAGTCTAGAGATTTCATCTCTAGAAATTTGATCTGAGTCTTTTTTTTTATATCTTCCATGTCTCCACTTAACTTTTGAACATATATAATGCAGCTATAATAAATGTGCTAATGTTCTTGCCTGCCAGTTTTTACATCTGTGTCAATCCTGGGCCAGTTTTAATTGATTTGCAAGCCTGTTAATTTTTTATTTGATGATAGTAATTATGAATATTACCTTGCTGAGTGTTGGACATTTTTGTATTACTATAAATATTCTTGCACTTTGTTCTGAGATGCAGTTAAGTCACTTGGAAACAGTTTGATCATTTTGGTATTTCTTTTAAGATTTGTTAGGAAGGACTAGAGCAGCAGTTAGTCTAGGGCTTACTATTCCCCACTACTGAGGCAAAACCCTTCAGAGTACGTACTCAATGTCTTGTGAAGCATGAGGTTTTCCAGACTGACTGGTCGGAAGAGGCACTATTCTGGCCCTGTGTGAGCACTAGCTATGATTTCCTCTAGTTCCGGTGGTGCTTCCCTTAGCCTTGTATATTTCTTCACAAGCATGCATGGATCACTGCAAATCTCAGGAGTTCTCTGTGAAGTTCTCTCCTTTACTACTTTGCCCTGGACATTCTAACTACCTTGGTCTCTCTGGACTCTTAGTCCAGTTTTCTCAATTCAGAGAGCCCAGCAGGCTCTACTTGGGTTCTCTTCCCTACGCTCTTCCCTATGATGCCCTCTTGTGCTAGGGCAATCATAGACTTCTTCACCCTGCTTCTTTCCCATCTTCTGGCTGCTGTTGCTTGAGGCCCAGTGTCTTGAAAACCACAGTGTCATATAGTGGTGGTGGTGTTGTTATTGTTATGGCTGTTTCAGGCACATGAGAAAAATCCAGTCACTATTGCTCCATATTGCCCAGAAACAGAAGACTATGGCCTGAGGGGTCATCTTGAAGCCTGTTTCTAGGTTGGTGTATTCTAGAAGAGAGGGAGACGGAGGAGGAGGAGAAAAGTGAGACAAGAGGGAAGCGAGAGGGAGAAGGAAAGATGATGCCACAGAGAAGGGAAATAATATCAAGAGGGAAATCTTGAGAGGGCTGTAAGGATGCGATCTAGGCCCCTCATGGAGGGTCTGAATTCACCAGGAACTGGAATACTTCTCCACTGTGATGAGAGGAAAGTCAGGTATATGGGTTCAGATGTAACTTAGTAGAAAGAGTGGTTGGGAGAAGTGCCTTAATTTGGCCTCCTCCAGCAGACCCTGAGACAAGGAGTTGAGTGCAAGTCATTCCTTTAGGAAGGGATCCCAGGAACTACTATTATGGGAGTGGGGAAGTGAGACATTATCAAGCATGTCACCACGGTGAGTAACTGAGGCTTAATGTGGGGGAAAATGCCACGGAGTTATCCTAAATTAGGAGAGCTCGATTATTTTACATCAGCTTCCATTAGCCCTTGGTTGACTGAGGGGCATTAATTTCCCAGCACTTCAGCGCCTTGTACAGGGCAAAGTAGCCCCAGTGGTCAGAGAAAGGCATCAGGCAGAGAAGCAGATGCTGGCAGATCAAGTCCAGCCAGCCTGCCCCCAAATGAGAAGGGGTGAAGGTGGGGCAGCTACAGCATCTCAGCACGTGCTGCAGGGACCGCTGCTGCTTGTGACACAATATTTCACCCATACAATATGATGCCAGGGCTTCATGGGTACAGGGAGATGGAGCAGAGAGGAAACGTTGGTCTCTGCCAGGGTGTCCCAAGTGAGACTACATGGGCCTCACGTGCTACAGCTGTTGCTAATCAGCCTTTCCTGTTAACACAGGCACGCACATGTGTGCACACACACAATTATTTTCCCCACAGCACTCCCACGGCCTTGAGAGTCCACAAGGCTGTATACGGCACAGAGCACAGATATAAGGGGAGACAGCAGAAAGGGATGAGAAGCGCACTAGACACAGAGCCATGAGCTCTGCCTCCACCTCCTGGGAACCCTGTGATGTCAGGAATTGGTGTCCCAGTCGGTAAAAGGGTGCTAACTTACCTCCTAGGATTATTGTGAGAATGAAGAGAAATAGGTGACCATTTTATAAACTTTAGAGGAATTATTATCACCAGAGACCACCTGGTACATGTAAGAAGCCCCAGAGAAAGATAAGCTTCCCAGTAAAATCCACTCAAGATCACAAGAAAACCTCTGGGAGGTCAACTTGATACAGAAAGATTTGATATGGAAAGGGTGGTCTGTGGTCTGGTCGCACCAGCATTGCCCAGGTTCTTGTTAAAAATGCAGAACTCCGATCCCAGCCCACAGAGGAATCTGAGTCTACTGGATCGGAACCTGTATTTTAACAAGATCCCTAGGGGACTCTGGTGCACTTGAAGCCTGGGACTCACTGGCCCTGTGCTTGGGGTCTGGGCCTGCCTCTTTCCCTGACTTACCCCTCTGATTTCTGGGGGCAGCTCAGCTCCCTCCACCGTACAGTTAGGGCTGTGGTCCGGATCTGCTCCAGGGAGAGGCCAGCAAAGCTCTGTATTCTCATTGCTGAGCTGAAAAATTATTATAACTATGCTCATCATAATGATTCTGAAGAAACGAGATGGTAGAATCATACTGAGGAAAGTATGATAATACATTTCTGAAATTTACCATCAAAAATAGTTAAAATTAACAACAATAACAACAACAATAATGTCCTGTTGCTTGATTTATTTGAACGGCAGCAATCCGGAAAAGTCGTCAGTGCACAATGACTCATTCCCTGAGGGTTCTGAATAAGATTCTAAAATCACCACCCATGGTTTTCCTGCACTTTGAAGTGACAGAACAAATGACAGCAGAGATGGGCACTGTCTCCTGAGTCCAGAATGGATGACACACACGCGTCTCACAACAATAACATCCTCATCTAAAAACAGCCTGAAAGGAGGTTATTTCTGGGCTTTGCTTGTTAGTAAGCATTTGTGCACCTGTGGGCAGAGACCTAAGACCAAGATGGTTTGGGTTTTTTTTCTATATAGTCAATCAACAAACTTATTGATGCCTTTTCCATGCCAGGGCCTGTTCTAAGGACATGAGATTAATTCAACCCTCAGAGGAAAACCCTCACAGAGCAAAAATTGGGATAACAAATGAGAAAAGCCATAAATGAGAGACAGATGAGGAGGCTAAGGGAGAAAGACTCTGGGGAAGTGTCCCAAGAGGTGACCACGGAGATGATGGGTGAGAGGGAAGTGCACTGCATGACGAGGGAAGAGCCGGCACAAGGCCCGGAGGTGGAAGCAGCTTGCAGGGTTCTTCTGGCAGAACAACAATCTAATGCTATGGAAGAAAAATTCAAGACAAGTAGCCTTTTGGATTACATAACAACCTATGGGAAACTCCACAACCCCTGACAATGCTTTGTTGGCATCTGGGAGTGTAACAGCCTCTAGATGACTGCTCTGAGCTCACCGCCCCCAGTCACCTCCCAACCCAAGCTCAGTGTCCCTCCCCACCATTGATGCTTTGCCTGTCTCATTCTTCCCCACCTTTCTCCACATGATAAATTACCCATCTTCCAGCCTCAGCTCTGGAATTGCCTTTTTCTTGATGCTTCCACCTTACTGAAAAAACTGACCCTTCCTCTTCTCAGCATGAATGGGCTGCCAAGGATAGGGAGTAACAAGCAGAGAGAGTAAGTTGAAAGGAAAGGGGTTGATCTTTGTTTGGGACAACTTGAGGCTGACGTACTTTTAGAAAAATTCAGTCAGGGATGTCCCAAGGAAGTAAGTTTTGGCTCAAAGAAGAGAGCAATTGCAGATGTGTATTTGAGAGCCATCATAAAATTGAAGCAAATGCATTTACCTACCTACCTGCTTCTTCCTCTTCTAACAGATGAACCCAGCACCTCTACTAGATTCTGTCCCCTCCCATTATTCAAGGACAGTGCAACAGCAATTCTCTCCTCTCCTGCATCACAAACTTTCTCCTCTCCATTGGATCAATCCCATCAGGAATCCCAATTTCTTACATTAAACAAACAATTCTTGATCCCACTTCCCTTTCCAGCAACTGCCCCATTTCTCTGCTCCTCTTTACAGTGACTCATGAAATTATTTGTACTCTTGGTCTCCAATTCTCTCCTCCCATTCTCCTCCAACTCCACCAAAACTGCTTTTCCCAAGATTGCCAATGACTTCCACATGGCAAATTCCATGAGTCCTCATGTTACTTGACTTAGCAGCAAAAACACTGTCTTTACCTATTTCTGAGACACCACAATCTCCAACTTTACCTCCCATCCTCTGGCTACTTCTGCTCGGTCTTTTCTGGTTCTGCCTCATCTTCCTGACCCCCAGGTCCTTACCACCCCAAGGCTCAGTCCTGAGACCTCTTTTCTTTTCTGTCTACTTGACTTCTCTCCTTGATATCTAGTGGCATCTTGAATTTAATATATCCAAAACTGAGCCCTTGATATTCTACTCTCCAAATTAGATCTTCCCAGTCTTTCTCATCTCAGTTAATAGCCATTCTCTTCTTCCAAGGTGTTCAGAACAAAAACCTTGGCATTAATAGTAACGTCAGCAAAATGGCAGGGTAGGCAGCTTCACAGAAATACCAAAAAACAAGCAGAAACTGTCAGAACCAACTTTGTCAGAACTCCAGAAAACAGTCAAAGGTTTACAGCAACAACTGAACACTGAATCAAGAAGAGGGCAACTCCTGACTGCAGGGTGATTACCAGGGACTGGGGCAGGCAGGAATGAGGAGTTATTGTTTAAAGAAGTTTGTCTGGGTTGATTAAAAAGTTCTGGAGATGGACACTGGTGATGGTTGCACCACAACATGAATGCGCTTCATGTCACTGAACTGTACACTTATTAATGAAAATAACTAAAATGGTAAACTTTATTATGTATATTTTACCACAATAAAAAAATATGATACAGGCAAGCTGTGTGGCATTACTACTCCTTGCCCTGGTCCCGGCTTGGCAGCAGTCTTAAAGACGTCAGCCCACGTTCTATCGTGGATCCTGGTCCCTCTTTCTAGAAGGGGCAGAGGAGACATCATTCTCAAATTATTGTGTAGGTCTGCTCTAATCTGTCTCAGGGCTATTCAAAGGACTGATGCAAGACAGTCTGCTTTGCTTAAGGCAGAATGTACCCAGGCCAGAAAAGTAGCAGACAGTACTCTATAAACATTATAAGGCTGACAAACAAAAACAAAAACAAAAACAAAAAAAACCTGCAGATGCCTGAAGCAAAAGATTACATTTTGGCTGCAACATATAATAGACTGCTGAAAGCCTAGAAGAAAAAGCCAAGGAGAGTGTTTCTTTGGGAAATTAAAGGACTCCAAAGCACTCTTGTATATGGAGGAATTTAGAAAGCTTTGTCAAAGACCTCAAACTTTCACTTCAGGTTGGTCCGTAGGTTCAGTGGAAGTCTGCGTAAGTGTTGAAGGAGAGCCAGAGAACAGAAGCAACCTGCAAAGACTGAGAGAAGTGTTTTTGTTTGTTTAGGTCCTGTCACTCAAAGAAATCTGTCAAAACCCTAGTTAGACACAAGCTAAGGAAGAGCAACTTCAGTGACCAGTGACCACACATGAAAAGGAATACAATCTATGAAAAAATAAATAGAAAAAGCCACTAGACAAATGGACTACTACAGCCTCCGACCAAATAATCAACCAACTAAACCAACTAAAAGCCCAGAAAAACCTAGAGGAGAGTTAAAAGACAATTATTTACATGATTTAAAAGATGAATGAATAAAAAAATTATAAATCTATGTTATTGGTTACATATGCATAAAGATATAATTCGTGACAACATAAAAGGGGGACAAAGATACACTGGAGCAGAATTTTTTGTATGCTATTGACGTTAAGTTGGTTTCAATTCAACTAGTTTGCTATAAATTTATGATGTTCAATATAACCCCCATGGTAACCACAAAGAAAATACTAAATATCTTTAAAATAGCCACAAAAGAAATGAGAATAGAATCAAAACATTTCATTACAAAAAAAAAAAAAAAAAAACACAAAATTGACCAACACAGAGATTAGGAGAAAAATTTTTTAAAGAAATAAAAATAGATTAATTTTAAATATCAACACAAAAGACAGCAATGAATGAAATGGAGGATTTTAAAAGGTAAAAGACATATGAAAATCAACTATCAAATTGTAGAAGTCTTTCTTTATCAATAGTATATTAAATGTAAATTGATTAAAGCCTCCAATCCAAAACAAGAGATGGCAGAATGGATTAAAAAACCATGATCCAATATGCTGCCCACAAAAGACATTAATAAAAACAGAAAAGGGTCCAGGCGCGGTGGCTCATGCCTGTAATCCCAGCACTTTGGGAGGCCAAGGCGGCCGAATCATGAGGTCAAGAGTTTGAGACCAGCCTGGCCAACATAGTGAAACCCCATCTCTACCAAAAATACAAAAAAATTAGCCAGGTGTGGTAGTGGGCGCCTCTAATCTCAGCTACTTGGGAGACTGAGGCAGGAGAATCACTTAAACCCGGGAGGCAGAGGTTGCAATGAGCTAAGATCGCGCCACTGCACTCCAGCCTGGGTAACAGTGCGAGACTCTGTCTCAAATAAATAAACAAATAAAAATAAAACAAAGAAAAAAATCCACAGTTTCAACTGACGCAAAAAAAAAAAGCATTTGACAAAATTCAGCACCCTTTTATGATGACTCTCAGAAAACTAGAAATGCTTCGTTTTCACCTTCTGTTCTACTACTCCCTTCCTCCCCATTCACTCTAATCCTGTCTCATTCTTCCGTCTTTGAACACGCGAGGCACATTTCTTGGGGCCTTTGCACTTATTCTGTCACCTGAAACACTTTCCACAGACATCAGCCCGGCTAGCTCTCTCAATTCCATTTTTTTGTTGTTGTTGTTGCCTTTTCAGTAAGGCCTTCCCTGTCTAACCTATCTAAATTTTCACATGCATCTTGGAATTTCATGTTCTTCTTCCCTACTTGTTTTATTATCGCTAAGATACTATGCATTTTTAACTTATACTTATCACCTGTTTAGAATGTAAGCTACATAGGGCAGGTACTTTTTTAGTATTTTGTTCACTGCTATATCCCTAGTGGCTAGAACACTGCCTGAGACACATGCACTCAATAAATATTCAATGACTTAATTAATCCATACCTAGGTGGAAGTTGAATCTATAGCACAGATGAAAGTCCCAGGAAGACTGTGCTTAGTGAGAAGGGATGTGGGTTGAGTACAAACCCTGGTGAATACCACCATGCAAGAAAATAGCGGTTGATCCTGTGGACCAAATAGGAACAGTATTGGGTTGAGTGAGAGAGTGAATCTTATCAAGATTATTTATGATTTCACTAAACCCTTTTCTAACTTAAACATTAAGCCTGAGATTTAATTCAACAGCATAAGAGAAAAAGAACTAAGAAAGCTCAGTGTCTATGATTTTAGGATGAAAAAAACTTTTTTAGAACGACTCCCTAAAATAATGCATCTCAAGGACTCTCTGAGAGGCACATTGTGTGGGACTACAAAGAAACCCACCCACTGAGTGATGGTGGACTCTTGGAATTCCCATCAGGTATCACACAAGGAACTTGATGACTTCAAAAAATAAAGTGTGAATTCTTACACCAAAAGAGGATCATTATGCACTGCAAATAATTCATAGCAGGTAACCAATGGTAAGTGCTAAGTAAGCATGTGTTTCTTCCCAAATGCTAGAGGAACTCAGCAGTGGGGTGGGTTGAGTTCTCATTGAAGAGATCTGGGCAGTCTAAATGAAGGAGGTGGAATTCAAGCTGGACTTTGACAAATGGGTGAGACTTTCAAATGCAGAGCATAGTGTGTATGTGGTGGGGGAGGTAGGCAGTAGGTCAGGGTAGTAAAATGGGAATATGAATCTAGAAAATGATGCTTTAAGAGCCTTAAATGCTAGATTCATACCATTGTATTAGGGAACCATTGAAGATGTTTGAGAAAAGGACATAAGGAGATAACATTGTTATCAAAAAAGAAATGTCAAATATATTTTTCTGTTCTAATCAAGCAAGACTCCAAATATTTTGTAAGTGTATTAATTCATTTTGCCAGCTCGTGACTTAAACTTCTTGATGACTTCCCATTGTTCATAAAGACAAACACACCTTTAACACAACTGCAAGATTCATATAGTTTATCACCGTCTGCTCTCACCATGCTGCCCTTGCTGCTCATGCTGCAGCCACAGCGGCCTACTCGAAGTTTCCCTCCCACCATGCCTCTCGCACTACAGGGCTTCTGCACCTGCTGTCCTATCTCGTCACAGCTTATCTCCCTCCTCTTTGCCTAGTTATATCCTAATTCCTCTGGTTCCTTCTGATCACAGCTCCAGCATTCCTTCCTGAGGGAAACTCCCCCAACCTCCCCATTTATATGCTATCATGACACTATGCATTTCTCCATCACATCTCTTAACACTTAATCCATCTAGTTTTAATTCTTCATTAACATGTCTCCTTCACTAGGCTGGATGTTCCATGACAATAGAGGCTTTTCCCACCTAGCTGACAACTGTATCCTCAATGTCTGCACACAGAAAGAGCCCATTAACTACCTGTTGCAAGACAGAGAAAGAAAAGTCAGGACACCAGACAGAACCACTTGGAGAGAAGAGATTGCTTATCTATCAGTTTTAAGTAATCAGATAAAGTAGTACTATTTCATTCTGTCCTCTGCTGTTTTATGCCTTTTAGAGCTGGTCCAAGCTCACAGGGCTTGTCTGGTTTAAAAAAAAAAAAAAAGCAAGTATATGTTTTCAGTTATAGTGTGTATGTGTGAGCATGGAAGAGGGAAGAAGGCAGAGCAAGACTTTTCACAATTACAAATCTGATCCTGTGTTTCTTCTTTTTCAATATATAGGTCATCAAGTCTTGCTTACTTAAAGCTTACGAACCTGCAAGCAGAGGCCGCAGACTTTGTTTTCAATATCCTTTCTGGGAAAGGTCTTGCTTATACAGTGCTTTTTTTTCACTCCACTTCCTCTTATATGGGATTTATGACACATAATTAAACTAAAAAAAAAAAAAAAGCCTGAATCGAGCACCTCTGTGTAAAGGCACCCAAGGCTGATTAGAAGACATGTTAATAGCCCAACACCGAGTTCCTCCATCCTTCCAAGGGCCAGTCCTGTTTGGTAACAAAAACACTTCCTTCTAGAGAAGGTAGTAATTCATGGCTCAGCATGATGTCATTAGCATTTAATCTGAGTTTTAGTACATCATTTAACTTCTTTGAACCCTCAGTTTTCTATTTATAAAGTAGGAGTGGTGTAATTACTGGACTCAAAAAATACTGAGCACCCGACTCTCACTGGCATTTTTACGTGTACTGTTTCATCTTGTCTTCATAATAGTCCCATGGGGTTAGAAATACTCACTTTTATTATGGAGAAACTGACTCGGAGAGGAAATGTGACTTGCTAAAATTCACATGATCAATACACAGAAGAGTCTAAGGGTCAAATCCAGACCGCCTGACTACTATTTCCTTTGTACTAAGTCTCCTACCTTAGCAGGCTACTGTGAGAACCTCAAAAAGAAATGTAATTAAAAGCAAGTTTTCAATTATGAAGCTATACTGTTTTAATACTGCTAAGCAATTTGTTACATTAGAGAAGCAGAACTAGAACCTAACCTAGGATTTTAAGGGTGATAAACATTACTTTTCTCTTAAGATTAGTAGTATTTCCTATACTTCAAAAATTCTCAATTTAAAATGAGAGAAAAAGAAAATAATTGGAAAATGGGCAAGGAAGCTGAAGAGGTATTTCTCTAAAGATACATGAATGGCCAATATGCACATGAAAAGATGCTCATCATTAGCCATCAGAGGAATGGAAATTAGAACCACAATGGGGTAGCACTTTACAATTCATACATGAGGATGACTAGAATAAAAAAGACAAACAGCAGCAAGTGTTGGCAAGGATGTGGAGAAACTGAAACTCCTATAGACTGCTGATATGCAGTCCCTGTGGAAAAGAGTCTGGCACTTGCTCAGAAGGTTAAACAGTCACTGTATGACCCAGCAATTTCACTCCTAGGTATATACCCATAAGAACTGAAAATACGTAAAACTTGTACACAAATTGTTCATAGCAGCATCATTCATAATAGCCCAAAAGTGTAAACAATGCAAATATCCATCAGCTGATAAACGGGTAAACAAAATGTGATATATTTCACACAATGGAATGGCCATAAAAAGAAATGTAGTACTGACACATTCTACAACACGGATGAACCTTGAAAATACGCTAAGTGAAAGAAGTCACAAAAGACCACATATTATATAATCTCATTTATATGAAATGTCCACATTTCTTATGGCACATCCATAAGAGGCAGAAAGTAGAGGAGTGGCCACCCAGGGCTGGAGCGATGGTGGTGGTGGTTTCATTTCAGGATTTCTTTTGTGATTAATGAAAATGTTCTCAAATTGATTGTGGTAATGGCTTGCCCAACTCTGTGGATATACTAAAACCATTAAACGGTATACTTTAAATGGGAGAGTTTATGGCATGTGAATATCTCAATGAAGCCCCCTTTGGTTTTTAATCCTCTAAGTTCACCATAAACTGCATCTGCAATACTAGGCACTTATTAAAGTTTACTTTAAGCCAAATGGATTTTTCTTATCACTGCCTAATAGTTGTTAGGATTCTAAAAATTCTGTAGCATTTGCATTGTAATTTGTTAATATCCTTCAAAGAGATGACTTTAAATTACTTTTAAATTATGTACTTAAATGTGGAATACTAATAGATATAATGCTAAGACTTTCAGTAAAGGGATGTCTGAAAATCCATATATGGCATCATCATCTATCCACTTTATAAAAAAACCTAAGTATTGTTCTTATTTTCTCCTGTCTTCATTCCTTGTATCCATTTCATGAGCAGGAAGCCCTGTTTATAAACTTCATAAGGATAGGATTTCCTGTTTGTTCACTATGGTATCCCCAGTGCACAGAATACTACTTGTCATACAGAAGATGCTCAATTAATATTTGTTGAATAAATAAATGAATGCATGCTCTATTTGGAATTAACACCTTTAAAAGAAAAATTTTAAATTTCACTTGATAATTTCTTAATATTTGTAATTCTTTAAAAAAATGTAGATGATAGCACTTTTATTTGCCATTCCAATTGCAGAAACATATGAAGGCTAAATTCTCAAGGGACACAGGTATGCTATGCTGCCAAAATATGTAGAACATAACTTTATTCAAGTTTGCTCTTGTTACTTGATCCATGAATATTTAAAAGATACTTTATTTTATAAAAACTTAATCTGTAAGTAATGGATTGATCATAACAGAGGGCTTAACCTGGAATACATGGATAGGCTTAGAGGCCCATGAGCCCCTAAAATTGTATGCAAAGTCTAACATGTATTTAACATGTTGCATGTGTATCTTTTTGGTGAGAGTTCATAGTTTACCAAAGAAGTCTATGACCCAAGAAAGGTTAAAAAATTACTTAACTAGAAACAGTCACAAAGTTTTTTAAACATGAATTTGTACAATAAAATAATATCCAACAGCTCCATCTATGGGTAAATCATTATCACCTAGCAGAACTAGTGACAACCACCAGAGATCAGCGCATCTTATGAATGCTTGTGTTTAAATCTTCAGTGTCACTCTAGTGGGAATTTATTAACTATAGTATCACAGCTTTTTCCCCCCAGATGTAGATGCAAAAATTAGGAGACCGTTGATGAATTCTACTTACAGTACTTCAGCACCAAAAAAACTGGGCAGTTATGCTGATAAATGTATGTACAGTTCAACATTTGTCAGTCTTAAAATGCTTATTTATAGTGAAATCTATATAAAACCGTTAAAAACTTTTCTATTTACATTTTTAAAAATGAAAAGTATAGTTTCCTTTGCCACAACTTGTCAAAACTCTTACCCTCCCACCCCCTTACCCCTTTCACTCTACTTGTGACAGACAGTGATCACAAGACCAAAACATATTGCTTAAACAAACTGTGTCCTAAAAAGATAGAAGGCTTAAAAACATTACATTTAGAACTGTAAATGAACTTTTTATACATTTCAAAGGGGCTTAAACAAAAGTATGTAAAAGTTATTTTCAAAGTCTCAGTCCAATGTGAATGTGCAATTTCAACGTTAAGAAAGCATCATATGAATGAATAATTTGTTTTCTTAACATGACCAAACATTTCCTTTAGGTCTGAAAACGTTTCTTTTCCTCTGCTTCGCAATGAAACATTTTTTAGTAAGTTTTCTTAAAGGAAGAGGGAAAGTGGGGAGACGACGACAGTGGAAAGCGTAGGCAATCCTGGTTTACAAGAAATTTGTCAGAAGGAGTACGGCCTGCTTTGAAATGTTTACACTTAAATAAATAGAAGGCAAGTGTGCTGCTTAGAGCACAAAGGAACAATACAATAAATTAGCACACAACTGATAAGAATGCACAAGCCACCCAAAAAGTACCTCCCACTGGTTAGGGATCTGATTTCTACCATCCAACAAGGATTCTTTAATGCCAGTATTATTCTAGGTGTTTATAAACTAATTATGAACTGAGAAAATGTAAAATTTTAACCAATTCAACACTTCCAGGGATTTGCAAAAACATACAAGTTTTTAAAAAACTTTTCCTGACACATCATTTCAAAATACAACTATTCACATTCTCCTTTTAGATGGTATTTTGCTCAGTAGAAACCAGTTGAGAAACATTCACAGGAAGTCTCTTTCCACTGCAAGACAAAACTGTTTCACCGGCCATGATCCAACAGAGAAAGAAGACCAGGTCTTAAGTCACTGTAAATGTGCAGCTTTTTTTTTCTTTTTCATTTTTTTTTAAAAAAGTACATTCCCCTGTGAGTTTTATCTTGTTTTAAAAAGCTGCTCCTGCAGCAACATCTTGTTGAAACACTGCTGTTTTAGGGTCCACAGCCTAAGTACGGGCAAAGTGCTCTTTTTAGTCATCAAAATACAAGGGTTTCCCTGGACACTTGGTAACCAAGCAGGTTTTAAAGTGCACTATTGTGTCCAAACACTAGGACCGTTCAGCAGAGCTCTGAGAAGGGCTGGGTTCAGTTCCATCCTCCGTGCTACTGTCTATGTCCTGCTCCATTGCTGTCTCCTCATCATCCAGCTGTTGACTAGTGAAGTTGTTTAGCTCAAGAAGCCCACTGGGCTCCACCACCACATTGGAGCTGGAGTGACAAGGAATAGCATACTGAGGAATAGCCTGGAAGAGAAGACACAGGAGAATCTTTATGGTAAGAAAAGGTAGCAGAATAACTTCCCCAACAATATCAAGAAAAAAAAAAAAAAGAAAACTGACATTTTTTGGACAACTGGACAACTACTACATGCCAGGCACTGTGCAAGGTGCTTTCACACATCACATTCTACTAAATCCCATCATATTCTGCTAAATCCCTGTGACAACACTATAAGAAAATTATTATTCCCATTTACAAATGAGGAAACTGAGAGGGTAGATGACTTAACCAAAGTCACACAGTTGGTCAGGGTTAATGCCAAGATTCAAATCCAAATCTTGTACAACTGAAAGCAATCTTTCCACTCCTTTATGGTGCCTCTTCTAACAAAGGAGGCTCAAATCTATTGCCTAATTCAAGAGAAGAACTTTGAATAAAGCTTTCATTTATTATTAAGCAAATGTAAATGTAAATGTAGCCTAATTTTGCCCTTTATTATCTGCAAGACGAGTACCAGTAGAAGAACACTTGCTGTAGACCTCTGTGTAAGTAAATATCATAGGTACACTGCCTTGTCAGATTCTTTTTCCTCTTTATTAGACATCCTTTAAAAAGGTTTATCAGTTCATGTCATACTCTTGTTTAAAACCCCAACATTGTTTCCTATTGTACTCACTATACAACCAAACACCCTACCATGGCTACCAGCCTCATGCCAAACTCACTTGTACATTAGTGCTTTTGTACTAGTCCTTCCTCTCTTCCTGGAATATTCTTCCTCCAAATCATGGCATGGTTGGCTCTGTCCTGTCATCTGCAACTTGGTTCAAATGCTTGGAAAAGCTTTCCTTCCATGACCACCAACCCAAAAGTAGTGGGTTCATCCCACCCCCATCTCTATTACATTCTGTTACATTTTTGTTCATTGCATTTATCATCTGTTAAATTGTTTCTTACTCTTAAAATGTAAGCTCCAAGAGAACGTGGACAGAGCACAGATCTTGACTATCTTACTCATTGCTAGATGCCCAGAGCTTTGAACAAGGCCTGGAACACAGCAAGAGGCTCAATAAACACTTGATGAATAAATACACATTTTTAACATTAAAAACCCCAGAGCAAAGTTGAATATCAGCACTTTGCAAATATGCCTGACCAAAATAACCCTTTACTGGGGAAAATATAAATTACACTGTCAAGAAAATAATGCAAGATGCCTACGCATTGGTTCTGGAGTCACGAAGTTCTGTTTGTTTGTTTCTGCTTCTTTTTTCCACATACCTGATAATTGTGTAAGACTATTAGACAAGGTCAAGAGGCCTGGATTTTAGTTCAGCTTTGTCTCTGGCTTGCTGTGGGCCTCTGAGTAAGTCACTCTACTTCTTTGAGCCCCACATTAATCTTGTGTAAAATAAGATAGTTGGAGGATACACTGTGAAGATCGTTGCAGTTCTAAAAGTCTATGAATTCCACATATATAGACTCTTTTATAATAGAAGATACATCTTGTTTACTTCCCTATTCTCAGCACTTAGCACTGTGCCTGGAACACAGTAGTTAAACATACATGTGGAATAAATGAATGAATGAACGAATCAACCAATGAATAAAATACAGACTGTCCACAAAGAGCAATGCTTTTCATTCAAAGCATTTAATATCAAACATGTTGAATTTTTATAGAGCATTCTTCTAGAATCAAAGCACTTTACAGACTCAGCAAATCAATACTTCAGATCAAAGCTAAACATAACTAATAAGACCTGAAAATGCTCTAACAATATATTAATGATGAGTATAATAATAGGAGCTATCTTTATTGAGCATTGCTCTACACAGACACTTGACTAGGTGCTTTATATACATTTTCTCACTTAATCCTCAAAACAACCCTCTGAAGTAGATGTTAATGCTTCCACTTCATAGGTAAAGAAAAAGAGATATATAGGTTAGTTTAGTTGCCCAAACCCACAGTGCTGTTACATAGTGGATACAGGTAGAAATCACATCTAGGGATCTCTGACTCCAAAAGTTTGGTTGTTAATCACTCTGCTGTCCTTACCTCTGACATAGCACACCTAGCACATGGGACATGCTAAAAGCTGGCTGCGAATTCTGTAAAGAACCTATCCATTAACTATCATCCTTGATACATGAAGCAAATTACATTTTCACTCCTGTTTATAAAGTGCAGAAAAATAATTCCCAAATAAGCTGTTCAAAATGATTTTTAATTTAGTGAGTATAGGAATCTAAGCCCCCAGTAGGCATGATAATTTTGGTAAAAACAGTAATAATTACCATCTGTTAGACAACAACTATGAGCCACGTACTGTGCTAGGTGCTTGATTTTGTGTAATCCTTGTATCAATCCTGTAAAGTAGGCATTACTGATTCCCATTTTACTGATGAGAAATCCAAGGCAAAATGACGTTAAGTAGCCTTGCCCAAAATCATACAATGAATGGCAAAGCCAGAAAACCATTCCTTTTCCACCACACCTTACCTCTTCAGGGGAAAATACAAAAAAATCACAAATCCTTTTGTCAGGAAATATTTACTTCATTTACATTTGTTTTTACAAAGGGAAACAAATTATTTTAATAATTCAATGGCCATTTCTACTTGCCTTTAAGCACTTCCTCTATATTTAATTCTACCTTAATTGGTTTAACATTGTCAATTTGCATTCTCCCATAGTTTGGGATCATGGCAAAGAGAAAGTTTACCATAATGAATTGATGGTAAATCCTAGTCTACTCACATTTCAATAAATCCAAATTCTCAATTAACTAAAATGTGCTATTCTGATACCTTCCAAGCTATATATCTGTTTAGCAAAGAATGACAAATGTCAAGAAAACAACCTGATACCTTGCAAGGAGAGAGGGAGATAAAATACAACTTCTAAGGGGTAGCCTGGACTCAGTAATTCTTTAGTCTTGACCTATTATGCATGACAAGAGATGATTTTTAGAATCAAGGGAATGTGAGGTACCATCTATTATCAATGAATAATTCTATTGTGTTAATTAGCCTGTACTTACCAAGGCATGACAGAAACCAAACAAGATTTTTTAATAACAATGATTGAATTAAACAGTAAAGTTCATGGTTAGTCCCAAATTAAATATAAACATTATTTTAAAATATCACCTTAGAACATGTCTCTCCAGACATTGCAGTTGAGGTTTGATTGTCCTGAGTCATAAATTTGGATCAAGAACAAGAACTGTTTTTCCAAGAAAAGGGTCCCCCAAATTAACTTGAAATAGAAGTGCAATCCAGTTACATTCCAGAATTTTTTGAGCAAAAATTGAGGAGTACAAAATTTGAACCCAGAAACTTCCTATCTTCTGGGTTGACTTAATGAGTGAACACATTGGCAAGTATAGCTTGTATCTTACAAAATCAAACTGACACATGGGCTCTTTATTGCCTTTACAGTGTGCTGGGTGACAATGTCCATCAATTTTCTGATCCTCTTCCAGAAAATAAATAAATTTGTATTTTTGTAATAGGTGTTAAACCAAATTTGTCAAACACCATCTCAAAGATAATATCTATGTCTTCCTGCTGTCTTGGCTTGATTCTTCCTGTGACAAGTCAAAAACATATCAAACAAACCCACAACCCCCAAGATGCACAAGATTTCTCATTTTCCTTCCAATTCTTACCTGGATGATAATTTCTGCTGGACTCTCTTCAGCTTTCTTTTGGCCTACATTCTGAATACGCATGAACTGGCCTGTCGCAGGCACTGCTGGTGGATCAATTTTCCTTGTCGTTAGGGAAGAGCCAACAGTGGATGGACTCGAACAGGACTCTCTACATTTCTGTTGCTGGGGAGTGGAATTCGCCATCCCTGCCACCACCATGTGGGTGGAGGGTAATGATCCTGCTTCACCAGTGAGCATGCTAGTGGCAAGAGCCTTCTTTGGGGGATCCACTATCATATGTTCTACATTTGTATCAATCTGAGCTTCCATCAAAGACATTTTCAAAATGTCAGACACTGCTGTCTTCTCAGAGGCCTGAATGGGAGATATGCTTGTAACTGGTGATGTCAGCTTAGGCACAGAACTGCCACCAGTTATCTTTGTAACTGTGGGAGGCTGGCGCCCCTCAAAAGTTATCTTTGTAACAGAGGATCCTTGGGTTATAATTGGCTGCTCCACCTGAAAATAAATTGGGGTTGTGTGTGTTATAGCTACATCTCTTTGAGAAAATCTAATCAAACACCCCAGACAATATGGCAAAAGAAACATTCGTGCGCTATACTAGGAAGACAGTTTTGAAGCTTGCTGTTTTAAAAAGAGGGCTGGATAGGAAGGATCTGGTTACTTTTACAAAACCTAGAGAAAGAGGAGGGGTTGAAAGAACCTTTGTTCAGCCAGCCAAGGTTTATAGCAATAAAGAAAAAAGTAGTCTCAGCAGCCTAGTTTTCCTTTGGGGTTTACAGCCCTAAACAGTACACCTTCAACCTGGCTCAAATTATTTCATATAATCTTCTGCTTTTTAAAATAAAAAGAAGATTTTTTCCAATCTTTTGCTTCATAATACATGTATACAAACATATCCTATATATATGTATTTATAATATATACATACATATACATCACTCCAGAGCCACTGGTTTTGCTAATATAATTTTGCTTTCAATTATCCACCAATAATTCCTCTGTAATCTAGAAGATAAATCTAAAAAATAAAGTTAACTAGATGGCTATGATATAAACTACAAAGAAAGATGTTCAATGAAGTTCCTTAAAAGACTGTAGTTTACTTAGCATTATTACCACAGAAATCAGAGTTTATAGGCATGGAAATAAATATTTTATACCAAAAAATAAAAATAATTTAGGGATATCGCTTCTATGCACTGTTGGTCAATGCTGAAGTGATTTCAATAAAAACTGCCTGAAAAATCAAGTTTTGAGTGCTATGCTTTTTTTTCTTCCTACATATTAATGCGTGCATTTCTTCCCTAATGTCAACCTTCTGATGGGGCAAAGTAATACCAGCGTAATGAGGCTTTTGGGTTTCCTCTTGCCAGGAGAAAGCACTGATATCATGATAGGGTCGTGATGTTCTCATTTTTTTTTCCGTGAACAGAGAAGTTTAACTTTGCATGCTATCAATATTCCGTTACCTGGCTTGCCGTCTGTTTCTCTGAAGAAGCTGGGAGCGACATTTGGCTCTGGGGGGTTTGGGGTTGCACGTAGATTTTTGGTTGGTTCGGAGCCTGCTGCAGTTTAGGGAGCTGCTGCGTGGTTTTCACTGCAAGCACCTGTACTACAGTTTGCGGGGGCTGTGCCATTAAGGTAGGAAGCTGCCTGTCTTTGGCCACCATGGGATGCTGTGTGTGCTGTACATCTGGCTTGGGCTGTGCTTGTTCTTGCTGGAGAGGGGTGAGTTTTTGATGCCTGATGGAAAGCTGGGGCATTTGCGGGAGTTTGTGCTGGAGCTGGTCTGCCTGCAGGTGGATGGTCTGCTTCTGTTTAGTCTGGAAGCACTGCAGAGTTTTCACTTGCAGCTGAGTCTGTTCCAGCGGGGGCTGGCTAAGTTTCTGCTGTTTAGCTGACTGTGACTGAGTCAGGGCAGATCGGTAAAACAGACCTGTCTGAGGGTCTAAAGTGTCCATCTCTTCAACCTCGCCCTCCTCAGTTCCAAGTTCCTCGCTGTGTTTGGTAAAAGCAGTGTGACTGCTTAATGCCTAAGTAAAAAAGGCACAAAGTAAGAATGAAATAAGAAAAACATCTACATTGCTACATTTTCCTCTTAACTGAAAAAGACTTACGAGATTCACTCAAAAATTTTCAGAAGAACCTAGAAAGGCCAAGAAACCTCAAGGAGCTTTCTACTGCAACTTGCAATTTCAACTCTCAGACGTAAGTGCTTCGAAAACTGGTCTACTTACTACTATAAGAAAAGTCTTAGAGGGTCCAGAACTTACAGATTAGAAGAATAAGATGGCCCTGCAAGCACAACCAAACACGGAAAAAGAAGAGAAAGGCTCCCTGGCTCAGGAAACAGCCGTCTGGCCTATTCATGATGTTAACCTCTCTAAAAGCGGTAACCAAGCCATGAGGTCCCGAGAAAAGCCAAGGTTCAGAGAAGCCCACCATGGCTATGTGTAGGTCCAGTGCTATCTGGAAGGTCAGGGAGATTGTCTGAGACCTGTGCCTGTACCAGTCCCCACAGAGAGCCCCCTGCATGGATGAAGATCATTCTTCAGGCTTCACCAAGGTCTGCATGAAGCACCTCTCGACTAGCATTCCTCGCCCCTTTGCTCAGATCCCAGAGCCCTGGCTCCCAGGACGGAAGGAGACTGAGGAGGGGACAACAGCATTCCTGTCAGTAGAAAGGCAAAGTGCCCAGTGTCAGTGATAAGTGTTGTGAGGAGGCATCATCTTGAGTGACACGGTTAGGGCCAGCCTGTCAGACCTTTCTAGGTGTCCGGAGAAAGGTCAATGTCAGGAGCTGCCAGCTGAGGGCCGGACTCCAGGCTGAGACCTGCCGCCCAACAAAACCTCCAGCCAGTTGGCTTCCCTCAATGACACAGCAAGATCCACCCTATCCCCATCCTCCCTACTGCCTTATCATATGCTACACTTAAATCCTAAACTATAAAATTTTGAGATTCAATTGTGACTCTTCCCTATACCATAATGACTTTGCACATACAGGCTTTCAATTCAACATTCTCCGTTGCCTTTCTTTCCAGTAGTTTGCCTACAGTTAGATTCATCATCATGTGAGTGATGGTGACTTATGTGACTACTAATGATAAGTCATGCTTTAATCTGATATCCATGATATAACTATTTAACAGAGGCAGTTCACTTTGGGTTTAAATCCTGGCTCTGCCACCTGGAGCAAGTTTCTTACTTTCTTACTGAAGTGAGCATAAAAGTTTCCTCACTTGTAAAAGAGGGATAACACACCCACCTTGCAAGATCATAGTATGAATCAAACAATTTACTTAAAGCTCAAAGCACAGTATCCGACACAAAATCAACCTATTAACATATTTTTCCTTTTCCCCATTACCCTTAATACCAGATGTCCTGTTTTACATTAGATTTATATTCTCAACTTTCTGTTGCATCTCTTCCTCTGTAATTGACCATGTATAGTTAAAAAAATCAAATATTTATTTTCCTCCTTAGTCATAATGTTACTATGAGGATTCATTATAAAAGCAAAAAAAAAAAAAAACAAAAAACGAAAAACAAACTACAAACCCAGCAGCAAACAGCTAAACAAGCCAAATGTTATTTCATTTGAAAATCTTATTTACCTCAATGATACATTCTTCCACAGTAAAATACACAAAAACAGTGACCAATTCTGATGTCATTAGATTCATCTAGACATTCTCACCCTTTTGAAATGGTAAGAGTTCACAGATTTAAGAATACTGTTTCAGAATTATTTTCTGGTGTTAAGACTCTTAATTCATTTCCTCTACTCATTTCTTAGAAAAGAATTACACAAACACTCTACGTTCCAATTATTTCTCCTCTTAAAATACAAGATGACACTGAATCTTATTTCAAGCATGGGCAGTTGCAGAAGATAGGAAGAAAAAGAAGAGATACAACCTGCTGCATAATGTGGGTGATTGCTCCAGGGGAAGATGCTGGGATGGACTTCACCACCACCGAAGTCTGTGTTGCGGTCTGTGACTGAGCCACATGCTGGAGCAGGGTCCGCTGGGGCTGGGAAGGCTGTTGGGGCTGGGAGCGATGGCTGACTGAAAATAGAGGAGGTGATGATATTTCTCCAGAAATCACCACAGCATCTGTAACCAGTAGTCATTTTAAACAAATGTCTGTGAGCTTGTATCACAGAAAGAAAGTGTAGTATTGTGAACTAGGAGGCAGAAGACCACAGTCTGCCCATCTATGAGCTGTGTGACTCTAAGAAAGTCTCTTATCTTCTCTGAGACTGTTTCCTCATCTGCAAAATGGGAATAACAGAGCTATTATAAGGATGAGATGAGAAATGTATACGGAAGCACTGTGAAAACTCTTATCACAAAGGAGGAACAAACCCCTTAAAGTTGCATCCTCCCATGAGCTGTACTCACTTTCTCCAATGACTTTCATCCCATTAAGGTAACAAAGCAGTAATCAATTTCTGTAATCCCAAAATAATATCTTTAAGGAAAGTAAGGCAATACACATTCTTTAATCTCTTGGTCTCAGTTCGACATGCAATAAAAACATTAGTAGCATTCACTCCTTTGTATTAAGTGATTCTGTCTCACAACCTTACAGTTCCTAAAAATCTAAAGGTCTGGGTGATAATGCAGAAAATAAACTGAATCAAGAATCACGCTTGGATCCTGTCCTGTTCTACCATCAAACAGCCAAGTGAATTTGAAGAGGTCACTCATCCTCTATTAGCCTCTAAAACTTAAGAGGTTTTGTTTTGTTTGATTGATTTTATTTTAATGGGATAATAAAGGCTTGCTGTTTCTACCTAGAAGAGGACCAAATGAAGTAACAGACTGAAAAATTGTCCTTAAACTATAAAGTACTAAACAAATATAAAGAGTTAACAAAATAATAGAAAAATCTGTTCTATCATCTCAAATTTAGCTCACCTGGCACAAATGGGTAAGATTGCAGTATAGGAAACATCCCTGCTTCTTATTCTATTGCTACAAAGGTCCCATGAAGTAACCAATCTATCAAATTTTACCAGCTTCAACTTTTTATTCATTTGTTTATTTATTTTGGAGACTCAGTCTTGCTCTGTTACCCAGGCTGGAGTGCAATGGCACAATCTCTGTTCACTGCAACTTCCGACTCCCAGGTTCAAGTTACTCTCATGCCTCAGCCTCCTGAATAGCTGGGATTACATGTGTGCACCACCACGCCAGGCTAATTTTTGCATTTTTTAGTAGAGTCAGGGTTTTGCCATGATGGCCAAGCTGGTCTTGAAATCCTGACCTCAAGTGATCCACCCACCTCGGCCTCCCAAAGTGCTGGGATTACAGGCATGAGCCACCACACTTGGCCTCAACTTCAACTTTTTACACAGTCCACAGAGCTTTAAAAATGCATATGATTACTGGGAAACTAACCCTTTGAATTAGAAACAGATAAAAATACAATATATCTGTAAATTAGCTAAGGCTTTTGGGATTATTGAAACTTTCTCAATAACCCATGATTCTAATGTTCATATACCCTGATCTATAATTTCAAATAGCACTGACTTCCTGTTTAGAAAAGTCATAGTGGGGTGTTCAAGAGTAAGATGATCACTATGGAAATCAATGTAAAAATGCCATTTATGTATTATAAGGACTAGCTTTAAAACTATCCAGTGAAATATAAATAGGCTTTATTTTTTATGACACATTCTATCTATATTCACAAATGCAGTGTTTCTATTGTTGCTATACATATATCTACATGTGATTTGAGATTATAGGCAGCATCACCAGTATTCTTTTATAAATGTTCTGTAGTATCTTACAATATTTCACAGTATGCTTTGTATGCACATGTTAAATTACGTGAGTTAATAAAATCTTCCATATGTGCTCAACATAATCGAAAAAAAGATAGTCAAGGTTTACACTAAAACAACAATGACTGAAGTAATTTACAATATGACTGAGTAGAAAAAACAAATTATAATAATATTAAAATTAAGCAAATTAATATTTTTTAAATGAAAGCATCAGAAATGAATGACATGTGAAAATAAAAAATACATTTCAGATGAAATTATCAAATTATATGGAACACTTCTACCACCCATATTAATCTTCATAATTATTACATTAAGCATTTTTTTATTAAGAAGTGAAATGGATTTTAAAAAGATCAACTAAGTCTATTTAAAAATAATTCTCCTTCAACTATAATTACTTCACGGTAATTCTCCAGAGTTCAGGAAAATTAGAGAGAACTAGTACCCACTGCAGAATGATACAAAGGGCAGGCCAAGCAGCTGGCTTTTAAGTCAAAGAAAATGCTCAATATGGCTGTGGATATCATGGGTGGAGATTGTGGAGGAAGGTCACAGAATAAACCCTTGGAAAATAGCTGAAGTGACCTTAACTGGGCCATATAAACACCATAAAGCAGTAATTTTTATTATTTTAAAGAACTCTTTTTTCCACTGTCAAAATGCTCATTTCTGAGAAAGAATTCCACTATTCTACAAAAGAAAAATCTCTCTTCCTTTCACTAAGTGGAGCTTACCTTTCCTCTACCAGATGAGAGTAGAGCGCATCCATTTAAGCGGTTCCCCCCAAAACAATCATCTTTTACCTTCAGTGATACTACAAATGGATGCACACCACTTACCTAGAAGGGGAAAAGCAACCTCTGTCCCCTCATCAGTGCGTTCTGAAAGGATAAGTAAGGGAAGAAATCATAGTCTTTTCATCTGTTCACCATGCAAGAATCTAGTCTACCCCCAGAGGTTATTTATGTTCCCCAGAATACTGGCCTCTGCTTGAATTAGCTTTCTGCTAAATATCTCTAAAGAAAGATTCTAGATGGCTTTCCATATCTTACCTGGATTTTCCCCTTTGGCAATTTTAACCCATTAGTCTTAATAATATTATCTCCTAAAATGATGCCAAAGAATTCCTTTTCTTTTTGGTATTTATGTCCTTCAAATATCTGTAAGTTTATGTTCTCCTTTAACCACTGCTAAAGAAAACTTAAGAAAGGAGTCCTCTACATATTGCCTCATAAGTCATCTCTCTTAAACCCTTTAATTATTCACATTACTGCTCTCTGAACTATTTCAAATTTCAAAGTAATAAAGTGTTCAAAAGAGAAAGCAGTATTCCAGGTGTCATCTAATCAGAATAGGAGAGAAACAATCTATCTTGTTTTATTTCTCTATATATGCCATCTAAAAATCTCAGTGTTTTGCTGCCAGACCACATTTTAAACAAATAGCTAATCTGCTTTCCACCAGAACTTGTAAGTATTTAAATGGATTTAAGGGTTTTTTGGCTTGTTTTTGTTTTTATTTTGAGACAGAGTCTCCCTCTGACACCCAGGCTGGAGTGCAGTGGCATAGTCTCAGCTCACTGCAACCTCTGCCTTCCGGATTCAAGGGATTCTCGTGACTCAGCCTCCCGAGTAGCTGGGACTACAGGCAAGTGCCACCACACCTGGCTAATTTTTGTAGTTTTAGTAAAGATGGGGTTTCGCTATGTTGGCCAGGCTGGTCTCAAACTCCTGACCTCAAGCAATCTGCCCGCCTCGGCCTCCCAAAATGCTGGGATTACAGGCGTGAGCCACTGCATCTGGCTAAGGTTTTCTACTTTTTGAAAAATATTAAAAGGACCGGATTTTATTTCTTCTTTCCCCCTTGACCCACCTTCCCACAAAACTAAAAACTCTAGATGCATAAAAATACTTATTCTAGGCCAGGCTCAGTGGCTCATGCCTGTAATTCCAGCACTTTGGGAGGCCAAGGTGGACGGATCTCTTGAGCCCAGGAATTCAAGACAAGCCCGGGCAACATGGCGAAATCCCATCTCTACTAAAAATACAAAAAATTAACCAGGCATAGTGGCACACACCTGTAGTCCCAGCTACTCAGGAGGCTGAGGCAGGAGGATCACCTGAGCCCAGGAAGTTGAGGCTGCAGTGAATCATGATCGCGCCACTGCACTCCAGCCTGAGCGATGGGCGTGAGACCCTGTCTCAAAACAAACAAACAAACAAAAAACAAACAAAACTCATTCTTAGACAAAAGATATTTTATCCTCTCCCTACAACTGTTGCTGTATATTCACAGTTGTTATTTATGGCTGACTTGTAGTTTTATATTACCTACAAACTTCATAACATCCTATTTTTTTTCCTAGTCATTAAAGACAGGGTAAATCCCAAGGATGGTGTGAATTTGCTCTGAAAACAAAGAGGAAAAAGCTAAAAATATAAAGAATATATTCTCCCCCACACAATCATCCCATGAAATCCAGGAAGGTAGTTCTCCTACCTTAATACTACATTTTAAGAGGACACCTACCAGTAGTGATGTATTCAGCTACTAGTTCTGACTCTACCACAGCAATTGATGGACTCTCAGGAGAATGTCTCTTTTCCTGGGTCATCTGAATAGGCACTGCCATTTGACTCAGGTCAATAGTGGGTTGTCTTGGTTTAGATTCCAATTTTTCCTTTACTGCATAAAAAAGTCAGGGGAAAAGTTAACTTTTATTACAAACAAGTACCAAAACCAGAGTTGTCCACAGGAATAATGAACCAGACCTCTGGGGTGCCACACTGGCAGTGACTAAGTAGACAGTGAATTGAAAAGAAAAAAGCAGATTGCTATGTATGGCTGTTTAGTGCACAACTTGCATAACCATACTCAGCAGCCTAGTAAGAAGGACTTACATACAATAACACAAAAATCATCTCCTTTTTATCTCTAAGCCAAACAACTGAATTTTTATCTTGTACACTCTCCTTAAGGTATTTCCTATACCCTTCTTCAAGGTATTCCCTGTGGTCTTGAGTTCATCAACCTAAAAACAAAGGGTGAATAAGCAGTACATAACATGATTTGCTCTAGGACACATCTACCCAGAATAGCACAACACAGTGACCAGTTTAATTTGAGCTATTAAAAATTCAAGATATCTCCAAAGGAATGTTACAATGTCTTCAACAACTTTTAAAGAATAAAAATTTTCATTGTTAGAAAAAAATGGCTTCTTTGTTTCTAGAAAAATGTCTGATATAACAGTCTGGAATCAAGAATGATTTCCATTAATAGATTCACTTTCTACCTTGTTATCAACTTTTCTACAAAATCTATGCGTTCAAAGTCCCCACCTCTATAAGGCATTAAGAGAAATGGCTCAGCATGTCAACGACAAAGAACCGAAGAAATCCCTAAGGTCAAAAATAACACCGACAGAAGGATTAACCAAAGACTTACATTAAATGCTAGTAATCTTTGGATCAAACAAGGTGGAAGTTACAATAAACGGTAACCAGTAACTAAGTCCACTGAATGTTCATACCCACTGAGTACATAACCTGACAAAAATCAAAACAATTAAACAAAATAAGTAAAACAACAACAACAACAAAAATACAAAAGTCACCCTACAAGTAGAGAGGACATTGAACTAGGAACCAAAAGATGAGTCTCACTCTGCCACTAATCAACTGGATAACCTCTCTAGATCTCAGTTTACTTATCCATAAAATGAAAGGTTTGGATGACATAATTGCTAAGGTCATTTAAATACTCTGAAAATCTTTGACCTATTATAAAGGAAAAGTCAGTATAACTTCCACAGGTTTGTTCTAGAGTTTATCAAAGATATTTAGTAATTAGAAATACTTATAGGATCTAGTTATATGAGGACAACTTTGCATGACAGCTCAAGTGGCTAACCTATACTATTCAAAGAAATAAGTCTGAAGATAAAATTAAAACAAATCAGAATGTTAGCAAGGGCCACTAAAGGTGTTTTGTGCTCCACCAATATCAAGGAGGATGGCAAGGCCCTTCAATCTGCCTCCTGCTATTCTTCAATGCAACTGGCAACTGTACTGTATCTAGCCTTGTGCTTAGAAGTGATAGAACTACTCCTTTCTAGTGCTAAGGAACAATAGGACTGTCCATTTTAAGCAAGAGACAAGACAGAGCTGTCAATTTTTTTTCTCTTTTCTACAGATAGTCCATCTGTACTTCAATATTCCTGTGCACATCTTACTGAACTAACAAGTAAACCAGACTGTACCAATGATTATAGACAAGTCCAGAGGGGGGAAATGTGCTCAAATAATAGCAATAATAATAATAAATAATAGTAATAATAAATAATAACAGTGGTAGTATTTTAGCACAACCCGTCTCTAGAGAAAACATGCTTCATTCAATTGAGCATGTGAATTCATACCTGTTGTCTGTTGGAGTTCTAACAGAGCTTTGATTGTTGAAGTAGCTGATTGTGATTCACTGGATACATCCTGATAAATTATGGTAGGGCTAGTCTCCATTGCAATCTCATGTTCTGACCAATCCTGACGCCGGGAAGCAATTACATGAACTACAGGCTGGGAATCTGTTTTATATTAGTTAAAAAAAAACAAACCCTATAAACAAAGTTTCTCTTAAAAAAAAAAAAACAAACAATTTTTTTGTCTGTTTGCTTATCTTTCTATTTATTGTAAACTTCATGCTTTATCTCCCCAAGAAGACTATAAGCCCCTAGAAGGCATAATGTCTTTCACTTCTGAATTCACTTATTCATTCACTCATTCATTGATTTCACAACAAACTGGACACTTATGTGCCAGAATCTAGATATGGCATTGAAGATATAAAGGAGCTCACAGAATAATCAGAGGATGCTCAAGAAGCACATAGTCTGGCTGGGGAGACGGACATGTAAAAAGACAAATCACAACTCAATGTGATAATTGCTATTATAAATAGATACGCATATGTGTAGGTGAGTGCATGTTTGTGTATAGTAAGAACAAAATGCTGTAGGAGTCTTATTTTCTCCAATGCACCTGAAAATATGTGTTGTATTACAGCCTGAGCATTCTGTCAACACTTATTGGATGGCTGAATTACTGAAGGAAATCCTGTTCACTGCCAGCAAGAAAAGACAGATGATCTAGAACCAGCATGATATAACAGGACAAGTGTAACATCTGGAGCTCAAAGTCTTGGATTATAGCCCCAACTACATCAATTATTAGCAAGTTGATTCTTTGGGTCTTAGTTTCACTACCTCTAAAATGGGAATAAAATTATCTCTCTTCCTCATAGAATTTCTGAGTATGCAATGAAATGATACATGGAAATGAGCTTTATAAACTATGAAGGCCAATAGAAATGTTATTATTGTTGCTATTGTAGCTTGGAAGTTCTGAATTCTAAGACCCTTTGTTAGTTTCAAAATAAATTACAGCCCTAATCCAAGGCTTATTATATTCATGCTATACAGGTACACATATAAATACTAAATGTGCATCAAATCAAGCAACAAGTTATTCTTTTAGTTTTCCACCTATAAAATAAGCAAGTTGGACTAGACTATTACAAACTTCCTAAACTCCTTTGTCCAAGACACCATAGAGGAAATTGTGGAGGACATAAAGGCATGATTCCTTCCTCTATATTCAGATTATAATGGGGGAAACATCAAATAAAGATATATGGCTTTGTAGCTTAGGGCAAATATCAAATGATTAGGGCAAACAAGACAAACAGAAAGTAAGAGGCTGCTTTGAATTGGGATGGTCAGTGAAAGCATCACAGAAGAATGAAAAGAATTCAAGTAGCCCCCAAAACAAGAATAAACATAATAAACGTTTAACCCTCTATGAACCTTATATTTTTTAAAGCCACAAAGTTGTTGAAAAATGTTGGGGCAAGGGGAACAACTCTTCCAACAAAACAGCCTTCCTGAAAAAAACAAAATCAATACACAATAGACCTAGAATTTTTAATTACCATGAACAAACTATATTTTCCTCCCCAAAACACCAGGTAGAATATATGCCACATGAAGATATATAATTTTCCATTAAACTTCCCCAGAAATACAGAAGACTGGATGCTATCCTGCAATACCAAATGCCATGTGAAGCACAGAGCAGCTTTTATTCATTTTAAGTAGATATGTAGAATTTAAACTTAAGAGAATTGATTATATTATGAAACCATTCCTTTTATATAACTTAAGCTCTCAAACTTAAGAAATTTTCATAATGATATAGGCAAAGAATGACTTTGCAACCCAACCCTACAAGACACACTGAATATCCACAAAAGGCAGGGATTGTGTTTATAGAGATAAGGTAGAAAGAGATAGGAAAAAGGGAAAACAAATTTCCATAGGAGAGCATCTACCAAAGACCATTATCCCAAACAACATCACCTCGTAGGTACTAGAGAGATTGCTACATCTCTTTCTGTCTATACTCAGAAAGAGCAGCTGACCATCATAAGTATCACTGTAGCAACCCTGTGACACAAGATGAGTGTGTGAACCTATGTGAAAACCCATCTTTAAATGATTCTCTCTCCTACTTTTGGCTTATGCTTAGACCTAAATGAAGCTACTGTCTATCAAGTCATGGAACGCAATGACTAGGAAATCAGGAGCTTGCACCAGTAACATGTGCTTATGCAGTGTGCGTTCATCTAGACTTCCTGCATCTCTTGCAGATGGCAGCCTGTCCCTCAGATGTCTTTCTGCACTGAACAAGTGTTTGTTGGATACCTACTACACGTTAGATACTAGAGATATACACTTTAACAGTATACTCAAAGGCAGACTCAGACATCTCTATGGAAGAATATCTCCTATGTCTCTATTATAAATGGCCTAGATCATACTTTCATAGAATCTTAAGACTTTTCCGTTAGAAGGGATCTTAAAGTTTGTTTAATGCTGCCATCAATCTTATACTATAATCTTCACAATATTCCCATGGGTCTGAGAACTCCAGCACCAAAGTACTCACTACTTTCTAAGACAGTTTCCTTACAACTCTGCACAGTTATAACAATCAGAAAGTTTTTTCATATTGAGTAGAAACAGGTCTTGTGACTTCTACTTAGCGCTTCTAGGTCTGTTCCTGTATCCACAAAGACCAATTCTTTTCCTTAATCCACATCACAGTCCTGAAGATAACTGACAAAAGCTCCTATGTCCCCACCAACCCAACCCACCCCCATCTTCTCTTCTTCATGATAAATCCTGTCTCCACCAACTATTGCTCATACAAAGTGATTCTAAACACCTTACACATCTAAATCATTGCTTCTAAACTAAACCTAAGATATCTATATCCCTTTTACGATGTAATATATACCTTCCCTCTGAAGCACTGTCATAAAGCTCAAGGACTTCACAGTATTTAATTGCCTAGACAGCAAGGCCCAAAATGTTCCAGAGAACATTTGTTCCTCAAGATGTTCTGCAAAAAAAGGGTTCCATGGTCAAAAAAGTTGGGGAACATTTTATATTGTATCTTCCACTCTTAATCTTTCATATACATATTAGCACATAATTGCTCTGAAAAGTTCTGCAATAAGTATGTTTCTGCTCAACCTGGATTTATTCCCCACCCTCACCTTGACGTACTGAGATCATGAAACTTCAGAAAGAAATCATTCTAGAAACTGAGTTATGACTTACTCAAAGCAATGTCTTTACAAGATACATTTTTGTATTTGACTCATGCCTTATTCCATTATAAATCTCTGCCCTTGGGTTTGTCTCCTTGTTTTCTTCCACTTCACTTAATATAATCTTATATTTTAATCCACCTTAAAACCTTTTGGAAACAAAGCATAATATAAATAATCTTTAATATGTGTTTAAAAAAAATCTGGAACCCATTCCCAAATACGTTCTAGGCTACCCCATTCCCAAATGAGAAAGGGGAAAAAGCCCATTTAGGAAGAAAAGCACAGGAACGATATGACATATGACCTGATCTTTAGTAAGTGACCTAGGCGAGGATGGCCTTAATCCATTAGGTTTGGTCACCTAGCTATCTATCCATATCTAGGTGTATACTACTTACTACTTAAAAGGCCCACTCACAAGGTTAGGGGGAACTCCAGAAAAAAAAAAAAAAAACATTTTGGACTCAGGCAACAAAAATGAGTTTATAAGGCTGCAGCTTAACCCAATGCCACAGTTATTATGGTTGCTGCTCTGCTATTTGTTCATTCGGTGAAACTTTTACTGAGTACCTTCTCAGTCCTAACTGAACTCTTTGGATAAATGCCAGATATGTATGAAGATGAATATGATCTTTAAGCTTGAGAAGCTAGTAGCCTAGTGGAAAAGAAAACAATTATAACACACAAACAAACACAACATACAAAATAAAATTGTCAGTGTTAAAAGAGCTGATGTACAAAGCAATATTGGAAGCCTAACATAGAAGAATGAATCCTCTCAGGGTGATCAAGGAAAGTCTCAAAATAGGGTGATGATATTCTAGCCTATATGGAGACAGTTGAGAAATAAAAATTTCTCTTCCTTGGGGGTGGAGGACAGTAGGTGAAGTTCAGAAACCACAAGTGGAATCAAGGCATTCTCTTGGCATACGTAGTCCTTATTCCAGGACTTGTGTAGCAGAAGTCACCAGAAAAAGGACCTGAAGTTAAGAAAAGATTGATTTTTCCTTATAGTGGAATGCCAACTATTAAATGTGCAAAGAATAATGAACTTCGGAAAATCATCTATGGATGCTAAAACTACTGGATAAGTGTTTGATGAGGAACATGATATTTATATCATGTACCTTCCTACAAATTACAATTAATCTGAAAGGGAAACATGTTAACTTCATAGTGGAGAAAACTAGAAGACATCATCTTAACCAAGTGATCAATGTTAACATCATCTATGCTGGGACAAACTGACATCATGTTTCTCCTGATAAAACTGAGGATATAATATCCTATCTGTGGAATTCCTGATGAATCTAATCATGAGGAAACATCAGACAAAACCAAACTGAAGAATATTCTACAAAGTAACTGACCTACACTCTTCAAATATCAAAGTCATGAAATACAAAGAAAGGCTGAGGACCTATTCCAGGTTAAAGAGAATTAAAAAACCACAACAGTTAAATGCAGCTAAATGCAATGTGTCGACCTGAATTTTATTGAGGACAGGTGAAAACCATAAAGAACATTATTAGCTAATTAACAATATTTGAATATGGATTGTAAATTAGATAATTATTATAACATTAAATTTCTTGACTTTGATAACTGTATCTTAGTCATAAAGAGAAGAATCCTTAAGAAATATAGGCCTACAAATGTAAGTAAATATAAGAAACATGTTAGCTCAACTTACTCTCACATGGTTAAGAAATTTTAAGAATATACACACACACAGCAGAAGGGGGGCAGAGAATCAACAACAAAGCAAATAGGGCAAAATGTAAATAAGTAGTGAATCTAGGTAAAGAGTATACACAGGAGTTCTTTTTACTATTCTTGCAACTGTTCTGTAATTTTGAAATTATATCAAAAGGTTACTTTAAAAAGAAAAAAGTGGCTAAAAACTACAAAAGCAACAATGTAACAGAAAAATAAACTATGTAGTACTTACATTCTTAATAAGTAGGAATATTCTCATATACTTTGAAAATCAGCATGACCTGAGACCAACCAACATCTTAATCCCTTTCTCTTTAAATCACAGCATATATATTCCCAGACCTAGTCTTTGTAAGAATGTAGTAAACAGCTATACAAGGCGATAAGGGGAGGGGCAGATTATAAAAATCTGCCTTACAGTCAACTATGCCTATTCTAAATTGTGAAATTTTCTGTTATAGAATATTTTAAAAAGTAATATACAATGAAAGATGTATTAGGTTGGTGCAAAAGTAATTGCAGTTTTGCCATTAAAAGTAATGGCAACTGCTTTTGCACCAACCTAATAGAATAAAAACAGAAGATGCAAACTTATGTCCCATTCTTAGAATAAAAACTGAAGATTCAGCTGGACGCAGTGGCTCACGCCTATAATCCCAGCACTTTGGGAGGCCGAGGCGGGTGGATTACTTGAAGTCAGGAGTTCAAGACCAGCCTGGCCAACATGATGAAACCCCGTCGCTACTAAAAATACAAAAAATCAGCTGGGCATGGTGGTGCGTGCTTGTAATACCAGCTACTCGGGAGGCTGAGGCAGGAGAATCGCTTGAACCCAGGAGACGGAGGTTGCAGTGAGCCGAGATCACGCCACTGCACTCTAGTCTGGGCAACAAGAGTGAAACTCTATCTCCAAAAAAAAAAAAAAAAAAAACCCTAAAGATTCAACTAATGAAATGGCATGTTTGGGAAGTACTAATTGGTTTACAGCTCTCTTAGGAAAGGACTAACAATTTCAAAGGATAACCTAGGATTATGTATATACAGACTTCTACTGTTCATGTCCCCTTTTTGCACCAACTCATACTAAACATTTTATCTGCCCTCTTTGAAAATATATTTTGTATATCTCGAGTGCAAAAAAGGCCAGTATTGCTCAAGAAACTGCAGACCAAAAGAAATGATTGGAGAATAAGCATCAACCAAGTGTAATCAGCAGATAATTGACTCATAATCAATACAGAATGATAAAGTCCATCTTAGCAAACGGATTCAGAAAATATTACTATCACTGATAATATGCTGAAGGAAACTACCCACTCTCTATAATGAGGGACATATTATGTTTGTTAAAAATCAACATTTTCATTTATTTTTAATTGATGAATTTTCAAAGAATATTTTGAATGCTTTCTTATCCTCTCCTCACTGGCATGTCAACTTTCAGTCTTTGGCATTTTTTTTGTTTGCTACTAATAAAATTCTTATACTAGAGTTGCATGTGTATTTTTTAAATCCCCTATTCTAGATCTAGATTTTATGCTCCTGGAGGGCAAGAACTATATTGTACTCTTCTGTAGGGTCTAGCATAATGCTTAGTATGTAGTATAAACTAATAAATAATTGTCAAATTGAATTAATGGACTAATCAGCAATGTGAACCATGTAAGACTAATCAAGGAAGACTCCACCAAAGAGTTAAAATACTAGTGTTTGCACAATATGGAGACTGTGTATAAGAAAAGTGAAGTTGCTAAGAAAGCACCCCAGAGAGGATAATGGGAAGGCAGAGAGAGGGAATGGAGAGAGTGTGGAAAGAACAAGGGAAGATAAACAGCTTTGCTTAGATGCATCAGAGCACATAAGCACAGACATAAATGTACCACCCAAGGATAAGGGCAGTTAAGATAACTGAGAGACATGAGTACTAGATTTGTAGAAGGTCTCAAAGTTTATGATCATGAGTTTATTTCAAGAGGTTTCGTAGAAGAGTAACATAATTCAAACAGCACCGAGGACAAAGAGTTTTCTGCTGTAGAATCTAGCTTCATCGTTCCTTCCATATAATTAGGACAACCATATGATTATCTGGGATACTTTTCAGAGTGAAAGGGAGTACTTTAATAATTGTGCCAGAACAACATAAACTAGGACTTGTCCCATGCAAATTGGAATGTATAGTCACCCTACTTACAGCCCACTTACAGTCTACCTCTGACCACCTTGATTCTTTCTCAGGGTATAGCAATAACCATTTCAAAATATATATTCACTTCTTTACATACGTTTTCTCCTACTTACCCAAACCAGAGAGGAAGAATATGAAAATTACCATCTGGGAATCATAACTCTATCCAGTTTAATATTACCTACCTGACAGATTCATCATCTAAAGTTAATTATTTGATGAACATATTCCATGCAGGAAAGAATGGTAACCTTTACCAAAAATAAAATTTCAGCTCACCGATTTAACATCAAACAATAAAAAAAAAAAAAAAAAAGGAAAAGAATTGATAGAGCATACAAATTTGTTGTGAAATGTGTAGAAGCAACCTCTATTTTAGAATTTGGGCACTATGTCAGTAGTACTTATATAAATCAGAAGTAAAATAGATCTTACCTTGGGAACTCTGGGAGGACTCTGTAGAAGAGGAACTACTATCTGTATAATTCTGTGGTTCTTCTTTTCCTTCCTGAATAGATGAATTACCAGCCTCTGCTACCCTGGATGCTTGCTGTAATGTTTCTGTTACTAGCTGTCTTGTTTGTTCACTAACAACTGTCGCTTGAAAAGTCACTGGTTTGGGTTTAATAAGAACCTAGGAGAAAAGCAGAAATATACTGAGATAAAATTTTAGAAAACGATTTAAAAATGCTAAACTTCTAGGTCATAAACTAATATTTTCCTGGTATGGAAACTATTCTGTACGTTATACTTTTTAGGCACAGCATTGCTCATCAAAGGGTAATTCAATCTACAGACAAATTACAGTGTAAGCCATATACAATGTTTTAAGTGGTACATGCCAGAGTGCAATAGCCATGATTCTGACAAGAACCTTTGTGCCTGTTTGCCTACAACTTCAGGAGTCATTTTATAATCTGTAGACTATATAGTAAAATGATATCCACAAGCTGAGGATGGCAGAACAAAAAGACACAAGGAGTCTAGATTCCCAGTGGAATTTTTGTGCTGCAGTATCAGTCCAGGACTTCCTCCCTCTGAACTTTTATTAATATAATAAAAATAAAACCCTAATCTGTTTGAGCGAGTGTTCTTCAAGTTTTTTTTCTTTTCTTTTTTTTTTTCATTAGAAACTAAATCAAATTCCTAATTGACACACCTGCAAAAAGTAAAACTTGCTTGGGCCCTATCTTTGAAGAAACCCCAGATGAATATTGATTTGACAACTATCAGAAGCAACATGGAACATGTGTTGGATCAGCTCCTGGCAAAAGTTAAAAACAAACAGTGAAACAAGTGAAATGGGAGAAAATTTTCAAACTGGGCCATTCTACTTCAAAATCTGAACTCTAGGAGTTAATTTCAATTGGGTCCATGGAATAAAAACTATTAACTCATAATTATTTTTGTTTCTACCACATATAAGATTCTAAAATTTCTCAGACTCTGTTAAGTTACCCATTTCCAAGAGTTAAGAAGGAAAACATACTTTAGATGAAGCAAATGAAATTATTACAATTAAACTCCATAGGCAATTTGGACTTGTCACAAAGCTTATTTTTTTTTTAGATACGTAAAGTATTTGGCTATAATTCTGAGAGAACAGATTCTAAAAGTAAATTAGTAGTTTATAGGTACATTAATACCTCTTACAAAAATTCTAGGATGGCATTTCTCAACCGAAACTAATAGTGCTTCCCTCGATATTCTCAGAAAAGCAAAATACCTACAAAATAAACAGTAGCCTAGCAACATATGATTAGATCCTGAGCCTCAAATTCCAAGGCAAATTTTCAGAAAAGTTCCCTTATCTTCTATTGGTTAAAAAATAAATACAACTCTAGCTTATCTATTGTTCAAGGGTTCAAGCAAAGCTAATTTTATAAGTAAATAAAATGCTTTTGAAGGCCATGGTAGCTTATAAAAAGTAAATATTTTTCTTTGAGTGATTCTGAATGACTATGATCCTCCCTCAACCACCCCCCTCAAATCACAAAATACACCTTCAGCAAATTGTATTCCTAGGTAATTATTTCCCCATAATCTTTGCTGATAGCACAACATACACATTTAGGTATCTTTAAGAAAGTACTGAAAAGATAAATGAAGTTTTGACAATACTTGAATAATTAACACATTCAAACATAACTTTTAACAATCTGATTTCTTAAAGATTGCTGATCTTTTCCTTCAAATTTCTACCCGGGAATTATAAGAATTGAAAATATTTAAGAGCCAAGAAAAATCATCATATCTTATAGCATACCTGCGTTTTCCCTTGCTGCCCATAAACAATTTTTGTTGGGATGATTTTAGCTGCTGGTTGAACTGTAGAACCTATTCCTTTTGGCTGCGTTACAATCATTTTGGTGATGGGTCTTGTAGCAGTAAGGATAGCTGGCTTTGCTCCTGTTGGCACTGTCTGAATAGTCTTTTCTCCCTAAATTGAAGTCAATGATTATATAAGAGATTTATATGCATATAAATGATAAAGTCCTCTCACTGAAAAATCAGTAAGGTTTTACCAGGATGATGAAAAAAGGGCTGTAGATTATGTAACAAAGTATAATGTTTCCAGGAAATCAAAAATCGTAGACTTGGTTGAAATGATATAGAAAGTCATCTGACCAACTTTCTACCCAAAGAAGGAATTAATTATTCTCTGATGAGCGAATTTTAAAAAATTACCACATGCAAAAATACTTATTACACTATCCCATTAATGGAATACATATATTATAATAGTCAGAAAATTCTGGAAGAAGGTATAGTACACTGCTAATGCTTGTCTCTAAGAATTGGGATTATAAGTCTTAACCCCCACATACATATTTATTTTCTAATTTATCTGAAATAAGTATTTGTGTAATTAGAAAATTACTGTGCAATATACCAGTAGCTAAATGCACACACATAAAATACATCCCCTAAGTTCTACATATATGAAATTATAAGGATATATAGTAGAATGTCTACATGAAAAAGTATGGGCAAGCAAAATCAGCAGAGGTATTAACATTCTTTCTAAGGTTATATATAGGAAAAATTTGATGAACATATGCCATGAGGAAAGAATGTTATATATTGTTAATAATATATAAGGTTACATATAGAAAAAAAGGAAGGGAAAACTCAGAGTGCTTCCTATGTTTTACTATTCATATATTACTAATATCCTTTTAGTCTATTAACTAGATAGCTTATATCCATTAACTTTTCATCATTTTCTATACTTTCATCTACTTTATTCTTAAGTACCATTTTCTGGTCACTCATGAAATCAACATCTTTTTACATGAACTTAACTAAATTAAGTTCAAATACAGTGACTTTACTAAATTATTAAAATTTTTAAAATTAAAATCCATAAACTTAAGATGGAAATGAAAAGATTTGAGAATTTTCACCTCATCAGTTTTTCTTAATTTTTAGCCAGCATCATCTAAACGTGTGCCTATCTAAACTTAGCAGCCAGTAAAAACAAAGCACCCACGTGAGCTGGCTAAAAAGCAATCATTGTGAATTCAGAGCTAAATATAATTACAAAAATCACAATTTTAACTATCTGCTGTAATTACTTAAGGGAAACATGAAGCATCTGCCAATGGTGTTATTACTTATTTCAACACATGCATACTCTTCCCAGCACCATCTCTGGAAAGAGCTCTAGTTCATTTGCCAAGAGCCACTAGTTTGCAAGTGACCACACCTATCTATTAAATAGCTCAATGGACCCTGGCCAAGTATGACCCATTCAAGCCAAACAAAACCAACTAGCAGCCTGTTTTTCAAAAAAGCTCTTCTGATGTGTGTTGTGGGCATGCATAGGTGAGCAAGTGGTGAGTAGAGGTGATTGTGCCTATGTGGTCTTTGGCGGGGGTGGCAGTGGCAGAGTCTTGCTCTGTCACCCAGGCTGGAGTACAGTGGCAAGATCTCAGCTCACTGCAACCTCTGCCTCCCAGGCTCAAGTGATCCTCCACCTCAGCCTCCCAAGTAGCTGGGACTATAGGTGCACACCTTCACGCTAATTTTTGTAATTTTGTAGATACGGAGTTTCACCATGTTGCTCAGGCTGGTCTCAAACTCTTGGGCTCAAGTGATCCACCTGCCTTGCCTTCCCAAATTGCTGGGATTACAGGCATAAGCCTCCACACCCAGCCCAGAAAACGGTCTTATACGTTGATTTGCTTGTTTTACTAGAGCTGCCTGTGTCAAACGGTTGTTATCAGAGATATCTAACAGCTATGAATCATACATGACTCTTGGATCTTTGTGACCACAGGGCCTAGAATACAAAGCATCCCCTCTTACATATCAAGTTCTTTGAAATTGCAAACCATATTACAAAGGGTTCTGAAAATCTGAATTCTAATCCTGGCTTTACTTTTGGCTTACTATGTAAATTCAGGCTAGGAGCAATCTGTTTTCCCACACATTGAAAAAATCTAATGCTGGACCCCTACCAATGAAGCTTTTATGAGATCTATTTAAGTGAAGTATAGCAATCCATGTTCTAGTGAAGTTAGGCAAGGTAGGGACACTAACAAGCCTAAACAGGTAAGTACCAAGAATAACAAGAAGAAAATCAATGATTGAGGACTTCTTATGGGCCAGGCACTATTCTAAGCACTTTCACAATAGCTACCAGTTACTAAACAACCTCACTGGTAAAGATCATCAATCCCAATGTACACATGAGGAAATTAAGAATGAGAGAGGTTGAGTATGTCACCCAAGGTCAAACAACTACAATATGGAGAAACAAAGCCCTGTTTTGTCTAACTCCAACCCTCCTACCAACTGCCTTCAGAACTATAAATGAATCTGTTATTTATTTATTTATTTTTTGTTTGAGGCAAGGTCTCACTCTGTTGCCCAGTCTGGAGTGCAGTGGCATGATCATGGCTCATAGCAGCCTCAAACTCCCGGGCTCATGTGATCCTCCCACCTTAGCCTCCCAAGTAACTGGGACTACAGGTGCATGCTACTACATCTGGTTAAGTTTTAAAATAAATTTTGGTAGAGGTGGGGGTCTTGCTTTGTTGCCAAGGCTGGTCTTGAACTCCTGGGCTAAAGCGATTCTCCCACCTCAGCCTCCCAACCAGCTGGGATTACAGACATGTGCCACCACACCCAGTCTGATTTTATTTTTTAACAGCTCAAAGAGGTAAAAATGAAAAAAAAAAAAAAAAAAAAAGAAAGTAACAAATCCCCATCAATTAATTTAGTCTTAATCCCACATATTTCTCTTTGCCCACCCTAAGCCAAATACTAAGTCAGTATCTATTGACCATAAGCAGGAATAAAACAGTGCTCCAACTGAAGTCCCCCTACAGTTAAGCCAATGGAATTCTCTATCTGGACAAAGCTAAGCATCTAAATCATGGTCACAAGCAACCTAGCTATGAGCAAGTATGAGCAACATGCTTTAGAAATTACTGTGAAAAATGGCATCAGTTGGTGGTGCTTTAACAGTTGTTATATCCCAGCAGTGGTAAACCAAGCCATTCTGGCTATTGTGGGCTTCTCAAGTCCTTGTGCAAATATTTATATAGCTGGTCTTTAAATCCTCTGTGAATTGCTAAGTCTGCAGTTGAAGCTCTCACTTACTCCAGCATTTAGCAACGTTGTGACAACATTTTTGCCCGGGAGGCCTTGAATGGTCGTTCCTTTTCCTGTAGTCTTTTGTACAACAATCACGTTGGGCTTGGAAGTCATTGGGATTGTAGTGATTTTGGTAGTCGTTCCTTAGAAAAGGGGGAAGAAAAGGAGGCCTGAGTTAAGGACTAGAGATACTTGGTTATTTTTGTTTATATTATACACAATTAGTACATATAGTAAATGTCATTCCTAGATGACATGAAAGCTGTCAAGATGATGAAAATGAAGGCTTGGAATAGTAAGTTATAAGTCATACCAGAATGAGAGAATATTAAGAATTCACAGTTAAAGCAGTCATCTTTTTAGAATCTGAGAACCTATACACAAAACTCAGAATCTAAGAACAACAGTTTTACCATCAATATTCTTTGTCTGACTAGTTAAAAGAAACAAATCACAATCTCTATTCCATGACATGTATTTCCCCCAAACCCAGTATTATATGTGACTGAAGTGATGGGAAAATCCTTCAAAAAAGAACATGAAGTAAATGCTTAAATTTACATAACACTAGGCTCTAGAAAAAATTTATGAAAAGAAATAAGCCATGTATTTTTCTGTGATTAAAAAAGACAAAGTAGGCCAGGCGTGGTGGCTCACGCTCATAATCCCAGTATTTTGAGAGGCTGACGCAGGCAGATCACCAGAGGTCAGGAGTTCAAGATCAGCCTGGTGAAAGTCTATCTCTACTAAAAATACAAAAAAATTAGCTGGGGGTGGCGGCGGGCGCCTGTAATCCCAGCTACTTGGGAGGCTGAGGCAAAAGAATTGCTTGAACCCGGGAGGTGGAGGTTGCAGTGAGCTGAGATTGCGCCACTGCACTCCATCCTGGGCTACAGAGCAAGACTCGATCTCAAGAAAAAAAAAAAAAAAAAAAAAAAAAAAAAAGCAAAGTAAACGATATACAAAACAAGTCACAGATTCAATGTATGCTTTTGTAATCTGTAGCACTCTGGAGAATGTGAGGATAAAACTCTAATTTGCATATATAAACTTATATTGTCAATTATTAAGATCTATCTAATAGGTCTATACCTACTGATCCAAACACAGTATTACTTTGCCCTCTCCCACACATCCTTCCATAATTGGCTTCTCTTCTACCTATCAAATCTACCTTCCAACCTTCAGTTGTAAATTCTGGCGCAAATCTTTGATTTGTTCCTTGTCTTCTTCTCTTTTTCAAAAAATTTTATTTTTATTTATTTATTTTTTTTAAGGCAAGGTCTTGCTGTGTCACCCAGACGGGAGTGGAGTGGAGCAACCACAGCTCATTGCAGCCTTGACCTTCTGAGCTCAAGTGGTCCTCCCACCTTACTTTTTGATTTTTTATAGAGATAAGGTCTCACTATGTTGCCCTGGCTGCTGGCTGGTCTCAAACTCCTAGGTTCAAGTGATCCTCCTGCCTCAGCTTCACGAAGTGTTGGGACTACAGGTGTAAGCCACTGTGCCTGGACTTTTTTTTTTTTTTTTTTAAGAGAAACAGGGTCTCACTCTGTTACCAGGCTGGAGTGCAGAGGCATGATCATATCTACTGCAGGCTTCAACTCCTGGGCTCACACAATCCTCCCATCTCAGCCTCTTAGGTACCTAGGACTACAGGTATGTGCCACCATGCCTGGCTAATTTCTGTATTTTTTGGTAGAGATGGGGTCTTACTACATTACCCAGGTTGGTCTTGAACTCCTGGCCTCAAGGGATCCTCCTGCTTCAGCCTCCCAAATTGTTGGAATTACAGGCATGAGCCACCAGGCTTGGCCTGTTTCCTCGTCTTAACTCCCTATACCTCTCAACAAGATGAAAGCCCCTTAATCTCCACACTGTACCTTTTTATGATTCCTCAGTGCTTAGCACAGTGGATGACAATTACATCCTTAAAAAACTAAACTTATCATGCCAAGAACCTGAAACATGTCAACTGGTTAAATTCCCTAATTTCCCATTTCATTCCCAGTTCTAACTTTCCCTCATGTTTCAAAATCCTATTAATATATAATCTGTCCCTTAATCTACCATTTTGATCTAATTAGCATGTACTCCAGAGTACACACCATAAACTTTGATCTAAGAAGTAACTTCTTCATTATGGCTTCCCGTTACCTACCACACAAAGCCCAAACTCCTCTGCCTAGCTTTCCAGGCTTTGTCAGACCTTAATTTTTAGAATTAACTAACATACGCCTCTCCTTTAATGTGCTGGTTTCCACATTGGTCTTTGAGCATACAAATTCCAATGCTACTTTTGCTCCTGTAATTTCCTCTGCTTATGAAAAGAGGCATGTCAAGTTCTTCTTCTATAGGCCTACATATCATTTATCAAATGACTAAGCACAGAATTATTACTTAGTAAAAACATGAGCAATATGTCTTCAAAAAATAATTAAACACAATTTTATTATTTTCCACTGGAAAACCTTAATATTCCTTACTTAAGTTTTATACAAACTTACACTAAGTTTGTGTAAACTTAGTGTATACAAAGTTACACTAAGAATAAGAATATTCTAGTTATATGTTAATTTTGGCAACACTGCTACAAAAAATGTCTTTACAATATATTTGCCATTATATGTCTCATTAGTCCAAGGTAACATGCTCTGAGGTTACATAAAAGAGCATTTTAATCTATGAACTAGCTTCACAACTGTTTTTCCATTTATTTGTAGTCTCTGAACAGTCAGCTGTTAAGAACTTCAAAAACCAAGCTGCCCATGATTCACTTATACTAACTTTAACTCTTAATTAACTTTAATCCCTCACATGTGATTAACTCTATAGACCTTTTTTGACATGGTTTCATACAGACCTCTTTTGACATGATTTACTATGCTTTTGACTTTATACCAAAGTACAAGGACCACTTTTTGACAAAACTTGCTTAACAAATGAATTATATTTTTACCTACTAAAATGTCTAATCCCTTCCATTACAGAGGTTTTTCAATTTATATGATAGTTGCAAACCAAGTCCACAAGTTTAACAAAATGTGGTGGGGGGGCAAATGTCAGAAAATAGAAGAAAAAGGAATAGCATAAGGAAAAGCAAGTCTAACATTATATTAAAATAGAATATAATTTATAATTGATAGAATGATCAATTATAAATTTCTGAAATTCTAGTGAACATGTTTCTGTATCAGGGGATAAATACATTACATTGAAGAAGTATTACTCATTAAAAAAAAGTCACCCTCTATGCTTTCACAGTGGACTTCTGTTCCCATGTTACAGCAAAATTATACAAGTTCACTTGTTTAGCATTCCTTAGGGCAGATAATAAAACTCATGTATATATTCCTCTGTATCACAACACACAGCAGAGTATCTGGCTCGTAGCATATCAGAAGGACCCACCTATATAATCTTCACTTATAAAACAATCGAGATATAATGGGTGCAAATAACTGTATATCCCATTTAGATAATAATGAACTATGATATTGATGCATTCCAGGCATTCTTATTTTTTAAAAAGATCCCTGTAAAAGTTTGGGCATTATAATAGGTAGGCTTAAAGAAGAACACAAATTTATTGGCTCAGATTTTACTATTCTATTTACAGATTCTAAAATCACCTGACAATCTTGGTCTCTTAGGTAATGTTTTATGTTGCTTTGCTCAAAGAATGAACGAATGAAAAAGTGCAAAAACAATAGCTCCTTTCCTGGACACTGTACTAAAGATTAGGAGAATTAAAGTTTTGCTGTTGTCACAGGTTCTCATAACGTCCTTAGAATCAAGGTAGTGAGTTCAACTCTGAAGAATCCAATGTAATTATTCATCTAACCCTCAACAAAGCTCACAAAAAAACTTACAAATCTGATAATCTAATGTATACACATGTAAATAAATATTTGACGCTATAAAATATGAATTGGCCAGGTGCAGTAACTGACGCCTATAATACCAGCACTTTGGGAGCCCAAGGCAGGTGGATCACCTGAGGTCAGGAGTTTGACATCATCCTGGCCAACATGGTGAAACCCTGTCTCTACTAAAAATACAAAAATTAGCCGAGCGTGGTGGCAGGCGCCTGTAATCCCAGCTACTCAGGAGGCTGAGGCAGGAGAATTGCTTGAACCTGGGAGGCGGGGGTAGCAGTGAGCAGAGATCACACCACTGCATTCCAGCCTAGGTGACACAGCAGGAGTCTGTCTCAAAAAAAAAAAAAAAAAGATATGAATCAACTACAAAGATAGTCATGGCTTCCATTTAATTACTTGTTCTAATAAAAAGAACTTTCTAGAAAGTACTTTGGAAGCATTAACTTGCATTCTAGGATATTTATACAGAGGAAGTAAGAATTCCACAAAATAATTTATGTATAATAATGTTCGTCATAGAATTATTTATAATGACACACACACACACACACACACACAAGACAGCCTATAAGTAACCTAAAACTTGCTACAATAAGAAAATGGTTAAATATGAGGGGGGCATGTCAAACTACATTTACTAGCATGGGAAAATAACATTACTATAGGAAATACGGATAAAATCTGACTATATTAGATCCCAATTAAAAAAAAAATATATATATATATATATATGCGCGCACACACACACTTTATACAAACGAATAGAAAAATGAATAAAAAGAAATATACCTAAATTTTAACACAGTCCTATGGATAGTAAAAATCAAAGGTTTTTAATTTTCTTTGAACCTGGCTGTAGTTTCCAAATTCTCCCACAATGAGAGGGAAAGTATCTTTTTTAAAGCCTTCTAGTCTTATAGCTAGATGTTTGAGTGTATTTTAAGAAAAGAGCCAGGCATGGTGGCTCATGCCTGTAATCCCAGCACTTTGGGTGGCCAAGGTGGGCAGATCGCTTCAACTCAGGAGTTTGAGACCAGCCTGGGTAACATGGCAAAACCCTGTCTCTAGAAAAATTACAAAAATTAGCCAAGCATGGTGGTGTGGGCCTGTAGTCTTAGCTACCTGGAAGGCTGAGGTGTCAGGATTGCTTGAGCCCAGGAGGCTGACGCTGTAACAAGCCAATCATGCCACTGCACCCTGGCCTGGGCAACAGAGTGATACTCTGTCTTAAAAAAAAAAAAAAAAAAAAGAAAGTACTTCTTTTTTGTTTGGGGAAGATGGGACCCTAGAAAAAGCATCTGCTCATGGATGAAGACAGAAAACTGTGTAAATTCATTCAACCAGCCTTATCAGTTTACTATAAATAGGCAATGAAAGATTTTAAAACTAACCTATAATCCCAGTATCATGGATCAACAATATTATAAAATAAGAAAATTGTCTTTATAAAGAATAGTGAGATGTAACATAAGGATCAGTTTAGAGCAACCAGAAGAAGTTCTTTGGAATAAAAGTGTCAATGAAGCAGAGATAGAGACATAATGAGCACCACACAATGAATAAAGTTGTTTAAACTGTATGTTTAAACTGTATGCCAAGTATATCCTATAGTGCTGGAAAAGTCTCTACTCATGTACACTCATGCACTTGAAGTAGCAACTAACATGAATGGTTTTATAATTCAATACAAAGATGGATAACACATTATACATGTATAAGATATATAAATTTCAAATGACATCTCTGCTTTTAGGAAAATGTGCTTGCTTGTATTGCTCTAACCAGGTACAAAGCAGCTACATTATGCATTAGGTCTGAAAATAGAGGACTCATGACATCCAAACATTCCTTCAAGCTATATGAAACTATAAATTCATGTATAAGTAAAGAAAAATCCTTAAGGTCATAAAAAACTACCTACCAATGAAATATAAGATCCCTTTTTGACAAATGTTTAACTGAGTAAGTGCTTTATACTATGTAAAGATATTGTCAAGTAATAAATTACAATTTAAGTTTTAACTGTGTTATTTAAAGTATCCTCTTAAAAGCTGGAGTACAATGATTCTTTCCCTACTGGTTTCACCCTCCTCAGTCTGGCAAACATCGGATTTTCTCACTTACACTTAAAAGTAGAGCCAAAATTAACATCTTTAAATATAACACTTTATGCCAATATCATGCTCTGCTTTGCTTTTTTTTTCACTCCCTGAGTTATCAGCAACATCAAATTACTGCCAGGAACTTCAATCCCTTGACTTTAAAATGTTAGAACAACTCACCTGGGGCATACAAAATATGACTTGTCTACAAAAATGGTAGATAATTAAAGTCTACAGTCTTGCTTAATCTGGGATTATTTACATCATTTTAATTAAAAATAATAATCGATGAAAACAGATGCCATTTTAACATTCCACATTAGGGTCCACAACCCAAGAACTGCAGAGATTAATGAGCCAATAAAAACCAGGTATGGTTTCAATATACCAATAAATAGGCAGATGGTTGGCTTTCACTATTAAAGTAAAATATTTCTGAAAAGCAAAGTTAATATAAATGGCAAAAGGCAAATAAAGTATTCAAATATTTTTATTTTTAATAAACTAAAGTGACATCAGTAATTGAAATTATGAGATATGTTCCCTAAAACATATTCAGAACAAATAAGAGTTCTTCCACTTTCTAACTCTAATTGGTCTTGGACAGGTCAATTTGATCTCTCTAAAGCCAAATCTATCTTCATTTGTAAATTCAGCACAATAGCAACCACCTCAGAGTTGTTATGGGGTCTGAATAGGTTGACAAATAGAAGGATACTTTGCAAATGAAAAATCTCTATGCAAATTTAAACTATAATCTTTCCACTCTGACTAAAAGCAACTAAAGGTTCTTTCCATTTTAAAACTATCAAAAGCTTTATATGTGAATATTGAATATTAAAACTAAAAACTTTATTTAATCATGAAACATAAGGACTAAAACAAAGCTTTAGATTTCTAAGCAAAAAATTGAGATCAAATATAATCCTTCAATGAAGTAAGTTTTTTTTTTCCTCTCAATGAAGGCCACCTATACCTTTAACATATTTCAGATATACCTACCAGAAACTATATTACTGCTAATTATCTTGCCCCCCAAGGTAGCTAATGATTTGGGTACTACTGTAATGATGCTACCACTCGTAGTTTTCACATAGGTTGCAGCTCCAGGGGTTGCAGCCATCCGACCAATGGATGGGCTCACTGTTGGCCGGGTATAGGTTGCTTGTGTGCCTACAGAAAGGGAAAAGCCAAAAGAAAAACTTGTCATTGCTTACAGAAGAATGATAATTAATACAGTTTAACTGTAATTCCATATAATCTACATTGCTATAACTTGAAAATGGAATTTCAAGGTGTCAAGACATTAATTTATAATTTTACAGCCAGTTTTCAACACATATAGCAAGTACTACAGCCAAGTCAATTTAAATTAATTTTACACATAAAATTTTGTGATGTGTTGCATCAAATTACTAACCCAAGAAAAAGTAGAGTTAACTCTGTTCCCTTCTTCCACTACCCTTCTTCTACTAGTTTTATGCCAAAAGAAACAAATTTAATCATCTTTCCTGCCAGAGTATTTTAGATATTTCTGTCATAGATTTTAAGGTCTCTGCATCTGTTTTATGCTGTCTTAGTGCCAAACCCAATGTTGGCATTGAGCAAATAAGGCAGTATTGTTTGCCTAAAGTTTTACAAACTTTCATTGCTTTGTACTCTGCTACCCTCTAAATATACGTCCACCTTTAAAGGGTTGGTTATTCTATCATTTTAGTAAAGATTAAAGTTAAAGCTGCCTAGAGTTGCCAGGAATATTTCTCTTTAGCCTAAAATTTTCTCTATTTACCTATTTCCTCAACTTTAGACCTGTTAGACTATTTTTCTTCATGTGTCTCAAAAGATTTTATACCCTTCCCCACTATTTCTAACACTTTTTTCTTTTCTCCAAACAGGAATTAAAAGCTAACTACATGAGTCTGTTGTAGTTTCTTACAAATCCAGTAACTCAGAAAGGCTATTCCTAAATTAAGCATCAATAGCCTTAGGGAGAATGAAAAAAAAATGACTAAGATAACATCATCTTCACTTGAAGAAATCTTTCATGATAATCAAATTCACGGACCACTTTGATAGCCATTTTCAATACTCGCCTCCTCCCCCCCCCCAAAAAAATGCTTTTACCAAGTTATTCACCTTTGAAAAATACAACCATTACCCAAAAAGGGAGAACGGGAGGAACAATAAGTAGAATTAGTTTATATTGGTTATAAGCATACATCTGAATGAAAAAAAAAAAAAACCCACAAAACTAGTGCAAAGTAAATATGCTATATGGATACATAGTTTGAATTTGGCAAATTACATCTGGAAAAATTTCAAATTAAGTTTTTGTTAAAAAAAGAAACACTTATTATAACACAGACACATAAATAGACAAAATATTATTCTTCACTACTTTTCCATAACATGAAGAATCATATATGCATAACACTGTTATCTATTTAGAAAAGTTTAGGGGAAGTATGATAAAAATACTAAAGAATAATAGTGTTTAAAAGCACAGGCTTTGCATAGAGACAGAAGGTAGAATGGTGATGCCAGGGACTTCAGAAAGTGGGGAAATGAAGCATTATTGTTGAATGAACACAGAGTTTCAGTTTCGGAAGATGAAAACGTTTTGGAGATAGATGGTGTTGATGGTTATACAACAATGTGAATGTACTTAAGGCCAATGAACTATATATTTGAAAATGGTAAATTTCATGTTATATATATTTTACTGCAATTTAAAAAACAAAAGAAAGCACAGGTTTTGGAGTCAAACTGGTTCAATCCCCAGTTCTGCCTCTTTTTGGCTACATGACCTTGGGGAAGTTGCTGAAAATGGAGATAATAAAGCCTAAAGGATATGAAGTGCAATGTCTGTAATGACCTTTACACACTGGCCAATAAATGACAGCTTATAAGCTTGAGACAGGTATCATTTTACACTATTTAAATTCTGTCATCTAAATACTAGCCATCCTCAAAAAGTTTGGTTAAAGAGTCATACATTTAAAATAACGGTAATGGCTAATTATAATATTAATAGTGACAACTATTGAGCACTATGCCGGGGACTTTCTACATACCTGATTTCATTTAGTACTTATAATAACGTTATGGCATAGGTATTATTATCCCATTTAAATAAACAAGGAAAAAAACAAAAACAAATAAACAAAGAAAAACATTTAGAGAGATTAAGTAATCTGCTCAAGGTCACATTTTAGATAGTGTTACTATCCAAAATGTTCAACACTGTCACTTCCTCCAGCATATGCTGGTTGCTTGCCTATCAGGGCACAATACCATTCTGTGCTTCCCTCAGTCTCAGTAACGCTTACTAAACTGTAATGTAACATATACTCTTCTCAACTTCATCAGAGTGAAATCCTTGTGGGTTGGGACTGTTTTAATTCATTCAGCAAATCCTGACTGAGCACCTACTTACAGACTAGCTCTATATATGTGGTAAATAAAAAGGATATGGTCCCTTACGCTCACAGAGCTTATGGTCCAATAAAAGGAACAATATCAAACAAATCAATATACAACTAGATACCTAAGAAATTATGGGAAGTGCTATAAAGGAAAAGAACAAAGGATCATTAGAAAGAATAACAAAAGAAAGTTAACGTCAGGGCAGTCAGTAGGGGTGTGAGAATCAAGAAAGGCCTCTTTGAAAAACTGTCCCATTAATCTCTATATCCCAAGTGTCAAGCATATTGCTGGTACAGAGAAACTGTTTGATGAATGTATGATGAATAAATGAACTGATGCTCAAGAGAACTTACCAGTAGGAGTGGTTACCAGTTTAGTTGTCATAATTGCACCATTACTGCTAACCACCATAATAGGGGAATTGCTACTGGTGGGTAGAGTTGCTGTCACTGGTTTGGGTAAGATTTTACTTGGTTGAACCTGTTGTGTGATGATTTTAACACCTTTGAAAGAAGAAAGATAAATCTCAGCACAAATTATTTTTAAATACATGTCCCTTATACCAACCCAAGAGGGCAGTAGTCACACACATTTACTCAGTCTTGTCTAAAGAGAAGTTTTTTTTAATACTGATGAAACTCTAAACTTTTATTCCTCAAATTCCTATCTTTCTTAGTTTATTTCTCATTTCAGAAATGCAACTAAAACATTGCATTAACAAACTTCATAAAGAAAAACAAATCTTTTGTCTATGATTGTGTTATACAAGAGCTTTCAAACCAAATTATCCACTGGACTTGACTTTACAGGCAAATAATCCTTTCCATACAAATACTTAGGATGAAAGGACTAGCATAAGAGGTCAGAAACAAAAGGTAATGTGCTTTTATGTATCCCCAACTTCGCCAAAATATTCACACAACTCCTTAAACTTACATAAAAGCTGTTGAAAATTATAAAGACAAAGAACATTTTTTGTTTGAATTTTTTAACTGCCTTCTTTTAAAATAATTTTTAATAGCTCACTTTGTCAAATACAGGATACAAAAAAAGATACATTATTATTCTACCTACACAAAAAAATGTGTGTGGACAAGAACTTGAAGGTGATAGGCAAAAATAAAACTAAAGTGCTAGGGTGGTGATTTATGGTTTTTTTTTTTTTTACATTTTCTAAATTTTTCTTTATAATGCCATAATTGTTACATTGACTTTCCAAATGTAAACATTCTTTTAACCCTTTTCCCATTTAGAAAAAAAAAAAGTGTAGCTTGCTGCCTGCATTCATTTAATTTTATATAAACATGCTCTTTGAGGCTGAAACAAATCTGAGTGATTTTCAATGTGAAAATAAAATATAAAAACTGTTTTTGAGAACTATGTTAACATCACACATAGGAATGCTAGCTTCTAGGATTTGACATTTTCAGCAATTGAGAATTACTATATTTTGTAAACGGAAATACCACTACTAAAAACAGAATGCTATAAATAGAATAATGTCTTTTGTTTCCAAAGTCAATATACTAGAGCAATGCAAAAATAATAATCAAAGCAAGATATTTCCTGGCAAAGTTATCTTGGGGTAAATGCTACAGCTGCAAGCACCACCAGCAAGTATTCTCGGGGTAAATGAGAAAAGGGTTAAAATAAAATTTCCTATGCCAACTATAAATTTAAATTGGTAGCTAAGGAAGGAAATTTTTGGTAACACTCTTTCCCCACTACTATCTTCACTGAAATAATTCATGAGTTAAAATATGTTGTTATAGACAACTAAGAATTATATTACTTTTTGAGATGGTGATTTAGGTTAAGACATTAGGAAGCAAACAGATCTATTTATTTAATAGCCTTACATAATTTTAAATTTCTTGTAGCCAACAAAGTTGTTAAAATTATGACATCTAAGTATATAATTAGACAGGCTACATAATCTCTGTGACTCAGTCTCCTCATCCATAAAATAATGATTCTATTAGTATATACCTCATAAGGCTGTTGTTAAGATTAAATAAATCACAACTGTAAAGTTCATAATGAACAGTAAAAATTCAGTAATTATTATGGAAATTTTAAGATTCTGATTATAATAAATCTTAAGCACTGAGGTTTGTGGGGGGAATAATTTCTAGTATTTATTTCATTAGTGAATTACAGTTATTATTATTTTATTATTATTATTATTTTGAGATGGAGTCTCACTCTGTCTCCAGGCTGGAGTACAGTGGTGCAATCTCAGCTCACTGCAACCTCCACCTCCTGGGTTTAAGTGATTCTCCTGCCTCAGCCTCCCGAGTAGGTGGGATTACAGGGGCCTGTCATCATGCCCGGCTAATTTTTTTGTATTTTTAGCAGAGACAGGGTTTCACCATGTTGGCCAGGCTGGTTTTGAACTCCTGACCTCAAGGGACCCACCAGCCTTGGCCTCCCAAAGGGATTACAGGTGTGAGCCACCAGACCCGACCACAATTAAGTAATTCTTAAAGCACATATAAAAAGGAGCTTCTAAAGAAATAAGCACACAGAGAAAAAATTAAGATAATCTTAAAATGACTTTGCTCAATTATATGCAAATAAGTTTAAAATCTGGATCAAATAGGTAATTTTCTAGGAAGTTATTACTTATCAATATTGACCCCAGAAAAGAGAAAAAATGTAAATAGACAAATTTCCACAGATAAAAATTTCAGGAGCTGTACCCCTTTGCCAAAAAGTAGCAGGCTCAGATAGTTGCATTGGAGAATTCTACAGTCTCTTAAAAAGAAAGTAATTCCAATGTACTTAAAGCCATTCCAAATATTGATATCTGGCACGGCGGCATCGGCTCTGCTGGCCCCCTAACCCAGTGAAGCTGGTAAAAATTATAAAACCACCATTGAAAGGGTCCAGAAATCGTGCCAAGGGCAAATAATAAATGAAAAAACATCTACTCAATAAAATCTCAAAAAATTCATTGAGAAAGGCAAAATCTGTGGTATTTAAACCAAGAGCATTTCCTCCTTCCCCACTACTAGCTCAGCAAGGGGTACATTCCATTCCAGATGGCTGCAGTGAAGAAGAACTCGGGATTCCTTCTCTGCCAGCTCCCAGTTGAAAGGTTTTCTTCTCAGGAGAAACCAGACTTCAGATTATATCATCCTGCACTCAGCTACCTACTACTAAGGCTAAGTTCTGGGCAAGAGCAGTATGGATGTGAGAGCTCTCTTATTCTGCCCAGCCCCCAGTTTGTGGACAAAGCTCTACCTTGGGCACAGTACCACTGAGTATACTGAAGTACTGATAGCCCTTGCCCTGGCTTGTGAGGCAGTGACTCCACCACCAAGCGAGGCAAACTGTGAGGACCTTTGGCTGCTCCCCAACCCCTTACCCCGACTCTGTGAGCACTCAGTGCGTAAAGCAGGGGTCTGTCAGAGAAGTCTGTCACTTACCCCACCCTAGATACTTCCTATTTCTGCAAGGTTCCAGTTTCTAAGGTCTGTATCAATGGCATTTTTATTTGTGAATCAATTATTACATTATACTATATTAATTAATTTTAGGCAAGGTCTTGCTGTGTCACCCAAGGTAGAGTGCAATGGTGTGATCATGGCTCACTGCCTTGATCTTCTAGGCTCAAGCAATCCTCTTGCCCCAACCTTCAGAGT